>NC_000003.12:56676666-56979696 GCF_000001405.40 Homo sapiens | reverse complement strand
AAGCTGACCTCTCTGAGCCCCAGCGTTGCCATGGGCTGAGAGGCGATCTAGGATAAGCACCACCTGCAGTCGTGATGTGGACCAGACCTTCTTTGGAGGGGGCCTACTTTATTCCTAGTGAGGGCCTTGCTCACAGACCCCGGCTTTATTCCTGGGCCTGTGCCTTGTCTCTGGCTGCCTGTGGCAGCTGGACAGGGCTGAGAGCCCTTGGGAAGGTGTGGCATCTTGGGGGAAGAGGATTTTGAAGAGATGCCTCTGCCCCTGGCTTGGGCCTCCTGTGGCAGCAGGAACGAGCTTGGCCCTACCACGGATGCAATGGCAAATAACACTGTGAACCTGTCCCAACCACTGCAGGGCAAACAGTTGAATATATCTGGGTCTCAGTTTACTCAGTTGCAAAATGGGATGAGTGTGGAATGAAAGCATGCAATTAAAGGTGCCAAATCCAGATAATTCCATATTTTCACAATGTGGAATAAGTAAGTCTTTTTGCTGCTACCTTATTGGATATGTAGAAATTTTCAAGGAGCTTTCTTTCTTTTAGAGGTAAGGTCTCACTGTGTTGCCCAGGCTGGAGTACAATGGTGCAATCATAGTTCACTGCAGCCTGGGCTCTGGGCTCAAGCCATCCTCCCACCTCAGTCTTCCAAGTAGTTGGGACTACAGGTGCATGCCACTATGGCCGGCTAATTTTTTTATTTTTTGTAGAGGTGAGGGCTCACTTTCTTGTCCAGTCTGGTCTTGAACTCCTGGCCAGAGGTGATCCTCCAGCCTTAGTCTACCAAAGTGCTGGGATTATAGGTGTGAGCCACTGTACCCAGCCTCAAGGGGCTTTCTTAATAACTGGTTCCTATTGTTGGCTGTGTGAGCTCTGTCTAGCTTCTCCCTCTCTGGCAATGTTAGGAGCTGTACCCTTATTGCTAGGCCCATGTTTGTGGTTATTTTGTCCAATTAATTATCGTTAGGATGAACTTTTGGGTCATTTTAATGCTCTTGGAAAATGATGTCAAATTACCCTGTGGAAATTTCACGTCAATATATACATTTATAGTTGTGAAGCACAGTGCCTGTTTTCTCCACATTCTTTCTTGCATTTGATATGCCCATATAGAAGTTGCTAATTTGAAATATAAACATGCTAACTTATTTAAATTTCCATTTGGCTAGTTAGTAGGGAGGGTGAGTACTTTTTGTTTGTTTATTGATTGATTGGGTTTTTTATTTTGTGAGCTATGTTATGGCAAAGCATTTCAGTTTTCTTTTTCAAATAAACTAAAATTTTCTTATTACAAAAATGTACATGTCATAAAATTTTAGACAGTGTAGGAACGTGTGACATGGCACATGCAAGTTCCCCGGATCAATCCTAACCTTGAGAAATCACCACTGCTGACAGTATGGGAATGATAATTCCAGAATCTTCTAGAAATTTTTGAGTGCTATCCATTTGACTTTAAAGACTTCTGAAGGTTCATTCATGGTTTTCATGTGTTAAAAGGTGTTTTGTCCAGTGACATCTTTGTCAAATAAAGGTAGTAGGCTTATTTTGATAAATTTATCTTTTCAGAGAAGCCATGTAGCCTAGTACGGGGCGGGGGTGACCGCACCTGGGGTCCCCACTGAATGCTGGCATGTCTCCCTGTGCTCAGCAGGGTGTATATGGATCTGTTGGCCTTGTCTGGTCTGTTGACAGGATTGCTTTTTGTCTCTACTGTCAGGCTGTTGAGCTGGAAGGGCAGTGACGGGAGGCTGAGGGGCTTCTGCTCTTTTGACAGTCCCAGCACCATTGCCTTAGTGATAGTCACAGCCAGTTTCTACTCTCTATGTACTTTGTGTGCTTGAGTTTACTTAAACCTCACAACAGCTCTGTGAGGTGTAAAACCTAATATTATTCCTATTTTTCATAGTCTAAGACATGGATTCCTAGAGGCCGAACCCATTTGCTTAGGGCCACAAGATAGCCAGCTGGAACTCAATTCCAGCCCTGCCAGGCACCAAGTCCCCTGGAGATGTTAGCTGTTCACTTTGCAAATCTCCATTTCTCTGCACCATCTCTCCATGAGCCCCATCTCCCTGTCAGCCTGTGTATTTATTGGCCTGGTCCAGATGTGTCCAGGGACCTGGGGAACCTCCCATCGGTTCCCATTATTATAAAGACTTTGAGCAAGTTGGGGGCAGGTAAAAGGACATGTCTCTCCAAGGGCTGCATCCCAGAATCAGGGCTCCCGAGTGAGTGGGAAGAGCATCTTTGCCTGGGTCATAAAGTGTGGTTGCCATGGCGGCAGCATGGCAATGCTGATGCAAGTGCTGGCCCTGTTCCCAGGAGCCCATCTGGTGAGCTGAGAGTTAGTGAGGGGCCCAAGAGAATGGGGCTTGCTCTGCCCTGTGCTTTAGATGGACCATGTTTGATAGAAATATTTGGTAAGTAGCACGTAGCTGATAATTACAGTCATTTTTCTCGCCCCAGTTTGTGGCTCTTGTGGATTAGGCAGCCAGAAAAATCTTGATGCAACTTGGTGGAGCTCTGGGGCAGGATCCTGGAATTGGACTGTCTGGCCTTACCCTTTAGTAGCTGTGAGGCATTTCTAAATCTAAGCTCTCAGTGCCACAGCTTCCTCATCTGTTACAGCCCTTATTCCACAGGGCCCCTGTGAGGATTAAATGAGTTAATCCTCATAAAAAGCACAGTACGAATAGTAGTAGTAGTATGAAAATAGTACTAATATTACCCTCTTTTACTCAGAATTACCTCATACCCGCCACTCCCTTTTTTTAGCCGTCATTGAGGTCTGCCAGGATTCAGCATGGTGGCTTGCTGTTTGGTGCAGTGCTGAAATCAGTGGCCTTGACATTACCTTCCTTTCTACCACATGAGCTCTAACAAGCCTGACGCAGTTCCACTCCCACATTTCACTGACAGTTTGGGAATAAACATGTTTTTATGTGTGGCCCCAGTCACTGCCAAAAACAGCATTTATGGAGCATCTAATTACCTTGGAGACTGTGGTGGGTCCTGTATTGGAGTCAATAAACTGCTTTAAGCAATGCTGGCTAATTTAAGAATTTTTGGCATTTTAAACTGTTAGGATCAACAGAACATTTATTATAAATGCCCATATCTGAGGACCCACTTTTAAGATTGCAATGTTCATTTTGGAGGGGTTGGGCCACCTACATATGGATTTATTAGTTTCTGATCAATATAGTATTGAATAAAATATAAAGACTTTCTTCTGCTCCTCCCAGGGCAAGAAGCCCTTACGGAGTACCTGTTTGATAGAAACTAGTAAAGTATGGTATCTAGAGATATAATTTTTGAGTAAAGAGTTTTCTAGGATTTGAAAAACATGAATTGACCGGATGCAGTGGCTCACACCTGTAATCCCAGCACTCTGGGAGGCCGAGGCCGGCAGATCACTTGAGGTCAGGAGTCCAAGACCAGCTTGGCCAACATGACGAAACCCCGTCTCTACTAAAAAATACAAAAATTAGCCAGGTGTGGTGGTGGTCGCCTGTAATCCCAGGTACTCGGGAGGCTGAGACAGAAGAATTGCTTGAACGCAGGAGGTGGAGGTTGCAGTGAGCCAAGATTGCGCCACTGCACTCCAGCCTGGGCAACAGAGCAAGACTCTGTCTCAACAACAACAACAAAAAACACCTTCTAAGCGTTGATTATTTGATCGAAATCTCTTTAAAATGTTAAGAAAACTGAGCCATTAAATGTTTTAAATTGAAATTACCCTTCTATTAAAAGTATAATATGCACACAGAAAAGTTTACCATTAATCTCCATGGATATTTTTATTTGCAGATGTAGAAAAACCAGTGAATAAGACTAATCTCTGATCTTTATTGTTTTTATTATTTTTTTTTAAGTCCTGTTATACTTCATGTAAAGAGAACCAACTCAGTATTGGCTCTGCGCCTGGTACATAGTAAGTGTTTGAGTTTCCATCTCCTTTCCTCTGTTGTGGCTGCTTCTGCAATGGTTTTAACATCTGTTTCTCTGTTCATCAACTCTAGAGCCAGATTGCCTGGGTTTGAATCCCACTCTGATGCCTACTAGCTGTGTGATTTTGGGCAAGTCACTTAACCTGTCTGAGCCTCAGTTTTTTCACCTGTAAAGTGGGAGTAACAAATATATCTACTCATAAAAGTTTTTTGAGGACAAAATGAGTTAGTATTTATTTAGCATTCAGAACAGTGTCTGGCTATGACACAGTGAGCCCTCTGTAAGCACTGGTTCTTTATTTTTTATTTATTATTATTATTATTTTTTGAGACAGAGTCTTGCTCTGTTGCCCAGGCTGGAGTGCTGTGGTGCAATCTTGGCTCACTGCAACCTCCACCTCCTGGGTTCAAGCGATTCCCCTGCCTCAGCCTCCCGAGTAGCTGGGACTACAGGTGAGCACCACCACGCTCGGCTAATTTTTGAATTTTTAGTAGAGACGGAATTTCACCATGTTGGCCAAGCTAGTCTCATACTCCTGACCTCAAATGATCCGCCTGCCTCGGCCTCCCAGAGTGATGGGATTACAGGTGTGAGCCACCGCACTCAGCCAGAACTGGTTCTTTTTAAACAGTGAACCCTTGACAACGTTCTCTATGACAGAGAGATTGAGGGTACCCCCAGTCCATATGATAATGGGCAGTGGTGCTGATGAGTTAGGGAGCCCATGACCTGATCCCACATCCGTCTCATCAGTGGAGAGCTTTGGTCTTATTTCAAACAAGGAGGAGGGGCCCTCAGTGTCGGTGCGTGGGAAGGCAGAGCACAAACAAGGAGTCCTGGTTAGAAAAATACACTCTCGGGAAAGAACAGGCTCTCCCCAGGCAAAACTTTAGAAAAATAACAATCTGCTGCTCCTTGATTAAAGGGTAGAAAACTAATTATCCTTTCCGGAGGGACGTGAGGCTGCTCTCTGCCAGGCTGTGACCTGGAGGTGCAGGATGTGGATTTCCTTAGGATGTAATGAAGCCTTTGCCATTGAAAACGTGCGATGATTCAGATGGATGTGGGGGGCAGGGGGAGGGGAGAGGGAGAACGATCCCTTTGCTTTTAAAAGCAACTTCTGGACACTTCAGAAACATTTGCGGGTCAGCACTTTGAATATGGAAAACTGATTTTCTTAAATTAGATTTCCAGAAGACCTCTTACAAAACATCCCTTCAAAAATGTTCTGTAATTTTTGCTAATTAGACCAGCTGACAGTGAGCTTAGGTGTTTGAAAGCTTGGTGCTGCCATCTATCCGCTGATGATGCAGATGAGAATGCCAAATGAGGTAGTAACTGGGAAACACTTTTTTTGTGTGTGTATGCTGAAGAAATACCAAGTAGTATTAATTTTAGTTTCTTTAGTTAAGGGAAGAGCATGAAAAATTCGATATTTATATAACTAGTATATTATATTCCTCATTGTCTCCCACACCATACTGTTAGGGATGGAAATTTCCCATTGGCCTGTACCATTTGGCTGCAGATGTCAAGAAAGTTCAAAAAAGTCTTACAAATAGTTATTGAGCATCTACCATATGTCTAGAGGGTGGGGATAAAATGTTAAAAAGATAATGAAGTGGCTGTTCTCAGGGAGCTCAATATATACATATATTGGAGACAGAGTCTTGATCTGTCGCCCAGGCTGGAGTGCAGTGGTGCGATCATAGCTCACTGCAACCTCCACCTCCTGGGCACAAGCAATTCTCCCACCTCAGCCTCCCAAGTAGCTGGAACTACAGGTATGCACCACCACAACTGTCTAATTTTTTTATTTTTTGTAGAGACAGGCTTTCGCTATCTTGCCTAGTCTGGTTGGAGCTCATATTTTAATGACTTCGGTGGACTGACCAATACCTAAGCTCTCTGTCAATTTGTATTTTATATGAATAATGCTTCTTAGGTATCTTTGGACAAGTATCTCTAAGCTCTCTTTCTCCATTTCACTAATGTTTTCTTGTCAAGTCACCAGGGGTCTCTGCTTTGCCAAATTTGGTGGGCACCTCTCCATCCTCCTGCTTGGTGAAATAGTAGAGTCTCCCTCTTTGAAGCACTGTCTTCACTTGGCCTCCGCGTTGTCCCTCTCTTGGTTTTCCTCCTACCCTCATGGGGCTCTTCTCATGTCTGCAAGCTGATGATTTCTGAAAATAGTCTCCTTATATTTAGCAGCTAATTCCACATCTCTATTTGGAGGTCCATACTATTTCAATGTTATATGTCTGCTCTTGATTTTTGTCCCCAAATCTGCTCTTCCCATAGCCCTTTGCTATCTTCCCATTGTTCAGGCTAAATTTCTTTAGAGCAGCATCCTTTACTGCTCTTATTTCACCTTCTGTACTTAATCCACAGTAGATAGTGTTATTCCTGCCTTCAAATATGTTCATCATGCCAGGCGCGGTGGCTCACGCCTGTAATCCCAGCACTTTGGGAGGCCGAGGCGCGCGGATCACGAGGTCAGGAGATCGAGACCAGCCTGGCTAACACGGTGAAACCCCGTCTCTACTAAAAATACAAAAAAATTAGCCGGGCGTGGTGGCGGGTGCCTGTAGTCCCAGCTACTCGGGAGGCTGAGGCAGGAGAATGGTGTGAACCCGGGAGGCGGAGCTTATAGTGAGCCAAAATCGCACCACTGCACTCCAGCCTGGGCGACAGAGCGAGACTCCATCTCAAAAAAAAAAAAACAAAAAAACTGTTCACCATTCCACTACTCCTCACCACCCCCACTGCCACCATCTTGTTCCAAGTCCCTGCCATCCCTCATCTGGGCTGCTGTAGGAACTTCCTCACCTCCTCCCTGCCCCCGTCTCGCCACCTGGAGCTTCTGTCTCCATACAACATTGACAGCAATCCTTTTAAAACTTAGGTCAGGTTTGTTTTCTGCTCGGAATCCTCCAGTGGCCTCCCCTCTCCCTTGGACTAAAATCCAGAGACCTTGCAGTAATCTGTGAGACCCTTGCCATCTGGTTTCAGCTCCTTCTGTGACTCTCCGCTCTTGCTCACTGCTTACCCCACTCCAGCCATATTGGTTTTGCTGCCCCTCAGCCGTGCCCCAGGAACTTTGCATGAGCTATCCTGTCCACCTAAGACAGGCTTCCGGCTCTTGCAGGGAGAAGCCTGCCCTGGGCACTCCATACTAAATATCAGCTACTCCCACCACCCCCGATCCCCTACCCTGCTTTGTCCTTCTCCATAGAATTTATCACCTTCTAATGTAAGCTCTGAGAGAAGAGGAACTATATTTTTTCCTCTGCTGTATCCCTATGCCTAAAATAATGCCTAGCACATGGTAGACACTCAGCAAATGTTTAAAGCCAACATTTATTATGTACTTGGTGTGAACCAGGTAGTTGGCGCAGTGCTTTATAGGAATTATTTATTTACTTCTCAAAGCAACCCTAGGAGGTCTAAGTCTTATCATATCCATTTTCAAGTTGGAAGCTGAAGACTGGGAAAGTTGTATAAGTTGTCCAAAGTAATTTGATGGACTTGGGCTTGAACCCAGGTCTTGGAGACTGCAGAGCCCATGCTTCTGACCACCTTGGGTTACCGTTCTCTCCCTGTGGTGGCCTGAATTGGTTCTAGAAGTGTTTATCGTAGCTGACCAACACACAGAAATGTGAATGAGCAACCCAAGGCCCATCCATGGACTTGAAATAAGGAAATAGATAGGAGTCCTGGTGCGTTTGTTATGATGAGATAAGGTCTCTCAGGAGTGTCTGGGATATGAATGTGCTGTGGGGCAGATACTCTCTCCTGGATGAGGAGACAAGGGAACCACACCAGGTGGGGTTAGTAAGGTGAAAATCATGTATAACCCAAAGTGCTTTTTAAAATTTTTTTTTATTTTTTGAGATGGAGTCTCGCTCTGTTGCCCAGGCTGGAGTTCAGTGGCACCATCTCAGCTCACTGCAAGCTCCACCTCCTGGGTTCACGCCATTCTCCTGCCTCAGCCTCCCGAGTAGCTGGGACTACAGTTGCCCGCCACCATGCCCACTAATTTTTTTTTTGTATTTTTAGTAGAGATGAGGTTTTACTGTGTTAGTCAGGATGGTCTCGATCTCCTGACCTCATGATCCACCCACCTCGGCCTCCCAAAGTGCTGGAATTTCAGGCGTGAGCCACCGCGCCCGGCCTTAACCCAAAGTGCTCTTAAAAGCCCTGGGAAAGGGTCATGTTGGGGCCTGACTGTCCATCTCTCATTAAATCCCTCATGGCCGGTATCCTCTTCAATGCTGTTCATTTGGACAGCTCCAGACCAGACTGAGAAGTTGGTTGGCATTTGAGGGCCTTTTTGTTCCAAAAGTGCTTATTTATAAAGGATCCAGCACGGCCTGAGAGACGCCTGGGGAAAAGGAGATGACTGGGGTGAATACAGATCCACAGCCCCATGTCAGGCTTGCTTCGGGGTCCCTGCCGGGCGCTTAGAAGACCCCATGAGATGGCTTCCACTATGCATGTTCTTCTCTGTCTCTCTCTGAAGTGCATATGTTGTATTCATGTTCTTTCATCGTGTATGGAAGCCTACCCTGTGTATTGGTGACCACAGACTTACTGAGGGCCGCACCATGAATTCATTCTCATTATTTATTAAGCTCCTATTAGCTGCAAGGAGTGCAGTGACAGCAGCGAGTCTAAACCAGATAGTCCCTGGCTTTCCAGAGCTGGTTCCCTGGAAGAGGGCTCTCTTACAGGGTCCCTTCTGTGCTCCAGTCACTAAGAGCTTTACGTATATTAACTCCTCTACTCCTCACAACAGCCCTGTGAGAGGGGGGTCTTGTTAGTACCTTCATTTTACAGATGGAGGAACTAGGAATCAGAGATATTAAGTCACTTGTCCAGCGCTACACAGGTGGTGAGTTGCAGAGCCGGCTCCAGCTTCTGTGCTCTTAACTACTGGGCGAAGCCGCCCCTGTATGGCAGCACTCAGGAAGCACTGACAGTGACTATTGCAGTTCTCCTTCTGGGAGATTGCACGCATGAAAAGTTGTTCTAAAGATACAAGCTTCGCAGGAAGCTAAAATACAGAAGGGGAACACAGCAAAATGGCTCTTAAGTGGGAGCAGAAGACAGACCAGCTGTTGCTGCTGAATCTCTGAGCACAGAGACAGTGCAGGGGTTGGAGGGGGAAGTGGGAGTGGGAGGACATGCAGAAAGCCAGAAGGTGTGGGAGTTCTTATCATCGTTGAGTGACTCAAGTAAATATATGCCTCAGAAATGGACTTGTAGGACTGATTTCTCACAAGTACTGATAAAACTCCACCACTAAGCCGCTTCCATCAAATCCCAGGCCACATTAAAATGCTTGCTTTCTCAGCTTATTTACTGAATTTTCTCTTCTGGAGTAGTTAATAGGATTTTATTTCACATCATTATTCCGTGTGGATTTTTTCCATTAAATATGTTTCTTTTATTTTGCCCGAAAATATTTTTATTTCACCCTCACTTTTCAAAAATTGTAGTAGAATACACATAAAATATTACCATTGCAACCATTTAAACCATTACCATATTTACCATTTCAACTATTTAAAAATGTATAATAATTCAATGGCATTAAGTACATTCACAAGGTTGTGCACCCATCACCACTATCGAATTCCAGAACCTTTTCATCACCCCAAAAGGAATCTGTGTACTCATTAAGCAGTCACTCCTCATTCCTCCTCTTCCCCCAGCTTCTGGAGCTAATCTACTTTCTGACTCTATGGATTTGTCTATTCTGGACATTTCACATAAATGGAATCATATAATATGTATCCCTTGTGTCTGGCTTCTTTCACTTTGCATGTTTTCAAGATTCTTCCATGGTGTGGCATGTATCAGTACTTCATTCTTTTTTTAATGGTTGAATAATATTCTGTTGTATGGATATATCACATTTTGTTTATCCATTAGTTGATGAACGTTTCATATGTACCTTTTCTTTTCTTTTTCTTTCTTTTTTTTTTTTGATACGGAGTCTCACTCTGTCACCGAGGCTGGAGTGCAGTGGTGCGATCTCGGTCCCTGGTTCAAGCAATTCTCCTGCCTCAGCCTCCCAAGTAGCTGGAATTATAGGCATGAGCCACCATGCTCAGCTAATTTTTGTATTTTTAGTAGATATGGGATTTCACCATGTTGGCCAGGATGGTCTTGATCTTCTGACCTTGTGGTCTGCCCACTTCGACCTCCCAAAGTGCTGGGATTACAGGCGTGAGCCACCGCGCCCGGCCCTTATATGTACCTTTTCAATAGGGTTATTATAATACCAGCCATGTGCCAGACACATTGCTACATGCTATGTCCTGAATATATGAAAAATTCTTATTGATCAATCAATAAGAAAAAAAGAACACTTCTTTATATAAATGAGCAAATGAACTGAACAAGCGTTTTACAGAAGAGGAACTACAAATATAATTTCATGGATTTAAAAAATCATTTCGATCTCGTCTCTAGTTAATTCTGGAATTGTTTTGAATAGGGTAGTCCTATATTATTTGCAAACTATGCACATGTATTTGTTTGGGATATTACCTATTTAGGGGAAGAATTTCATTTGTTGCTTTGTTCAAGTAGATCTTTATACATTTGTGACCTAAAGATGATTTGGTATTTACAGATGTAGTACTACCTCTCTAAAGCCTTTGTAAAATATTTTGTCCTTTTAGCGTTTCTGAATTCAGATGGACACTAACATCCTTTTGGAGAATGCGTCGTTTTTAGCAGGGGTTCTCAATTTATGTATTTTGGTTGTCACCAACTGCTAAGACATGGAGCAGTGGATTTTCACAGTCAGAGGTTATTGGAAACGGAATGCCTTATTTTTCTATAACTGTGCTGTTCAATATGATGGCCACATGCCACATGTGACAACTGAGCACTTAAAACATGGCTGGTGCCAATGAAGATGTGTCATAAGTGTAAAATACACATTGGATTTTGAAGGCTTGGTATGAAAAAAAATAAAGTATCTCTAACACTTTTTTCCTGTTGATTATGTGTTCAATAATATCTGGATATACTGGGTTAAATAAACTATACTATTAAAACTAAACTTATCTATTCCTTTTTACTTTTAAAATGTGACTAATAGGCTGGGTATGGTGGCTCACACCTGTAATCTTAGCACTTTGGGAGGCTGAGGCAGGAGGATTGCTTGAGCCCAAGAGTTCAAGACCATCCTGGGCAACATAGGGAGACCCCGTCTCTACAGAAAAAAAAAAAAGCTAGTTGTGCTGGTGTGTGCCTGTAGTCTTAGGAGGCTGAGGCGGGAGTATCACTTGAGCTGGGGAGTTCAAGGCTGCAGTGAGCCATCATCACGCCACTACATTTCCAGCCTGGGCAACGGAGTAAGACCATGTCTCAAAAAATATATATATTATATATTATATATATATAAAATATATTTTATATATATTATATATTATATATATTATATATATTTTATATATTATATATTTAAATATTATATATTAATATATATATTTATATATATATTATATATAATATATATTTTTATATATTATATATAATATATATTTTTATATATATTATATAATATATATTTTTATATATATTATATATAAAAATATATGTTTTATATATATTATATACAATATATATTTTATGTATAATAAATATATAATATATTATATATATTATATATATTATATATATTTTATATATATTAAATATATATGTTTTATATTTAAAAATATATATTATATATTTTATATATAAACTATAATATAAAATATATTTTATATATATAATATATAATATATTTTATATTATATATAATATATTATATATAATATATTATTTATATATTATATATTTATATTATATATTATATATGTCATTATATATTATATAATAATATAATTAATATATATTATATTATATAATATATATTATATAATATGTAATATATAATCATATAATATAATATATTATATATAATTGTATATATAATATATATAATTATAGTACCAGTATATATGTTATATATAATATAATGTTTATTATGTTATATATAATATAATAAGTATTATATATAATAGCTATTTTATATATTATATAATATATATTATATAATATATATTATGTAACATATATAATATATAATTAAATATATTATGTATAATATATATTATATATTATATAATGTACATAATATGTAATATATTATACATATAATATATTATATTATATATTATGTAATATATTTAATATATTATATAATATATTATATAATATATAATATGTATAATATATAATATATTATATAATATATAATATGTATAATATATAATATATTATATAATATATAATATGTATAATATATAATATATAATATAATATTATATAATATATGATATGTACAATATATAATATATAATATATAATATATAATATATAATTTGTATAATATATAATATAATATTATTATATATAAGTATGTATATACTATATATATATGACTAATAGAAAACTTAAATTACATATGTGGTTCACATGATATTTCAATTGAATAATGCTGTATTTAAAAAAAAAAAGGCTGGGCGCGGTGGCTCATGCCTGTAATCCCAGCACTTTCGGAGGCCGAGGCAGGCAGATCACTTGAGGTCGGGAGTTCGAGACCAACCTGACCAACATGGAGAAATCCTGTCTCTACTAAAAATACAAAATTAGCCGGGCATGGTGGCGCATGCCTGTAATCCTAGCTAGTCAGGAGGCTGAGGTAGGAGAATCACTTGAACCCAGGAGGTGGAGGTTGCAGTGAGCAGAGATTGCGCTATTGCACTCCAGCCTGGGCAGCAAGAGTGAAACTCTGTCTCAATAAAAAATAATAATAATAATAATAATAATTAAAAAAAAAAAGGCTGACAGAGGGTGGAGAATGGTTGAGAAGAGTTTCAGTGGACACCTATGACTCCCTTGCCTTCAGAATCTTGAAAGTGTCCCTGAGACAGGCCACACAGGGTCTGGATGTCTGCAGTAGCCTCCAGCTTATCTCTGCTTTCACTCTGAACCCCTGACTCTCTTTTCCCCTCCCTTGCCAGGGATATCTTTCTAAAAGGCAAATCTCATCATGTCACTCCATGCTTCAGTGGAACCCCATCACCCTATGGCCAAATCCCTGACTCTGCTTCCCTGTCCAGCCTTGCCCACCTATCCAGCCTCATCTCATGCCTTTCTGCCTCCTTCCCCACCAGCTAATATATGTTATTATAATCTGCATTATGTTCATTATATGCAATAAATCCACAATATATTTTCATAGTAAAAGACTAAGAAATACATAATATAAAGGATAATGTCCACATTTATGCTGTCTAAATACCACCCCAGCTATGTAATCAGTCACTGTCAACAGTTGGGCTGTGCCCTTCCAGGGCCCTCATCCTACATATACAGACCTAATTCTGTATCTTTGTATAGCATTCATCTCTGTACCCACTATACATCCAACATTTAGTCATATTTGCTTCAGATTTTGTGTGCTCCAACCCAGGCCCTATACCTTCCCTCTCTCCCTGGAGGTAATCATTCCTCTCCGGTTGAAATAGTCTTAACATCTGGAGTTTTTACATTTTTATTACATATATATGACTATAAACAATAGAGTAGTATTTTGTGTGTTTCTAAATAATATATCATATCATATCATGTATATCTCCTATAACTTGGATTTTCATTTTTTTCTTTTTTTGAGCTTTTTTATTACCATATAGTTCTATATGATCTTCCACTATAAAAATGAATGTAGTGGCCAGGCGCAGTGGCTCACACCTGTAATCCCAGCACTTTGGGAGGCCGAGCCAGGTGGATCATGAGGTCAGGAGATTGAGACCATCCTGGCTAACACGGTGAAACCACATCTCTAATAAAAATACAAAAAATTAGCCAAGCGTGGTGGCAGGTGCCAGTAGTCCCAGCTACTCAGGAGGCTGAGGCAAGAGAATGGTGTGAACCCGGAAGGCAGAGGTTGCAGTGAGCCGAGATTGTGCCACTGCACTCCAGCCTGGGCGACAGAGCGAGACTCCGTTTCAAAAAAAAAAAAAAAAAAAAAGAATGTAGTTTCATTTAATCTACTTCCTTATCAATAAACATTAAAGTTGTCATACTTCTTCCAGTTCTTCACATGTGCTATATTCTCCTTTATTTACCTCTTAACTCTTGATGCTTTTTATCTTCTATAGAAGTTTGTATAAGATTGAAATGATCTGGTTTTTGTTTTTTCTTTGGAAAGTTCGGTAGAATCCATTAGTTAAACTGTCTGGGGCTGACATTTTCTCTCATTTCTTTATTAATTATAAGGCTATTCAGGCTTTCTATTTCTTCTTGGGACAGTTTTAATAAGTTATATTTTCCTAGGGATTTCTGCATTTTCTTTAAGTTTTCAAATTTAATGCCATAAAACTATTGATAACATTCTTATTGTAGTCGTTATTTATTTGTTAAAATGGGGCCTTCTTATGGTTGCCCAGACTAGAGTGCAGTGACATTATCATCCCTGACTGCAGCCTTGAACTCCTAGGCTCAAGCAGTCCTCCCACCTCAGCCTGCTGAGTAGCTGGGATTATAGGCTCATGCTACCATGCCTGGTTAATTAAAAAAAATTTTTTTTGTAGAGTTGGTTTTGCTATGTTGCCCAAGCTGGTCTGGAACTCCTGGCCTCAAGCGATCCTCCTTCCTTGGCCACCCAAAGCACTGAGAAGCTTTAAATTTTAATTGCTATTTAATCTGTAGTTATGTGACCCTATTCATAACAGTATTTATTAGTGTCCTTTCCACCTCTTTTTGAATTTGGCCAGTTTTATCTATTTAATGTCTATTTTGTTTGTCTTTTCCCTTCTGCCTTTTTAGCATGGTTTTCCTTTGGCTTGGCCTACTTTTCCCTTTTCTCATCACCTGTTGAGTCCTTCTTCTCTGTTAGGTCTCAGAGAGGCCTCATTTTCTCTGGGAGGTCTTTCTGGCTCCTCAAACTTTGGTCGAGACCCTGCGGCACTCCTCACTACCACTTAAAAAAAAGCAATTTGCCATGTTGTAATTTTTTGGAGGGGAACAGGGTGGATCTGAATGCCCTGTGAGGACATGAAAGCAGGAACTGAATTTCTTGTCCACTGCTGATCTCTAATGTCTGGCACCATGCCTGACATGTAGTAGCTGCTCAATAATATTGGTGAACAAATTAGTGGGTGAGCTCCCACGAGTAGAGTACAGACCCATTCTCCAAAGGTGAGGGCTCTCTTTAAGGGGCCATTCTCAGCTGGACTGCTGGAAAGAGGATTCAGCTAGTGACTGAGAAATTGTACCAGCTGACCATTTCTGAGGTTCTGTGATTTTTTTTTTTTTTTTTTTTTTGAGACAGTCTTGCTCTTTCACCCAGGCTGGAGTGCAGTGGCACGATCTCGGCTCCCTGCAACCTGTGCCTCCCGGGTTCAAGTGATTCTCATGCCTCAGCCTCCCAAGTAGCTGGGACTACAGGCATGCACCACCATGTACAGTAATTTCTGCATTTTTTTAGTAGAGACGGGGTTTCACCATATTTTCCAGACTGGTCTCAAACTCCTGACCTCAGGTGATCTGCCTGCCTCGGCCTCCCAAAGTGCTGGGATTACAGGCGTGAGCCACCGCATGCAGCCTCTGTGATTCTTTTTTCCCGTAATTTATGAGGAAATAAAGAGTTGGAGTTGCAGCCATGGCATGAGTAGAATGAAGCTGAGTGTGACTCATTGAGCCATAGAAATGTTATTGGGATGTCCCTTTGTTCAAGAGAGAGACAGGCCAAAGTGATGAGCTTTCTATTCTGCAAACTACCTCTTCACAGTGAGCTTCTCCACAAAGAATTGGGTCTTCACCTGGCTAAACACCTGCCAGTCTCTCATCAACTATGTCCTAAAAACAGAAACTAAAAAGATGTTTAAGTGAAAGAAGCCATTATCTTCTTAAGTGGTTCAATCAGAATAAAAATACCTGGCACAGGTGGTACCACATTCGGCACAGATTTCTCTTAAAAAATATAGCTGTTTGATTTTTCTAGTTATGCTACAATTGTTCTGATGGATAAAGAGAGGTAAAACGAGAAAAGACGAAAAAAGTTTCGTTAGCAAGATGTTCTGGGTTAAGAATTCAGACAGTAAAATATTTAAAACATATACAACTTGCTGACGAAGGTGGTAGTCTTTGAGAAGGGAAAGTGGAGTTAGGAAATTAGAAAAGAGAAGTCTCTTTTCATGGTTACCTCAGGTCCAGATTTGTGGCCATGTTGTTATCTAAAACAAATATTCATAACACATTGAAGCCTTTGTTTTCTTTTGTGTATATTTTACCCAGTCCTTAAGAGTGAGATGTAAATTTCATTGGCCCTCCAATATGAGCCTCACCAATGATAATGGTAACTAACATTTACCCTTACTGGGTTAAAGAAGGAGTCTTCTCATAATGATAATAGCTAATTTGAGTACCTACTAAGTGCCAGACTCCCTGCTAGCCATTTTTTTTAGTACATGAATTTATTCCTTCAATTTTGTGAAAAGGGATTATTAGCCCCACTTTACAGATGAGAAAATGGAGGCTCAGAGGGAGTAGAGAGTAGGGAACTTGCTTGAAGTCCCCCACCAAGAAAGGGAGGGAGCCACTATTAGAACCCCAAGCTGGCTCTTCCCTAAACACCATGTTCTGAGCCCCACACAGTGCGCAGACAGCAGGAGCAGTCTAAATACATGTTCAATTCTGAACCCATACTAAGAAGCTGTTGTATAAGTGGTCGCTAAACCTCTTCTCAAGGTGACGAGAAACAGTCACATTTGTTTTCACATGGTGGGAAAATAAATTCTGCACTAACCCTAAGGCCTATTGCTGCTGACCTTATTCTGTTTGATTCCAGACACATACACTTGAATTTGAGATCATTCCCTAACTGAACCTTGAATGCTGATTTTTCTCTGCTACTGTGGGCATTTCTCCATTTCTATTATGAGCTTTCCCAAGGGTGGGGAGCTTGTGGCTTTTCTTTCCCACCTTTTGTAAGGTTGTAACCTCCCTCCACAATAGCAGCCCCCCAACTCCAACCCCTCCAACAATCTTGGAAGTTTCTCTCTTGCTGCTCACCCATCCCTGGCTTTCCTGTGAATCCCTCTATGGAAGTGGTCATACTTATCCTTGTGACATCTGTGAGACACTGGGAAATGCTGCCTAGACAGAAGGCTGTGCTTTGTAACCATGTGTGTACACCATGCACAGCCTGCTCACATGAGGAGCCTGAGGGCTGGACACAGACGATAGACACGCCCTCCAAGCCTTGTTCAGAAGCTCAGCTGAGTGTCTTTGTGTCTGGGAAACCTGCAGCATCAAGTGCTATTTTCTCACTTGGACTTTTGCTGATTGTGCAAAATACTGCTTCTACAATAGAAGAAATATACCCAGGACTGAGAGGCCCCTCCTTTGGTGAGGACCTGGTGTTGGTGCTTCCGTGATGGTGCACTTTATGCTGCTAGGATCCTTCACCAGCTTCATCAAGAAGCCTTCTCATCAGTATGGTTCTCCTTCCCTGAATCTGTGCATTAAAGCCACCTGGGTGGTAGTGTTTGGCTGGGGAGAAGGAGGAAATTATCAGGAGGCTATTATGGTATCAGGATATAATTTTCAAACATTTGTTATTATTTTTAGAGACAGGGTCTCCCTCTGTCACCCAGGCTGGGGGGCAGTAATATGATCATAGCTCGTTGCAACCTCAAACTTCTGGGCTTAAGCAATCTTCCTACCTCAGCCTCCCAAGTGGTTGGGACTACAGGCAGGCACCACAATGCCCAGCTAATTTGTTTTTATTTTTAGCGGAGATGGTGTTTCCCTATGTTGCCCAGGCTGGTCTTGAACTCTTGCCTTCAAGTGATCCTCCCACCTTGGCCTCCCAAAATGCTGGGATTACAGGCATGAGTCTTGTGCCTGGCCTAGAATTGTTAAGAGGGACTGTAGCTAATGTGAATGACCGGAAGCCTGAATGGTGGTGGGATGAGAGGAAGGTGGGAGCTAACAATTAGGGACAGCCCTTCTCTCGGTAGGTCTCCTGGCAGCTTCTCCAGCTGACAGGGACACTTAAGTTGCCCAACAGTATCCCGAATGGACAGATTTGCTCTGATGCTTTTTCTTTGGCTATGAGGCCTGATGGTGGGAAGCCCTGCTAAGCTGCTGCCCTCCCACAAGGAACCCCCAGGCAGCTTTCTTTCAGGGGTATGCTTTGCCCTGTTTGGGGGGACTTCTCTTCATGTGAGAGGGACTGCATCCTCTGGATCTGGAGTCAGACACATCTGGGTTTGAATCCCAAATTGGCCACCAAATAGCTGTGTGACTTCTGGCATGTGGTTTAACCTCTCTGAGCCTCAGTTTATCTCATCTATAAAATGCAGTAGTGACAATGTTCCCACTATATCATATTACATAATGTTATATAAAATTATGATGTAAGATTATTTATTTAAATGTATGTAATGCCATTATAATATATTGTGTATAAAATGTTATATAACACTGTTATAATGCTGTCTGTATGTCATGTATTTACATTATAACATAATAAGCTACCTTATAAGATTATTGTGAGACTTAGAGTACCTAAAGTGCTTAGTCCTGGGCACATCTGTAATTGAATCTGTGTTAATTATTGTGATAATTGACATTATGTGTGATCTTCTGTGGATTGCAACATGTAAGATAAAGACACATTTACTCAGAATGTTCTGGTATATATTGTTACTTTAGAAGCAATGAATTCCATCAAATAGTTAGGAAAGCAAAGCCCAGTTATGACTGAGAGGGAAGGGAGTGGTATCCAGGGAGAAGTATTGTTGAAATCCAAAAATTTTGTTTTAAAACAGACATTTATTTTCAGAAGGACTTAGGCCAACATGTAACTTAATGGAGAAGGGTATGAAACATAAATAACCACCCACATGTTCTCTGTCTTGCGATCTTATTAGCCTGGGTTTTTATTGCTTACGTGTGGGTGAAGAGGAGGTTGAGGCAGGAGGGGGCCTGGTTTAAAGGCACATCAGGTGGGAGTTCCCATAGTTTTGGTGAGTTGCCCTGGCTCTTCTGTGTCAGCCCTGCATCCTGGGTTGAATGCTGTTCTTGGAGCTAGGTGTTGAGAGAGAAAGGGGGACAGGGGCACCACGCTGACAGCTGGTAAAAACAGCAATGACAGAACCAGAGTTAGAGTCCTCATCTCATCTTGACTCAACACAGAGGGTATTATTTCCCCTGTTTTGCATGTAAGAAAACCAAAGCTCAAGAAATTAAGCCTCGTGTTCAGAGTCACAGCGCTAATAAACACCATGGTATTTGAGGTCAGACAACTAAGAACAGAATCCCAATTTCATCTGTGTGATCAGAATCAAAGCACTTAATATCCCTAGGCGTCAGTGCTCTTATCTATAAAATGGGTACAATAATGCATCCTAACTCACAGGGTGAGAGTCATGGGATTAACTATGTAAAATATTAGCATATGCTTTTTAAAGTGCTCAGTATTGGTTAGTTGCTGCTATTATTGTAATTACCTTGTATTTTATCTCTTTTGTATGGTAGAGCAATCAAGATTTTTACTCAGCTCTAACATACCACAAAGCCTGTACACTGGTCACTACATGCTTTCTGCCTTGCATTATTGCTGATTACAGCAGAAAGGTCAAGGTAAAAGTGACTATTGTGTAACCAACCTTTTGGGGTTTGTTTGTTTCTGAGATGGAGTCTCGCTCTGTCACCCAGGCTGAGTGCAGTGGTGCAATCTCGGCTCACCGCAACCTCTGCCTCCCGGGTTCAAGCGATTCTCCTGCCTCAGCCTCCCGAGTAGCTGTGATCACAGGTGCCCACCAGCATGCCTGGCTAATTTCTGTATTTTTAGTAGAGATGGGGTTTCACCATGTTTGCCAAGCTGGTCTTGAACTCCTGACCTCAAGTGATCTGCCTGTTTCGGCCTCCCAAAGTGCTGGGATTACAGACGTGAGCCACCGCACCTGGCCAGCCTTTTGGTACATCAGTGACTAAAGCCCCAGGAAAAGTCCAAGGTGGATGCTTTTCAGAGATGCTTTTCAGCAAACATGAAATCTGAATATCCATATTGACAGACATCACATGTTTTAGGGGAGTAATTTATCCATAAAAATATTGAAAAAGGTATTCCTGTAGTTATATTGGCAGCTACAAAATTTGATTAGGAGACAGAAATAAGGTGCTTCTGGTGTGCCTGGAGTCTCTTTGTGCTGGTCTGTCTTGAAGCTGCCTCCACTGCCTCTAAGGAAATTGATTCATGTTGAGAGGTTAACAGGTGAGGAAACCAGTTTCAGCTTGTTACGCGGGGGCTAAATGTCCCGTTGATGGTTGCTTTAAAAACCTGGAGCTCAAATGTACCCCTTGTTGGAACTCCCCAGCATGTCTGTGTGACAAGGGAGAGTTCCAGGCTGAGCTGAAGCTATACATCTCCTGATAGTGTCCATGTGGGAATTGAGTCTATGTGAAAATTCAAGACAAAGATTGGGAGTCTGGTCTGACTTTTTTATTGCATCCAGGTTGCGTGTTAGATTTTATTTTACTTTATACAGATGAAGGGCTATTTTAAGGGACTCTGGGACTTTCCTGCTGGGGAACTGAGAAGGAGTTTGGGGTGAATTTGGCTGCTGAAGATTGCAGAGCTGTTGAAAACTCCATCCACCTTGTTTGGGCCATTTCTTGAGGCATCTCTCTTTTTGATAAACCTGCATTTGAAAGCAGTGACTTCCTCTGAATATCCAACCACTGAATAATGAATACATTGTCTTTTCTCTTCTAGGCCTAAACGGCAGCGGCAAAACAACTTTCCCATGTTTCCCTCTCCTAAAGCCTGGAATTTCAGAGGGGTAAGTGTTGCCCTGGGTAGCCCCTGCTGTTAAATGTCCTATTATGGATACATGCTCTGGCCTCCAGAACGGACGCTGTTAGGGTTGGTTTTACTAATCAAAGTCTCCATCAGGAGCGCATCTGTGCTTTACCACTTGGGGAAGTCACACTTGAATCAGTGGTTGTGGGTTAAGTAAAAACTCCAAGTGGTGGCCAGGCGTGATAGCTCATGTCTGTAATCCCAGCACTTTGGGAGGCCAATGTGGGAGGATCGCTTGAGCCTAGGAGTTTGAGACCAGCCTAGGCAACATGGCGAAGCTGCTACTCTACAAAAAAAAATATGAAAATTAGCTGGGCACGGTGGCATGTGCCTGTAGTCCTAGCTACTCAGGAGGCTGAGGTGGGAGGATCACTTGAGCCCAGGAGACGGAGGTTGTGGTGAGCTGAGATCATGCCACTGCACTCCAGCCTGTGCAACAGAACGAGACTCTGTCTAAAATTAAAAAAAAAAAAAAAAAAAAAATTCAAGTGGCCCAGTAAGCTTCTGCTGACATTCACCTGCCCTGAGGGTCTTGGGCTGCAGGAAGCATCTTGTGAAGAAGCTAAGAAGTGTCAAGGTTGCTGAGGCAGGCATTGGGGCTGTTTTCTTTGGAACCTGGAGGGAACCAGTGTACAATGAAGGAAAAAAGAAATCAGAAATGTAGAGTTTATTAATCTGTAGATTTATGCCTTCACAGGGAGCTTTGTTTTCCAGAAGGAGAAGTCTGTAAGCTTTAAACAGATTTTAGGAATCATAAAATTTGACCAAGCACAAAGCAATCAACCTTGCTTGGGAGATATAGAGGTATAGGAAGGGTCAGATTGAACTTCTTGATGCAAGGTTGTCTTCCTCAGCATAATAGTGATGATAATAATAATAATAGCCACAGTGTATGGAGGTCCTGCTGTGTGCTAAAGTGAATTCTAGCGCTAATCTCAGGAGCAAAACTTGCATCTGTAGAGAATGCTCTGAGCTCTTTTTCACTTCCAGGCCTTTGCACATGTTCCTTCTGCCTAGAGCACTCTCTTTGCCTAGCACCACACTCCTACACACACTGCTCCGGGCCCACACACTTTACCCACTGGGTCTCAGCCTTGACATCACCTCCTCTTGGAAGAAGCCCTCATGACCACCCCCTGAATCTGAGTTCCTGAATCTCCTATGTACCCCTGCAGTTTCTTACTATTGTGCTTAGTCCTTACTGAAATTTAAGATTGGAAGACTCAGGCATGAAGAGTGTAGCAACCTTGTCTTTCTCTCTTGTTCACTACTGTATCTCTGGGCCTAGTACAGTGCCTAGCACATGTATGCTTAATTAATTTGTCAGATGAATGAATGGAATGAATGAATACCTTTCTCACATCCATCTGATACCAAATACTTTTCTTGCATCCATCCACATGTTACCTTTAGATTGCGTTTCAAGTTCAGGTCTTTAGTCTTTTTAATACTGTTCTGACTGGTTCTATTCACACTTTAAAATCTTGTATAGATCTCAGTCATTTTCTCCAAGTGTCTTATTAAAAATAAATATAGATCATGGAACTATTTTAGCTCAGGTTACAATATGCTTTTTATTGAGTACAAAGAGAAATGTGTTGACTTCTGAAATAGATGTGCATGTCTTACTGAATGCAAGTCATGCACTTCCTAAGTCATTTATGGTTTTGTGGGTAGGATCTCCATTTCTCAAAGTGTATCCAGTTGTGTGATCATAACCATTAAGTACAAAAGGCTTGTGTGGTCAGATCTATTTGGGACATACTGAGTGTATTAAACTAAATATGCTCGCTACTGCAGGGCTTCTCAGAGCCTTTGAAGTGTTGATGTACGTGGAGACTCCATAAGGAGAACTGGTGGAGTTTGTAGCATTTCCCGAAGTCATTGATCATGAAATCCCTTGTTGACCAAGTAGATTGTATGCACTTTGGAATAGCTGACATTAACAGTCAATTTTGAACTATAGAGAAATTAGATCTCTTGTGAGCAAGTTAGCCTTTTTGAAGGCCTTTGTTTTCAGTGCTTGCCCTATCCATCCTCCCTTCAGTATTGCTCCCCTTCTGCTCCAACAATGGTCATTAGCCAAGGCTTGTGGGTACACGTGGAGTGACCAACCATCCAAGTTTGCCCAGGGACTGTCCTGGGTTGAGCACTGAAAGTCCTGCACATCATGAAATTCCCTGGAACCAGGCTAACTGGGACAATTGATTACCCCACCTATGGCCACGAGACCTCTTCAACTGTTTTCCCTTGAAAAATGTTCTGTGAATTTTTAAGCACGACTCTGGTTTATAGAACTTGTTACTCAAAGGAACCTGTTAGATACATACTTGGTTTAAGTGACCCTCTGTTTGCCCCATCCTTGCCAAATCTCTCTAACACAACAGTCACATTAATTTGCTGGGCACTGTGGCACACACCTGTAATCTTAGGGACTCAGGAAGATTAGGCAGGAGGATTGCTTGAGCCCAGGAGTCTGAGTCTAATCTGAGCAACACAGCAAGACTCTGTCTCAATAAATAAATAAAATTTAAAAAAAAGTAATAATTCACTGCAGGAAAACAAACAAACAAAAAAAAAAAAAACACCAACCCTGCCCCTGGCTAATTGCAACCAAGTGGGTTTCAGAGTTCAATGCAATGTTGACTTCAGGTTCAGCCCTCAAGTTCTTAGCTAGCTCACAAGATTTTCCCAAACAGCAAAAGTTGTCAGTTAGGTGATTAGGCCATTTGTGATGTTTATCTTGATCTCCTGTCCTTGCCTTGATTTCTTCTGGGCCCTGAGGCTTATTGGTAAAATTAGACAAACTGACATCAAGATATACCAGAGGGAGACAGTTCAGGGCCTGGCCAAAGGCCAGATTCCTCCTTGGCCAAAACTGATCTCTCTTTGCCTCAGAGTGTAATCCACAGTGACATGGTCGGGGATTGGGGAAGGGAACCCAACCAAGTGGAAACACCCTCACTCCCAGCCAGGACACACTTTGTAATTGTCATTATGGTAATTAAAATTGAAGAACGAGAAGGATGCAGAATGTCAGGATGAAGACATGTGAGGCATCATCTAGCTGACACATCTTCTGTAATGAAATCTGACTCCCAGGTCTGTTAGGCCAGGATGTGCATGCTGTTCTAGGGCAGGGTGTGCTTTTTGTGAACACTCTGCTTTCTTCTTTATTTAGAAAGGGAGGTTTCAGAATCTCTATGCTAGCAAATTTTCCACATTTATGTATGTGTCGGAGAAAGCCATTGTATTATCAGCATTTGCAATTTCATTCCTCTTGCAAAGAAAAGGGATCCAGGCCGGGCGCAGTGGCTCATGCCTGTAATCCCAGCACTTTGGGAGGCTGAGGCAGGAGAATCATTTGAGCCCAGGAGTTCAAGACCAGCCTGGGCAACAAAGCAGGACCCTGTCTCTGAAAACAGAAACAAACCCCAAAATTAGCTGGGCGTGATGACCTATTCCTGTAGTCCAAGCTACCAGGGAAGCTGAGGTGGGAGGATCACTTGAGCCCAGGAGTTTAAGCCTGCAGGGAGCGATGGTTGCACCTCTGCACTCTAGCTTGGGCAACAAAGAGAGACCTTGTCTCAAGAAAAAAAAAGAAAAGAAAAAAAAAAAAAAGAAAAAGGATCAGTGTTTGTTCACCAATGTCCTAGGCACTTGTGAATTTAAGGGGATGGGGTGGGGGACGAGGTGATGGTGAGAAATGGTTTGGAAAAGGCAAGAGAAGAAGGAACCATATTGCTCTCGAGGAGAGGTACAGTGGGAGAAGCTGGTAGGCAAGATCTGGGTGGCTGAGGAGCAGACTTTTTGGGAGAAGAGAGATTTCAAAATAACTTTAAAGAAAGTCTTGCTGAGTGAGTTGTATTGCACCCCCGTCTTTGTTTTCCCTGGAAACATTCCCTGCAGACCTCCATTAGTCCTCAGACATTAGGAGTTGCATTTGTGTTTTTCCTTTTTTATGCTGGAGTGTTTGGCTGTAGAGAGGCTCAGAAAAGGCTATTGACACTCATATTACATATCCCCTCTCCTTACCAAGTGGTTTAGCCCTTTCCCGGATTGTCATCTTCATTAATTGCAGGGTGCATTCTGCCCTTCAGTTCCCATGCTTGTCTAAGGAGACAGAGGCCCTGGGTGTTACCAACCCTCCAGGACTTTCCCACCCTCCTGAGCAAGGTGTGGCACTGTGCCCACCACTTACCAGACCCATAGGTGCTGCAGATGCATTCACCAAGAGAAGCAGAGAGGATGGTTTAGGGTGGAGTGGACATGGAAGGAACAGTAGGAGAAAACCTCACAGAATGGGAGGAATGAGAAGGCTGAGAGAGGAGGAACCCTGGGGGGTGTCTCGCTGTGAGGCAGCTTCTCCATCAGGTACTCACTGCACATCTGCTCCCATCTGGTTGGGGCAGTGCTGAGCTCAGAGTCCAGAATTTCCACCCTTCCTTGTGAAAATATTTGCTGCAGCTCCTCCTGTTGGGGTGGGGTGGAGGCACTGAGGCTCAAGGAAGACACACACCCTAGAGCTGTGAAAGTCTCTGGAACACAGCTCCTGCCATTGCCTGTAAGTTAACTAGGAAATGCTTAACCAGGACCTGCTGTGAAAGGCATTGTTTTAGGTGCCAGAACTGAGGTTTTAATTAAATACAGACCAAATTTCAGAGCCCTTTTTGTCTTGTCTCCTTCTCCAGTGCCTGGTCTTTACTTTTGTCTAGTCCATTTGAGAAGATTTTCTAGACTCTGGGGCTTAGAAGTAACTTTGGACATTGTAGCCCTGACCTTTTAATATTTAGACAAAGAAAATGAGACCTTGTATATTAGTCAGGACTCTGGGTTATAAGTGATAGAAACTCAGTTAAAACTAGCTCAAGTATAAAGGGAATTGGTTGCTTATGTGACTGAGGGAAACTGAGGTGGGTAAGCTTCAGGCACAGCTGTTTCCAGGTGTATTCCTTTTCTCAGCTTTGCCACTCTCTTGGTTTGTCTTCTCCTACTGCAGATGGATGTTTTTGAAGGAACAGGGTGACCATAAATGGCCACACATTTCCAGAGGCAAGAGAGATTTGCTTCCAGGATCCATCTATGAAATCCCAGTGTAGGACTCTGATTGTCTGGGCTTGGGTCACATAGCTATGCCTCGGCCAATCGCTATGGTCAAGAAGATGGGGTACTTTGATTAGACAGGCCTTGGTCACATGCCTCCCTCCATAGTCAGGGAGCCAGGTGGACAGGGCTCTGTAACTGGTAGCTCCACTGGAGCCACTTGAGGTGGGGAAGGGGCAGCTGCTCAAAGAAAGAGTTTGGTGTTGTTACCAAAAGGGACTCTGTTTCCTGGACAGCCAGAAAATAATGGAGCCCACTCCTAAGGGTCACTCACAGTGGAGAGATCAGGACTAGAACCTTGTCTTTTGACAAGAGGTCCTCAACCTTCTCCACACTGCCTTGACCCATTCCATTCTCCGTGTATAGAAGGAAGTTGCCAAAACCTCATTGTAGCCAAATGTTTCTTGAAGGTCAGATGGAGAGTTGCTCTGAAATTCACAACTCAGTAAAGTGACAGAGTCTCTAATGCTCACAACACACCAGGCCAGGTCAGTATGTATTGTGGCTTTACCATCTCTACACTGCAAAAGAAGCCAGCAAGCCTTTCACTTCTCTTGCAGGCTCAGTTTGTGCATTTACTTTTGTTGACTGAACGTCAGTCCCAGGCCAGGCTGTGGCAGTCCCGCCTGGTAGATAGTATGTATTCCCAGTCCAAAGATGGGGAAACAGAGCCCCACCCCTGCTATTTGCCTAAAGTACAGGTGTAGTAATTGGCAGAGTCAGCATTTGAATGCAGGACTTTCTGTTCCCAGGCCGTTAGAGTATATTACCTCTTTAAAACAAGGCTGATGACACCTACTTGTCCTCAAAGGAGGTTAGACGTGAAGAACTTTTTAAAAGATCTTTTTTAAACTTTTCATCACCTTGATTTCCTTCTACTCTCTTCGACTTTATTTTAAACCTTTTAATCTTCCCTACTAGATGTATGAAAAAATGATTTGTTACCCCAACTTTGTAATGGTAATTACTAAAACAATAGCAATAACTTCATTTATCCCAGGTATCTAACCCCTGGCATTCACTTACATTTTACCTGGCACTGTGTTGAGCATTTTACGCATATATTACTTCTCAGAAAAATCTTAAGAGGTGGGTATAGTTTCAGCCTCATCTTCATTTTATAAATGAGAAAATACAGTACCTTAATATTCTACTGCTGAGTAACAAATTATTATAAATTTAGCAGCTTAAACAGCAGTTGTTCACTAGCTTGGAGTTCTGTGGATTAGAAGTTAGGGCATGGTGTAAGTGAGTTCTCTGCCCAAGATCTCCTGAGACTGAAATCAAGCTGTCAGTCAGGGCTAGAGTTTCATCTGAGGCCTGGGGTCTTCTTCCAAGTTCATTTGGGCTGTTGGAAGAATTCAGTTCCTTGTGGTTGTCAGGAGGTTCTCATTTCCTTGCTGGCTGTCAGCTTGGGGTCGCTGTCAGAGAGCTTGCCATGTCATCTTCAAAGTCAGCAATGGAGAATCTCCCTCACACCACATCCATTCATGCTTCAGATGTCTCTGACTTGAGGAAGAGCCAAATTCCTTTTAAGGGCTCATCAGACTAAATTAGGCCCACTCAGATGATCTCTCTCTTGATGATCTAAAAGCCAATGATTAGTTACCCAATCATGGGGGTGATATCCCATGACATTACTAGGTTCTGATTGCACCCAAGGGGAGAGGATTATACAAGGTGTATACACTAGAGGATGGGAATCTTGGGGACCATCTTAGAATTTTGCCTACCACACAGAGGTTTAGAGAAGGGAATAACTTGCCTAGAGTCACACAACAGGTAAGTGGTGAAGCTAGGATTCGAACCTGACCTCACCTCATTCCAAAGCACATGTTCTTGGCCAGCATCTGTTTGGAACTTTTCTTTTGTATGAAATTATTTGCAAGTGGGGAGAATATTTGCAATATTCACCTCATACTAACCTCTAACATACAGAGGACTCTTGGAAAACAGTAACACAAATTTGAAAATCTAATAGGAAAACAGTTAATGGATCAGAATAGGCAGCATAGAAGAGAAAATACATAGGACCAGTAATCCGAGTCAAATTGTGCATTCTAACTAATAATATACAAATATTTTTAAATTATGAAAGTGCAGGCACACCCCAGAGACATTGCTGGTTCAGTTCCAGACCACCACAATGAAGTCAATAGGGCAATAAAGTGAGTTACATGGATGTTTTGGTTTCCCAGTGCATATAAAAGTTATGTTTACACTATACTGTAGTCTATTAAGTGTGTAATAGCATTATGTCTAAAATATATATATCTTAATTTAAAAATACTTCAATGCAAAAAATGCTAATGATCATCTTGCCTCAATGATGATGGCTGCTGATGGATCAGGGTGGTGGTTACTGAAGGCTGGGGTGGCTGTGGCAATTTCTTTCTTTTTTTTCTTTCCTTTCTTTTTTTTTTTATACTTTAAGTTTTAGGGTACATGTGCACAACGTGCAGGTTAGTTACATATGTATACATGTGCCATGTTGGTGTGCTGCACCCATTAACTTGTCATTTAACATAGGTATATCTCCTAATGCTATCCATCCCCCCTCCCCCCACCGCACAACAGGCCCCGGTGTGTGATGTTCCCCTTCCTGTGTCCATGTGTTCTCATTGTTCAATTCCCACCTATGAGTGAGAACATGCCGTGTTTGGTTTTTTGTCCTTGCGATAGTTTGCTGAGAATGATGGTTTCCAGCTTCATCCATGTCCCTACAAAGGACATGAACTCATAACTTTTTATGGCTGCATAGTATTCCGTGGTGTGTATGTGCCACATTTTCTTAATCCAGTCTATTGTTGTTGGACATTTGGGTTGGTTCCAGGTCTTTGCTATTGTGAATAGTGCTGCAATAAACATACGTGTGCATGTGTCTTTATAGCAGCATGATTTATAATCTTTTGGGTATATACCCAGTAATGGGATGGCTGGGTCAAATGGTATTTCTAGTTCTAGATCCCTGAGGAATCGCCACACTGACTTCCACAATGGTTGGACTAGTTTACAGTCCCACCAACAGTGTAAAAGTGTTCCTATTTCTCCACATCCTCTCCAGCACCTGTTGTTTCTGACTTTTTAATGATCGCCATTCTAACTGGTGTGAGATGGTATCTCATTGTGCTTTTGATTTGCATTTCTCTGATGGCCAGTGATGATGAGCATTTTTTCATGTGTCTTTTGGCTGCATAAATGTCTTCTTTTGAGAAGTGTCTGTTCATATCTTTTCCCACTTTTTGATGGGGTTGTTTCTTTTTTTCTTGTAAATTTGTTTGAGTTCATTGTAGATTCTGGATATTAGCCTTTTGTCAGATGAGTAGATTGCAAAAATTTTCTGCCATTCTGTAGGTTGCCTATTCACTCTGATGGTAGTTTCTTTTGCTGTGCAGAAGCTCTTTAGTTTAATTAGATCCCATTTGTCAGTTTTGGCTTTTGTTGCCCTTGCTTTTGGTGTTTTAGACATGAAGTCCTTGCCCATGCCTATGTCCTGAATGGTATTGCTAGGTTTTCTTCTAGGGTTTTTATAGTTTTAGGTCTAACATTTAAGTCTTTAATCCATCTTGAATTAATTTTTGTATAAGGTGTAAGGAAGGGATCCAGTTTCAGCTTTCTACATATGGCTAGCCAGTTTTCCCAGCACCATTTATTAAATAGGAAATCGTTCCCCCTTTTCTTGTTTTTGTCAGGTTTGTCAAAGATCAGATGGTTGTAGATATGCGGCATTATTTCTGAGGGCTCTGTTCTGTTCCATTGGTCTATATCTCTGTTTTGGTACCAGTACCATGCTGTTTTGGTTACTGTAGCCTTGTAGTATAGTTTGAAGTGAGGTAGCATGATGCCTCCAGCTTTGTTCTTTTGGCTTAGGATTGACTTGGCAATGCAGGCTCCTTTTTGGTTCCATATGAACTTTAAAGTAGTTTTTTCCAATTCTGTGAAGAAAATCATTGGTAGCTTGATGGGGATGGCATTGAATCTATAAATTACCTTGGGCAGTATGGCCATTTTCACGATATTGATTCTTCCTACTCATGAGCATGGAATGTTCTTCCATTTGTTTGTGTCCTCTTTTATTTCATTGAGCAGTGGTTTGTGGTTCTCCTTGAAGAGGTCCTTCACGTCCCTTGTAAGTTGGATTCCTAGGTATTTTATTCTCTTTGAAGCAATTGTGAATGGGAGTTCACTCATGATTTGGCTCTCTGTTTGTCTATTATTGGTGTATAAGAATGCTTGTGATTTTTGCACATTGATTTTGTATCCTGAGACTTTGCTGAAGTTGCCTATCAGCTTAAGGAGATTTTGGGCTGAGACGATGGGGTTTTCTAGATATACAATCATGTCATCTGCAAACAGGGACAATTTGACTTCCTCTTTTCCTAATTGAATAGCCTTTATTTCCTTCTCCTGCCTGATTGCCCTGGCCAGAACTTCCCAACACTATGTTGAATAGGAGTGGTGAGAGAGGGCATCCCTGTCTTGTGCCAGTTTTCAAAGGGAATGCTTCCAGTTTTTGCCCATTCAGTATGATATTGGCTGTGGGTTTGTCATAGATAGCTCTTATTATTTTGAGATACATCCCATCAATACCTAATTTATTGAGAGTTTTTAGCATGAAGGGCTGTTGAATTTTGTCAAAGGCCTTTTCTGCATCTATTGAGATAATCATATGGTTTTTGTCGTTGGTTCTGTTTTTATGCTGGATTACGTTTATTGATTTGCGTATGTTGAACCAGCCTTGCATCCCAGGGATGAAGCCCACTTGATCATGGTGGATAAGCTTTTTGATGTGCTGCTGGATTCAGTTTGCCAGTATTTTATTGAGGATATTTGCATCGATGTTCATCAGGGATATTGGTCTAAATTCTCTTTTTTTGTTGTGTCTCTGCCAGGCTTTGGTATCAGGATGATGCTGGCCTCATAAAATGAGTTAGGGAGGAGTCCCTCTTTTTCTGTTGATTGGAATAGTTTCAGAAGGAATGGTACCAGCTCCTCCTTGTACCTCTGGTAGAATTCGGCTGTGAATCCATCTGGTCCTGGACTTTTTTTGGTTGGTAAGCTATTAATTATTGCCTCAATTTCAGAGCCTGTTATTGGTCTATTCAGAGATTCAACTGCTTCCTGGTTTAGTCTTGGGAGGGAATATGTGTCGAGGAATTTATCCATTTCTTCTAGATTTTCTAGTTTATTTGCGTAGAGGTGTTTATAGTATTCTGTGATGGTAGTTTGTATTTCTGTGGGATCGGTGGTGATATCCCCTTTATCATTTTTTATTGCACCTATTTGATTCTTCTCTCTTTTCTTCTTTATTAGTCTTGCTAGTGGTCTATCAATTTTGTTGATCTTTTCAAAAAACCAGCTCCTGGATTCACTGATTTTTTGAAGGGTTTTTTATGTCTGTATCTCCTTCAGTTCTGCTCTGATCTTAGTTATTTCTTGCTTTCTGCTAGCTTTTAAATGTGTTTGCTCTTGCTTCTCTAGTTCTTTTAATTGTGATGTTAGGGTGTCAATTTTAGATCTTTCCTGCTTTCTCTTGTGGGCATTTAGTGCTATAAATTTCCCTCTACACACTGCTTTAAATGTGTCCCAGAGATTCTGGTATGTTGTGTCTTTGTTCTCGTTGGTTTCAAAGAACATGTTAATTTCTGCCTTCATTTCGTTATGTACCCAGTAGTCATTCAGGAGCAGGTTGTTCAGTTTCCATGTAGTTGAGCGGTTTTGAGTGAGTTTCTGAATCCTGAGTTCTAGTTTGATTGCACTGTGGTCTGAGAGACAGTTTGTTATAACTTCTGTTCTTTTACATTTGCTGAGGAGTGCTTTACTTCCAACTATGTGGTCAATTTTGGAATAAGTGCGGTGTGGTGCTGAGAAGAATGTATATTCTGTTGATTTGGGGTGGAGAGTTCTGTAGATGTCTGTTAGGTCTGCTTGGTGCAGAGCTGAGTTCAATTCCTCAATATCCTTGTTAACTTTCTGTCTCGTTGATCTGTCTGATGTTGACAGTGGGGTGTTAAAGTCTCCCATTATTATTGTGTGGCAGTCTAAGTCTCTTTCTAGGTCTCTAAGGACTTGCTTTATGAATCTGGATGCTCCTGTATTGGGTGCATATATATTTAGGATAGTTAGCTCTTCTTGTTGAATTGATCTCTTTACCATTATGTAATGGCCTTCTTTGTCTCTTTTGATCTTTGTTGGTTTAAAGTGTGTTTTATCAGAGACTAGGATTGCAACCCCTGCATTTTTTTGTTTTCCATTTGCTTGGTAGATCTTCCTCCATCCCTTTATTTTGAGCCTATATGTGTCTCTGCAGGTGAGATGGGTTTCCTGAATACAGCACACTGATGGGTCTTGAGTCTTTATCCAATTTGCCAGTCTGTGTCTTTTAATTGGAGCATTTAGCCCATTTACATTTAAGGTTAATATTGTTATGTGTGAATTTGATCCTCTCATCATGATGTTAGCTGATTATTTTGCTTGTTAGTTGATGCAGTTTCTTCCTAGCCTCGATGGTCTTTACAATTTGGCATGTTTTTGCAGTGGCTGGTACTGGTTGTTCCTTTCCATATTTAGTGCTTCCTTCAGGAGCTGTTTTAGGGCAGGCCTGGTGGTGACAAAATCTCTCAGCATTTGCTTGTCTGTTAAGGATTTTATTTCTCCTTCACTTCTGAAGCTTAGTTTGGCTGGATATGAAATTCTGGGTTGGAAATTCTTTTCTTTAAGAATGTCGAATATTGGCCCCCACTCTCTTCTGGCTTGTAGAGTTTCTGAGGAGAGATCAGCTGTTAGTCTGATGGGCTTCCCTTTGTGGGTAACCTGACCTTTCTCTCTGGCTGCCCTTAACATTTTTTCCTTCATTTCAACTTTGGTGAATCTTACAATTATGTGTCTTGGAGTTGCTCTTCTCGAGGAGTATCTTTGTGACATTGTCTGTGTTTCCTGAATTTGAATGTTGGCCTGCCTTGCTAGATTGGGGAAGTTCTCCTGGATAATATCCTGCAGAGTGTTTTTCAACTTGGTTCCATTCTCCCCATCACTTTCAGGTACACCAACCAGACGTAGAATTGGTCTTTTCACATACTCCCATATTTCTTGGAGGCTTTGTTCGTTTCTTTTTATTCTTTTTTCTCTAAACTTTTCTTCTCGCTTCATTTCATTCATTTGATGTTCCATCACTGATACCCTTTCTTCCAGTTGATCGAATCGGCTGCTGAGGCTAGTGCATTCATCACGTAGTTCTCATGCCTTTGTTTTCAGCTCCATCAGTCCTTTAAGGACTTCTCTGCATTGGTTATTCTAGTTAGCCATTTGTCTAATTTTTTTTCAAGGTTTTTAACTTCTTTGCCATGGGTTTGAACTTCCTCCTTTAGTTTGGAGTAGTTTGATCTTCTGAAGCCTTCTTCTCTCAACTCGTCAAAGTCATTCTCCATCCAGCTTTGTTCCATTGCTGGTGAGGAGCTGTATTCCTTTGGAGGAGGAGAGGCACTCTGATTTTTAGAGTTTCTAGATTTTCTGCTCTGTTTTTTCCCCATCTTTGTGGTTTTATCTACCTTTGGTCTTTGATGATGGTGACGTACAGATGGGGTTTTGGTGTGGATGTCCTTTCTGTTTGTTAGTTTTGCTTCTAACAGTCAGGACCCTCAGCTGCGGGTCTGTTGGAGTTTGCTGGAGGTCCACTCCAGACCCTGTTTGCCTGGGTATCAGCAATGGAGGCTGCAGAACAGCAGATATTGGTGAACAGCAAATGCTGCTGCCTGATCGTTCCTCTGGAAGTTTTGTCTGAGAGGAGTACCCGGCCGTGTGAGGTGTCAGTCTGCCCGTACTGGGGGGTGCCTCCCAGTTAGGTTACTCGGGGGTCAGGGACCCACTTGAGGAGGCAGTCTGTCCATTCTCAGATCTCCAGCTGCATGCTGGGAGAACCACTACTCTCTTCAAAGCTGTCAGACAGGGACATTTAAGTCTGCAGAGGATTCTGCTGCCTTTTATTTGGCTATGCCCTGCCCCTAGAGGTGGAGTCTACAGAGGCAGGCAGGTGTCCTTGAGCTGTGGTGGGCTCCACCCAGTTCGAGCTTCCTGGCTGCTTTGTTTACCTACTCAAGCATCAGCAATGGCAGGCGCCCCTCCTCCAGCCTTGCTGCTGCCTTGCAGCTGCCTTGCAGTTTGATCTCAGACTGCTGTGCTAGCAATGAGCGAGTCTCTGTGGGCGTAGGACCCTCCAAGCCAGGCACAGGATATAATCTCCTGGTGTGCCATTTGCTAAGACCGTTGGAAAAGCTCAGTATTAGGGTGGGAGTGACCCAATTTTCCAGGTGCCATCTGTCACCCCTTTCTTTTACTAGGAAAGGGAATTCCCTGACCCCTTGCACTTCCCGGGTGAGGCAATGCCTCACCCTGCTTCGGCTCACGCTCGGTGAACTGCATCCACTGTCCTGCACCCACTTTCCAACACTCCCCAGTGAGATGAACCCAGTACCTCAGTTGGAAACGCAGAAATCACCCGTCTTCTGCATCACTCATGCTGGGAGCTGTAGACTGGAGCTGTTCCTATTCAGCCATCTTGGCTCCACCCCTGGCAATTTCTTAAAATAAGATAACAATGACATTTGCTGCATTGATTGACTCTTTCCTTTCATGAAAGATTTCCTGTAGAATATGATGCATTTAACCCATAGGAGAACTTCCAAAATTGCAGTCATTCCTCTCAGATCCTGCAGCTTGCTTTATCAATTCAGTTTATGGAATATCCTAAATCCTTTGTTATCATTTCAAGAATGTTCACAGCATCTTTGCCACAAGTAGATTCTATCTCAAGAAACTACTTTTTGGCTGAGTGCGGTGGCTCACATCTGTAATTCCAGCACTTTGGGAGGCTGAGGTGGGTGGATCACTTGAGGTCAGGAGTTCAAGGCCAACCTGGCCAGCATGGTGAAACCCCGTCTCTATTAAAAATACAAAAATTAGCTGGACATGGTTGCGCAGGTGCCTGTCGTCCCAGCTACTTGGGAGGCTGAGGCAGGAGAATTGCTTGTACCCGGGAGGCAGAGGTTGCAGTGCCCTGAGATAGCACCACTGCATTCCAGCCTGAGCAAAAAAGTAAGACTTTGTCTCACAAAAAAAAAAAAAAAAAAAAAAAAGAAACCACTTTCTTTGCTCATCCATAAGAAGCAACTCCCCATCCGTTCAAGCTTTATCATGAGACTGCAGCAATTCAGTCACATTTTCAGGCTCTACTTCTAATTCTAGTTCTCTTGCTATTTTCACCACATCTGCAGTGACTTCCAACACGGAAGTCTTAAACCCCTCAATGTCATCCATGAGGGTTGGAATCAGCTTCTTCCAAAGTCCTGTTAATGTTGGAATTTTGACCTCTGTCCATGAATTGTGAATGTTCTTAATGGCATCTAGAATGGTGAATCCTTTACAGAAGATTTTCAATTTACTTTGCCCACAGCCACCAGAGGAAACACTGTCTATGGCACCTATGGCCTTAAGAGATGTTTTTGTTTTGTTTTGTTTTTGTTTTTTGTTTTGAGACTGAATCTCGCTCTGTCATCCATGCTGGAGTGCAGTGGAGTGATTTCGGCTCCCTGCAACCTCCACCTTTCGGGTTCAAGCAATTCTGCCTCAGCCGCCCGAGTAGCTGGGATTATAGGCGCCCGCCATCATGCCTGGCTAATTTTAGTATTTTTAGTAGAGATGGGGTTTCACCATGTGGCCAGGCTGGTCTCGAACGTCTGACCTCAAGTGATCCACCTGCCTCAGCCTTCCAAAGAGGTTTTTTTTTTTTTTGAGTCGGAGTCTCTCTCTGTCGCCCAGGCTGGAGTGCAGTAGCGCGATCCTGGCTCACTGCACCTCTGCCTCCCCGGTTCAAGTGATTCTCCTGCCTCAGCCTCCCGAGTAGCTGGGATTACAGGCACCCACCACCACACCTGGCTAATGTTTGTATTTTTAGTAGAGATGGGGTTTTATCGTGTTGGTCAGGCTAGTCTTGAACTCCTGACCTCAAGTGATTCGCCTGCCTTGTACTCCCAAAGTGCTGGGATTACAGTTGTGAACCACTGTGCCTGACCTAAAGAGATGTATTTTTTAAATAACAAACTTGAAAGTCAAAATGACTCCTCTGTCCATGGGCTGCAGAATTGATGTTGAGTTAGCAGGCATGAAAACAGCATTAATCTCCTTGTAGAGCTCTATCGAAGCTCTCGGGTGACCAGATGCATTGTCAGTGAGCAGTAATATTTTAAAAGTAATCTTTTTTTCTGAGCGGTAAGTCTCAAGAGTGGGCTTAAAATATTCAGTAAGTCATCCTGCAAACAGATGTGCTGCCATCCAGGCTTTGTTGTTCCCTTTATAGAGCACAGGCAAAGTAGATTTAGCATCATTCTTAAGAGCCCTGGGATTTTCAGAATGGTCAATGAGCATTGGCTTCAACTTAAAGTCACCAACTGCCTTAGCTCCTAATAAGAAAGTCATTCTGTCCTTTGAAGCTTTGAAGCCAAGCATTGACTTCTCTCTAGCTAGGAAAGCTCTAGCTGGCATCTTCTTCCAAGATAAGGCTTTTTCATCTACATTGAAAATCTGTTGTTTAGTGTCACCACCTTTGTCGATTATCATAGCCAGATCTTCTGGATAGCTTGCTGCAGCTTCTACATCAGGACTTGCTGCTTCATCTTGCACTTTTATGTTATGAAGACAGCTTCTTTCCTTAAACCTCATGAACTAACCAACCTCTGTTAGCTTCAAACTTTTCTTCTGCATCTTCCTCTCACCTTCATAGAATTGAAGAGAGTTAGGGCCTTGCTCTGGATTAGGCTTTGGCTTAGAGGAATGTTGTGGCTGGTTTGATCTTTTATCCACACCACTCAAACTTTCCCCCTATTAGCGATAAGGCTGTTTTGCTTTCTTATCTTTTTATGTGTTCACTGGAGTAGCACTTTCAATTTCCTTCAAGAACTTTTCCTTTGCACTTACAACTCGGCTGTTGGGTACAATAGGCCTAACTTTCAGCCTGCCTCAACTTTGGACATGCCTTCCTCACTAAGCTTAATCATTTCTAGCTTTTGACTTAAAGTGAGAGATAGGCAACTCTTCCTTTCACTTTAACACTTAGAGACCATTCTAGGGTTATTGAATGGCCTAATTTCAATATTAGTGTGTCTCAGGGAATAGGGAAGCCTGAGGAGAGGGAGAGAGATGGGATGGTTGGTTGATAGAGCAGTCAGAACACACACATTTATTGATTAAGCTCACCATCTTATATGAGGATGGTTCGTGGCACCCCAAAACAATTACAATAGTAACATCAAAGATGACTGGTCAGACATCACCGTAACAGATATGTAATAATGAAAAAGTTTGAACTATTGAATTTTGAGTGAACAAAATGTGATGCAGAGATGCAAATTGAGCACATACTGTTGGAAAAAATGGCACTGATAGATTTGCTCAATGCAGTTTTACCACAAACCTTCAGTTTGTGGCACCTGCAAAGTGCAATAAAGCCAAGTGCAGTAAAATGAGAGATCCTTGTAATAAAAACAATAGCAATAATAATGTATTTCATTTGTTAGCCTTTGGAATGTGCTAGCTACTGCTCCTAGTACTTTGCAAGTAATCACATTCCCCTACAGCACTATTTAGTCAATATTATTATTATCCCCAGTTTTCAAATGGGAAAACTTCTACCAGAATCATCCCCAAAGACCCACAGCAATTAAGTAGTGGATGTAGCTTTTGAACCCAGTCAGTCTGGTTTCAGAGCCTGTGTTCTCAACAATGTGATGATTGTAACAAGTGCAATTGATGCAGAGGCATATAATGTAAAGCATATATTTATAGGATTTAAACCATAACTAAAGAAAAGCACATTAAAACCATAAAAACTAAAGTGATCCCTTCTTACGGGGAAAAAATATATTAATATATACATAGAAAGAAGTCTCGTCACTGATGAACAACAATATGGAGTAGATGAAGTCCCAGAGAACTGTTGTTGTGTTAGTTACATATTTTTTATAAAGTCTGAATTTTTTAAAGAGAGTGTGTATTGCCTTTATAATTAGCAAAATAATACACGTAGAATAATTAAAAAAGAACTCCTTCCACAATCACAATCTTCCACAAGCAACAGGAGGCTTATATTAAAAGTTTCAGGTCTTAGAACACATCGGGGTGTTTCATTGAACATGTTCTGTGGGCCGGGCATCATGGCTCATGCCTGTAATCCCAGCACTTTGGGAGGCCAAGGCAGGTGGATCACTTGAGATCAGGAGTTTGAGACCAGTCTGGCCAACATGGCAAAACCCTGTCTCTACTAAAAATACAAAAATTAGCCAGATGTGTTGGCACACTCCTGGGACCCCAGCTGCTTGGGAGCCTGAGGCAGGAGAATTGCTTGAACCCAGGAGGCGGAGGTTGCAGTGAGCCAAGATCATGCCAGTGCACTCCAGCCTATGCGACAGAGCGAGACTCTGCCTCAAAAACAGAACATGTGCTGTGGCTAAGCCTCTGGGGACTGATGAAATCTGGGTACACAGAAGGGGCTGGCACATGCTGTGGTGTGCTCTGCAGTGCTTCAAGATGTTTGCCCCCACCTCCTCTCCCAGTTCTCCCCACCTCTCTGAGAGTCAGTCTAGAGGCTACTTCCATGCGCCCTTGGGGTTAGCAGTTTTATTGGTCAGCCCAGAGTCTGAGTTTGGTGGACAGTGCTTGGCAGCCATAACAAATGCTTAGATGGTGAAAAGGTATATGCTTTGGGGTCAGAATGCCAGATTGGGGGCTTCAGACACATTTCAGAGCATCGGGTCTCTTATCTGCAAAATAGGTATGGAAAATAATGCCATTTTCTGAAAACCAGAGACTTAGTAATTATGTGTGTAAAGTGACCCGAAGAATGTCTCTCATGTAGGTAAGCGCAGAAAATATTAGCTCCATATAACTAGGGTTCCTTTATTCCTGAGATGACTGTTTTCTAAAGATAAGTATTTAACAGATGCTTTTTTTTTTAAATGTGAGCTGCCCCCTCATAAAGGCAAAACCGACCATACCTGGGTTTCCACTTAGTCCTGCTTGTCTCATTTCCCTTCAGGCAGTAGAGAAGCCAGGCTGTATAGATCCTGACACCTGTGAGGGAAAGCTCACGTCATCTTCAACCTGCTGACACCAAAAATATGCCAGGAACATTGGAGCTCATTCTTAGATTCAAAGCCGTTTCTTTTTCTGGCCATATGTGAGGTCTGTGGGAGTTAACAGTAGGCTTGTGTGCCAGTTGAGCAGATTTGCATTTTTGAGTTTCTAGATGCCTGTTTATTTTATATAGTTATCGTTTTGATTAGTCCTTGCTTAGTCCCTTTTTGGTTCCAGAGTTATGCAGGGTAAAATATGCTTTTACTTTGGCCTTCTGGGTTAATTACAAAATCCTAGTTGCAAGTGACAGGAATTCAACTCAAATTAGCTTAAGGAGAGTTTTTAAAGGTACAGGGGTATGGGAAGTATTTCGTGGAATGCAGTGGAGGCTCAGAAGTACCTTGAACCAGGCACTGGAAGCCCATGAGGATTCTTGACTCCTCTCTGCTCTTAGCACTTTTGCTTGGCCAACTGACTTTTTCCATTTCTCAGTACAGTTGAAACACAGCCATCTACAGAGAGACAGCCTTCTCTCTCTCTCAGAGCCAGAATTACTAGGGAGGGATTCTGATTGGTCCAACTTGGATCAAGTGGATACTCTTGGACCAATCAGCAGTGGCCAGGGAGTGGGATTATGCTGTACCACCATGGTGACTCCTATGGTAACCATAGTAACAATGGGGGAGAAGGGGCAGTTTCTAGAAGGAGAAGGAGGCACTGGAGCAGATACAAATAATTCCTGCCTACAAAATTCTTCCCTATCTGTCCTCCTATCATAAAAGGTAATCATCCTGATTCCATTTTTTCCTGTCTGACTCCATGTGGGCAAAACTCCTAACTCCTCTTCTTTCATCTTTGGTTAGAAGCAGTCCATTTAGTTATTGATTTTTTTTCAACCTGGACAATCTCTTCTGGGAGCAAGAACAGCCTGTTTGGCAAGCTATTCAGCAAGACATAAAACATAATAGTCCTCGGGATGAATCAAAATAATAGCAGGTCCTAGAAAATTGTGTTCTTAAGCCATTTCTAGACTGTTGGGAAGTATTGGGGTTCAGTCAGGGGTTTTAAACAGAAGGTGGTCCAAGAATCAGTCTCAGTATTGTTTTGTGGTTAGTCGTATTGATGACTGTTCATTGAAATTTTTATTTTTAATTTTAATCAAATGTAGCCTTTATTACACACACAAAAATGTCATGGTAGTGATCTTGCTACCTCCAAAAGAGCCTTATGTATTTGAAAGCATGAGAGGAGATGGTGATGTCGAGAACTGAGGGAACATACCTATTTAGAAAATCCTCCTTTTCTGAAGCCGAAACTTCCCTTTCTTTCCTCCGTGTTAGGTTTATTTCTCTTTCTGCCTGTGTCTGAATCTGGGAATGGGAATTGAAGCCTCTTGCGTGGAGGTTGGTAAAAGTCCTGTTATTGGATTTTCTTCTCTGTCATCAACTTCTTCCTCTTCACAGTGAGTGTGGCCCACTGAATAGACTGGACGAGATTGGATTGTGGCTCGAATACCACCCCCCTTTAAATGCCCAAATCATACTGCCCGTTAAATCAATTGAAAGACACAGCTAGAAGCAAGGGGAAAAAGATGGGATCCATTAACACACTTCACAGAGAGTGCAGGCAGGATGGAAGGACCACACTACCTGAGTCCTGGGCTTCGCAATGTCCAAATGTCCTATCTCTCTGTACAGTGTCAGCTTTCATGACTGACGATGCATCTACAAGGACTGGAGTTGAACTTCAAGCAAGAGACTCACAGACAAAGGCGCCCTGGGCCAGTGGCACACACTAGCTTTATCAAAGAGACTCAGGGACAAGTACGCCTGGTCTGTACTGCGGTTTGCCAATTAGCTGGATGAACAGCTGGCTAATTTCTGTTTTATCTCTTGGGCAGAAGACACATGAGGCTAGAATAGGTTATCTTCAACGGGGAGCCGAGCTAAGGCCTCATGTATGTTACGTGCTCATGTGTTCTTAGTGCCTCTGTATATTTAGTGCCTTGTAAGTCTCATGCATATTTAGTGTAACCAGATGCCTCATGAATATTAGGTATCTTTTGCTCCTTCCATCCCTTCTTGTCTGTGTTAGGTGCACACATTTGACTTACTAACCACTTAATTATAAGTAACATCACTTAAAATATATTCTATTATCGAAGATGAATAAGTCTTACAAACTTATTCTTCCTCCGTAATTGAAATTAGTAGTCTCTAAAAACTAATAATCATTAATCTTGATTGCATGGGGCCCATTTTAAAATGGGCTGCCCTATATAAGTGTGAAGATTAAAATTCTTTTCTTCCTTGATTTTTGGGCCTCCTGCATTTGTCAGTCTCCACTCAGGCTCTCTCTGCCATCCAACCCTGGAAATCTCAATGAACACAACTCCAGGACCAGCTTTTTTGTGCATGACTGTTACTGCCAACTCCCACGTGGTGCTGGAAATAAAACCAGCGGTATTAGATGCTGTAGCAGCAGCAAGGACCACCAGCACCTGACCCCTTGGTTAATACACATTCAGGGAAGAGGAGACATTCTTATACAGCAGAATACTGCTACATGATGTGTTTTTGTACCTCAGGGCTGATTCGACCTAACATTTCATTTAGAGAAAAGGGGGAATGAGACTGATTACTTTTTTATGGACAGATGAAAATTTGTGTTAAGTGTAAAGCTCTGACTTCAGGGAAGTCCATTTAATTTATGCAGGTTGAACTAAACCACTTCATTAAAAAGAGGATGGGGAGAAAACTTATGACTCAGCACAAGTTAGATGAGTGACTCTGTCATTTCCTCTGTCTATCCTATTGGAGTGATGGTGATTCTAGATGTTAACATGGGCTTTTTGTGCAGCCTACCCCCTAAAAACAAACAACAGCTTCCTCTGGGGCTCAACTGAAGATGTATATACAATACTTGTTCTAGCAGGGAGGAGGCATTATTGAGTGTGGTCTATTGGGAGAAGGGATGTCTGCCTTCATGTGTTGTCTTCTACATGGTTTCCATGATTCTTATTTATTGTGCGCTATTTTTCAACTTTTTATTATGAAAAATTTCAAACATATGGAAAAGTTAAAAGATAAGTGCATCAAACACTCACCATCTAGAATTAACAGTTCCTAACATTTGCTTTATGTATTTGTCTCTAGTTGTTGATACAGTTTGGCTTTATTTTACTAAACCATTCCAAAGTAACACAATTACAGATACTATGATTCTTCACATCTAAATATTTCAGTATATATGTCCTAATTATAAGGACATTTTCCTACATTATCATAGTATCATCATCAAACCTAAGTTATCAATAATTCTCCAACATTCTAATATTCCATCTATATTCATATTTTCTCAGTTGTCTTTTATAACTGGTTTCCCCCAAATCATTCAAGGATCATGCACTGCATCTAGCTGGATTTATTTTTTGTTTGTTTTTATCCAATCAAGGACCATGATTTCATTTTGTTATGTTTCTTAAGCCTTTTTGATTCTCAGATACTCCCCTCGTCCCTCCAGTTTTTGAAAAGACCAATTTGTCTTTTGAAACTTTGGAGGCTGGGCACAGTGGCTCATGCCTGTAATCCCAGCACTTTGGGAGGTCAAGGCGGGTGGATTGCTTGAGCTTAGGAGTTCAAGACCAGCCTGGGCAACATGGCGAAACCTATCTGTACAAAAAATACAAAAATTAGCCAGGCTTGGTGGTGCATGCCTGTAGTCTCAGCTACTTGGGCAGCTGAGGTGGGAGGATCACTTGAGCTCTGGAGTTGGAGGCTGCAGTGAGCTGTGATTGTGCGACTGCAGTCCAGCCTGGGCAATGGAGTGAGACCCTGTCTCAAAAAAACCCATGGAACTTTGGAATGTGTCTCACAGTTGGGTTTATCTGACTGCTTCCCTATGATGTCATTTAACTTGTTCTTCAGCTCTATATATTTCTTGTAATCTGGTAATTTGGATCTAAAGACTTAATTTGTTTTAGGTTAAACACTTTTGGGCAGGAAAACATCCTAAGGGATGCCGGTTACTTGCATCTTATTAAGAGGCACACAGTTGGGTTGTTACTAGTGATGCTAATTTGCTATGCAGGGTAGACGCTGATGAGAGCTCAGACCCTGAGTGGGGAGTGTCTCTGCTGTCATATTTTGGTGAATATTTTAGACAGAGTTTTTGGCAAAGAATAGGCACTTGCTCCATTACCTCAAGAAAATGGCTTTTTAATAAGAGAATATATAGTTGCAGGAACCTAGGACTTCTCTTTGTGGGTCAGTTTCATTCCCCTTCTCTCTCTGCCTTCACTTGTTACTGACCTATAGGTTCTGCTCCCGGTGTCTCCTCCTTGTATGTGGCACTGTTGGGCTTGTCATGATGCCAGCTCTGGACCAACTCAGTGTGATCTTTCAGCAGCTCGCTCTCCTACAGCTTATGGCATAGTCTCAGGTTCCCCATCCCCAAATCCCTAAGAAAACTTCAATTGGATCAGTTTTTCTTTCTTGCACTGGGCTTCACAAGTGGTGGGCAGTCAGCTGGCTAGCTCTTAAAAGGGCTTCTCTACCTCTTGGTTCAGTCATCTGTGGCCAGAGAGTCAAGGTCAAATGGATCTGTCACTCACCAGCTTGGGCAAGTAATCAGCCTCACTGAGATTCAGATTCCCCATCTGAAATCATATGTAGCTCATAGGGTTATTATGAAGATTGACTTAAATAATCATATCAAGTATTTAGCACTGGGTCTGTGACATAGTAATGTGTCTGGAATTGGTGGGTTCTTGGTCTCACTGACTTCAAGAATGAAGCCACGGACCCTCGTGGTGAGTGTTACAGCTCTTAAGGTGGCGCGTGTGGAGTTTGTTCCTTCTGATGTTCAGATGTGTTCGGAGTTTCTTCCTTCTGGTGGGTTCGTGGTCTCGCTGGCTCAGGAGTGAAGCTGCAGACCTTCGTGGTGAGTGTTACAGCTCTTAAGGCAGAGCGTCTGGAGTTGTTCGTTCCTCCCGGTGGGCTTGTAGTCTCGCTGGGCTCAGGAGTGAAGCTGCAGATCTTCACGGTGAGTGTTACAGCTCATAAAAGCAGTGTGAACCCAAAGAGTGAGCAGTAGCAAGATTTATTGCAAAGAGCGAAAGAACAAAGCTTCCACACTGTGGAAGGGGACCCCAGCGGGTTGCCGCTGCTGGCTAGGGCAGCCTGCTTTTATTCTCTTATCTGGCCCCACCCACATCCTGCTGATTGGTAGAGCCGAGTGGTCTGTTTTGACAGGGCGCTGATTGGTGCGTTTACAATCCCTGAGCTAGACACAAAGGTTCTCCACGTCCCCATCAGATTAGTTAGATACAGAGTGTGGACACAAAGGTTCTCCAAGGCCCCACCAGAGTAGCTAGATACAGAGTGTCGATTGGTGCATTCACAAACCCTGAGCTAGACACAGGGTGCTGACTGGTGTGTTTACAAACCTTGAGCTAGATACAGACTGCCAATTGGTGTATTTACAATCCCTGAGCTAGACATAAAGGTTCTCCAAGGCTCCACCAGAGCAGCTAGATACAGAGTGTCGATTGGTGCATTCACAAACCCTGAGCTAGACACAGGGTGCTGATTGGTGTGTTTACAACCCCTGAGCTAGACATAAAGACTCTCCACCTCCCCACCAGACTCAGGAGCCCAGCTGGCTTCACCTAGTGGATCCCGCAGCGGGGCTGCAGGTGGAGCTGGCTGCCAGTCCAGCGCCGTGTGCTCGCGCTCCTCAGCCCTTGGGTGGTCGATGGGACTGGGTGCAGTGGAGCAGGGGGTGGCGCTCGTCGGGGAGGCTGGGGCCGCACAGGAGCCCATGGAGTGGGTGGGAGGCTCAGGCACGGCGGGCTGCAGGTCCCAAGCCCTGCCCCGTGGGAGGGCAACTAAGGCCTGGTGAGAAATCGAGCGCAGCGCTGGTGGGCTGGCACTGCTGGGGGACCCAGTACACCCTCCGCAGCCGCTGGCCCGGGTGCTAAGTCCCTCATTGCCCTGGGCTGGCAGAGCCGGCAGCTGCTCCGAGTGCGGGGGCCGCCAAGCCCACACCCACCCGGAACTCCAGCTGGCCCGCCAGCACCGCACGCAGCCCCAGTTCCCACTCGCGACTCTCCTTCCACACCTCCCTGCAAGCTGAGGGAATGGGCTTCAGCCTTGGCCAGCCCAGAAAGGGGCTCCCACAGTGCAGTGGTGGGCTGAAGGGCTCCTCAAATGCTGCCAAAGTGGGAGCCCAGGCAGAGGAGGTGCCAAGAGCAAGCGAGGGCTCTGAGGACTGCCAGCACGCTGTCACGTCTCAGTAACTGCTCAGTAAATATTCTCTCCATCCCTGCTACTACTACTATTATGCTATATTCACTCAGCAGGAGCTGTGGACAACGTTGGTGAAGTGGGGCAAATATCCTGGGAAGGGAATGTGAGGACTATATCCATGTATTAGTCCATTTTCACACTGCTGTAAAGAAATACCCGAAACTGGGTAGTTTATAAAGAAAAGAGGTTTAACTGACTCACAGTTTTGCATTGCTGGGGAGGCCTCAGGAAACATACAATCATAGTGGAAGGGAAAGCAGGCACATCTTACATGGTGGCAGGCAAGAGAGCAAGTGTGTGAAGGAAGAACTGTTAAACACTAATAAAACCATCAGATCTTGTGAGAACTCACTCACTGTCATGAGAATAGCATTGGGGAAACTGCCCCCATGATCCAATCACCTCCCACCAGACCCTTTCTGTACATGTGGGGATTATGGGGATTACAATTTGAGAGGAGATTTGGGTGGGGACACAGAGTCAGACCATATCAATCCCCAAACATTTCTAGCATACTAGAAAAACTTTCCTTTTTACAAATAATTTTTCCATTGGGACATGGAGGCTCAAGCCTGTAATCTAGCAATTTAGGAGGCCAAGGCGGGTGAACCCTTTTGAGCCCAGGAGTTCAAGACCAGCCTGGGTAACATCGTGAAATCCTGTCTCTACAAAAAATACAAAAATTAGGCAGGTGTGATGGCACGCGCCTGTGGTCCCAGCTACTCAGCAGGCTGAAATGGGAAGATCACCTGAGCCCAGGAGGTCAAGGCTGCAGTGATCTGTGATCGTGTCACTGCACTCTAGCCTAGCTGACAAAGTGAGACACTGTCTCAAAAAAAGTTAAAAACTAAAAAAAAGTAAAAAAAAAAAAAAAAGAAAAGAAACATTTTTCCATTTTATAGAGTGATCAATTCAGACTCTAGGTTATGGAAGACTGAGTCTGGACCATTTGCTCTTTGTGTAAATGTGCCCTTAAATAAAAAAGACATTCCTGCTGCATATGGAGAGATGTACCAATTTAGAGGGAAGAAAGAAAATTTGTTGTGCAAAAAGCTATTGAATGAATTTTAAATGTAGTCTGAATATATTCTTGAACATTCTATGTATTCCTTCTGATAGGTGTTGACTGATGGTAATTCAGATCTTGTGTATCTTGTGACGCTTGGCAGTAGATTCGGTTCTGACTTTATTTTGCATGCATCTCTGTGTACTGCCGCAGACTGGTACTGAACTAACTGTTCTTGGCTTCTTAATCATGGCACCTTAGTTGCCCAATGAGAATATGCAACAAATGACTACATTCCTCTCATGTTTGCAGTTTTGATGTGGTACAAATTAACATCTTGTTTGGAAGGATAAAAGAAGATTATTTTGATAATGAGGTAACAGTTGAAATCATTGACCTCAGCAGGTCAGTCTGAGGATTGGAAATTTTTTAAAGCTTCAGAATTAGCATTTTAAGTGATAACTCAAAATGCTGGTGAGGGTACTGTAGGATGGACTCTGTCACAGGTGTTCAGTGGTAGTGTTACTTGGTCATCTTTCTGGAAAGCAGTTTGTTTATTTATGTCACGAACCATAAACATATGTAAGTTTATTGGCCCAATAATTCCACGACTAGGAATCTATCCCACAGAAGTCACCAGAGATGTGACTTATGCACGAAAATGTTTAGTGCTGCAGCAGTTACAATGACAGAAAAAAGTGGAAAAAGTGTGAATGCCCACTAATGTGAGGCAGTTGGTGTAAAGTGTGGTTTTGTTCATATGAGTTGTAAGTGACAAGGGGAGGTTGAGGAAGAGTTTTAATTCAGGGAAAATGTTTATTGGTATGTTTTAAGAAGCAGGAAACAAAATTGTATATACAGTACAATTTGGGCTATGAAAAAAAGCACTTGAGAGGATTAAAAGAAAATACGCTGAAATATTAATAATGGTTTCCTTTTGGGAAGTGAGGTTATACATGACTTTTTTTTGTTTTGTTTTGACTTTCGTACGTTTCTATGGGGTGCATGTATTAATTTTATATTTGAGGGAACAAAAAGCTGAAGTCATAAGACAAATATTTGAATGGCAATTTTGAGTGGAGTCTTAGGTTTTAAGGTTTAAGAATAAAAATCCTCCCCAACAGGCAACAGAAATGAATCTAAGTCAGAAATGCAATGAATTGGACTAAATCCCATGCTTACTTAAGATGGAATTTTAAAATATGGCATCACATATGTTTGTGGAGGAGTTTCAAATGTGAGAACTTGGTAAAAGTGAACTTGGAGGAATTTTGTCTTCTTTTTCTAACAGCAACAACAACAACAAAAAAACCCCATAAATCTTACTTGGATATTTGAGAGGGGAGGAAAGCACCTTGATAAGAATGGATACTGTGTACTCAGCCAAGAAAAAAATCATGGCTCTAAAGCAATCATCCTGGACCAAAAGATTCATATTCCAAGGAATTAATAGGTAGCTGAATGGTGGTGCCTCTCTGTGTTGGGCACATTATTTTTATGAGTTCTGAGTGCTTGCTTGGGACAGTACTTTGGAATATCACTTTGGAAAAATCAGAGAAAAATACCTAATATGGCAGCCTGTGTATTCCCCTTAATTTAATTATGAAACTCAGATAACTACAGATTGCAAATTTGGTTTTTTTAGGAAAAAGATATGTGGCTTTTTTTTTTTTTTTTTTTTTTTTTTTGAGACAGGATCTCACTCTGTCACCCAGGCTGGAGTGCAGTAGCACGATCATGGCTCACTGCAGCCTTGACCTCCTGGGCTCAGGTGATCCTCCCACCTCAGCCTCCCTAGTAGCTGGGACTGCAGGCACATGCCACCATGCCTGGCTAATCTTTGTATTTTCTGTAGAGACAGGGTTTTGCCATGTTGCCCAAGACAGTCTTGAACTCTTGGGCTTAAGTGATCTGCCTGTCTCGGCCTCCCAAAGTGCTAGGATTACAAGCGTGAGCCACTGCACCTGGCCAAAAAGATATGTGGCTTTTAAAAAATAACTTCCACCCAACAGTATGTTTCCCATCACGGAACTTGTGTAATTATAGTCTAATGTGTTTTTTCTTAAGAAGAACCTCTGCCAGGCATTAGGAAGTTCATCAGCAATTTCTCAAACTTCTCAAGGAGGGAAAAGCCTTGAGGTTTAGACTGGAATAGGTTTTTCAGGTCTACAGAATTGGTACAAATGGATCGGATTTGCTGTTCTTGAAACATAATAAAGCCTCCTGCTGCCTTATTCTTCCAGTCTTGATGTCATGTCATTTTTTTCTTCTTTTAAAAATATACTCATCTCATTATCCAGAGTGACTAAGAGGCGCAGCATATGTGCCACTAAAATACTTGTCCTCGATTCGCTCTTTCTTTTCTCCTGATACCTGTTGCTCAGGAAATGACTTACCCATCTGGTTTCATTAGTCATTCTGATGTGCTTTGTCAAATGCCCTCCATGGAGCGTGGTATTGAACATCATCTCCCTACCTCAATAAATGCCCATTTCCCTTCACTTACTACATGCATTTAAAAAATATATTTTAGGGTTTTGGTTTAAAGACTAAAGTTCCTTTTGCTTTATGTTATTTAGTGGCACTGAACTTCTTTAATATATTAAGAAATATTTCCACTACCAAACTCAAAGAGCAAAAGTCAAAAAAATGCAGTGAACAAGATTAGGAAAGAATCCTTACTTTGAGGCAAAGACAATGCAAGTATCTCAATTAATTCAACATCGGTAGTTCTCGTCAAAAATCTATCCCAAAATCTGTGCCTCTGTGTGTGTTGCTGGAAGAAACACGAAGTTTGCTTTCTGGGTGGTTTCCCTTCAGCTGCCTTTCATTCCTTATGCTTGACGCTGGTTTTATTTCTAGAAGAAACCAACCTTAAAAGTCTCTGGTTTAGCAATAGGAGGAGTTCAAAACATTTTCACCTGTTGTTAGTTGTGTTTGTTTAAACAAACTCATGCAACTATTGTTGCTTACAGCCACCGGGTTCGTTTCTGCTGGCCTGGCAGGGTTTGTGTTGGCAATGGTAGAGAGATGCTATCGGCATCTCATTGTGTACTGTTTGCATAACGGGACAGGACAGCCAACTCCAGCCATTAAAAAAAATGCTTTGGATTAGATGAATGGTTTTATTAAGGTACCTGTCAGATTGGGAAGGTGCAACTGTGACTGATGAGGACCTCCTGAAGAGGATCCCAGCCACAGCTGGTGGGAGGGGGGGGCTGGTAGTTGACCCAGACTCAGGAATGTGGCTGCACTGCAATGGGCTGGCCACCCAAGAGTGGGAGAGGGTCATCGGTGAGGGAGAGCACTGGCAAAAGCATTGTCAGTTGCATTGTCCTTTGGGGCTTCAGGTTTTTTATACCTCAGAGGATCTAGGGCTATTCCGGAAACATCAGCCAAGGGAAGCTCTACTGGATTTTCCTCAGTTAATAGCATCTACACAAGGCTTTCCTTCAAGAACAGTCATCCTGTTAGCTACTAATAAAATAACATAGAAGTGCTGAAGTTTTGAGCCTGGAAACAATAATTTTAAAGATACATAGTGTTTGAGTTTACTTATTTGCTCTTAGAATGAAGTCACCACTTGTCACCGTGACTATGGAAACATAGGAAATACATTTTGGGGAGTTCTGCTTAAGTCATTCCATGTCCCCTAGTAAGGTTCTCAAAGTGTGGTCCATGGGACATTAGTGGCAACAGAACCCGGAAGCATATTAGATATGCAGAATTTCAGGCTCCACCCAAGACCTGAAGCAGTAGCTGCATTTCATTGAGATCCCCAGGTGATGTGTGGGCACATTAAAGTTTGAGAAACATTCCGATTTTTAGGGTGGTCTAGATTCAGGTTGCAGATACTGTCGACTCAGTAGAGATTTCATGTGAAGCTCTTTAGTCAGGATTTGGGGTGATGGAAATTGGCATGTAAACCGTCCCTTCTTTCTGTAGCAGAAGAAAGTTGGGCTGTGATAAATTTCAGTTAACCAGGAGCCATGACTCTAGCCACTTGGGACTGAAATAATTAGTGCAAATCCTTCTGTAGTTCAGAATGAGTAGAAGAGGCCACAGTCAGGGTTAAAAACTCTGGTATCCCCCACTCTCACTCTCCTTTCTAGACCCTTCTTCCCCAATCCAGAGGACCCAAATTGCAGCCTTTTTGTCCTAGATAGGCCCTCCTGGAGGTCTCTCTTTAATGCAGAGGATGCCCCTTTTCTCACAGTGTGCACATAGTAGGCCTTTTGCTGACCTTGTGGGTGTCCTTTATTGTCCTGTGCAGCAAGGTCGCTATATCCTGACATGTGACTCATAGGCAAGACAGCAATTTCTGATAAGGAGGGAAGGGTGGCCATTCCACCTCCTCACTGAGGCCCGTGTGTTATGTAATGCATTTCCTGCCTTTGATTCTTTACCCATGTGGCCCTGCCTGTCTACTGTCCTGGCTGCTGTTTTCTTTGTTCTGCAGCAGAGGAATTCAACCTCTCTGGGGCTTAAATCCCACTCAACCCTGGCTGTTTCTTGGCACAGTTTTTCCTTAGGTGGCAGTTCACTGGGGGGCAGAGGCACATTTTCCAAACCCTGCTGTGTCTCAGTTCATCTAATATGTCTTCATTTCAAGAGAGATTTGGGCAAAGGCTAAGCTGATTACAGGGCTCAAGTGGAGCCCTGAGCACATTTCAGATCTGGAATGCAAATTGTTGTCTGCAGTAATTGTAGTTTGCACCATGGCCCTACTCAGCCCCCATGGTCATTTTCCTGCTGCAAAATAAGCAGCTTTGTGCTTTCAAAGTGGGAGGTAATGAGGGGGAGAGGAGCACCTAAGGGACATTAAGGAGTGTTTTCAGAGCCTGTCTGCAAGCCTGAGTGGGAGCAGAACGGACCCAGATGTGTGTAGGGATGCTGCCACTGAAAAGCTCTGTGACCATGGGCCAGGAACCCAACCTCGCTGAGCCTCAATGTCTTCTAGTCCTTGCTTCAGAGGGTTGCTGTGGTGATAAGGTGGCAATGATGTGGCAGGACACTCAACATGGTGCCTGGTATATAGTAGATGCTCAACAAGGGGGAGTTTCTTTTCACTGCCTACAGGTGCCATAAGCTTTGGGGTCTGCAGTGGGGAAACACGTGCCCTTCTTAAAGGGTGATTCCAGCACACATGTTGGTTAATACTCTCCTGCTCTGAAGAGCTTTGGTGCATCCTTCTCATGCTGCATGTGTCTGCAGAATTGAGGGCTGGCTTAGAGTGCTGGCTTGGGGTAGATTTCCTGCATGTCAATCTAGCTGTGTGCTGTCTGGCAATTGCTTAACGTCTCTGAACCTCAGGTTTTCTCATTCATAAAATAGACATCATAATCATTTTTGATTCACAGGTTGTTAGAAATATTTATGTAAAAACAAATGTAAAATTGAGCACCAGTGCTTGACACAAACTGTGAAGGCAGTACTATTGTTATCCCCTTTGCAGAGATGAGGAAATCAAGGTTTTTGTTTGTTTGTTTGTTTGTTTTTTATGGGTCAAATGACTTTCCCAACTCTGCAGCTCATATGCGGTACCACCTGGACTCTGGCCTAGCAGATTGGCTCTGTGGTCCATGGTAGGTATCCCTGACATTGAACCTCCAGGTGGTTGGAAATACTGCACAAACACACTTTAGGTGCCTGATCCTGGGGCTCCCCTCCTCAGACCCCTCATTTTTGTTGAAAAATTCTTTGTTAAATTGGGTTAAAGCAGATCATAATAAAATCACTATTACCATATTATATAATGTTACATATCGTATATTTAAAATATAAGTTTATGTTATATATTATACTTTTATATAAGATTATTATATGTAGTATCAGCAACAGCTATTTACACAGATTTGCATTGCTATTGGAAATGCCCTAGCCATTGTCAGCACTTATAATTGCTTTTTGTTGTGCCACATGGGGGCTTATTATCCGTCATGTTGCTGCAAAATTACTTGTTTATCTTATAGTCTCTAGGAAACTGCAATTGTTACTTACTATGTGCCAGGCACTATGCTCAATGATACATATTTGACTTATTTGATTCTCACAAGAACTTTTTGCAGTGGGTCCTCTTACTGTTCCCATTTACCAGAGGAGGAAACAGAGGCACAGGGAAGTTAAGTAAATGATCAGGGGTCACGCATTAAGTGACAGCACTGGGATTTGAACCCAGGTTATCTGGCTTAGAACTCCTATTCCTCACTTCTGTGCTAAACTGCCTTCCTTTATTTCTGGTCTGTGTTCTGGTTGCTATGCCCTCACCACCCCGGCTGGCTTGGCATTTCCAGACCTCTGGGGCTGCACACTTAACACAGCATTCCCTGGGGCCTGTTACTAAGTATGAGTCCCTCTCAGCCTCAAAGGGTCATTCTGGGGACTCCTCCCACCCCTCCCGGGGTATTCATCCAACCCAGGAGGCTCTTTGTGGCTCAACCACACACATTCTTTTAAAAAATAAAAATCAGCTTTTCATTTTAATGATGACACAACCCAGAGGTGAGGTTCTTGTTATCACACTGGGGGAATCTGGGTGATTGGAGTTGTAAAATCAAGTAGCTGGGGAATTCCTTGTTTTCTCCATAAATTATCCATGTGAGAGCTCTGTGTAATTTCACATTACAGGAGGGAATGGCTGTGTTTAACTCCTTCTGTTGGAAGGGCAGACTTATTTCACTTCTTACTCAGCCAGGAGAGGGAGTTGGAAAGCATAGAAATGGAACTTCTTGTTATTACAATTCCTGGCTTTCAGCAAATATATTTATGTTTGTGTACTTTAAAAATACATAGGAAAAGCATCTGACTAGTACTGTATTCTATGGCCATGGCCACTGTTCTTGACAAAAAGAATTTCTATCTGGTCATGCAGCTGTTCTGGCTGAGAAACTTGCCCTGGTTCCCCATTTCCTGCAGGGTGGAGTTGGAACTCCTTCCTTGGCTCCAAGCATCTCATCCCTGGCCTTCGCATCCTGTCCCTTCCATAGACCCCTTGACTGTCTCCTCGCCTCCTGAATGAACTTTGCTGTTCCCACTTCTCACCTTTGCGCTGACCCCCCTCTCCTCAGCCTGGCAACTCCTATACATCACTGACAACCAGCTGGAATGGCACTGTCATTGGGGAGACCCTGAGAATGGTCCCTGGCTTCTTCCTCTGCAGCCTAGTGCTTCGAGGCTGTGGGAACCAGCAGGTTGAGCAGTGAGCATTGTGTACAGGTCTGCGTCTCCTCTGGCCTGTGAGCTTCTGAGGTATTTTTGCATGCCTGATGCTTTGAACACAGAGCTGGGCACATTTCTGTTGAACAAAGGAAGCTGGTCTCATCTTTACACATGTCAGTCTGCATTTCTTCCCCAAGAAGGGTTTTTGGGTGATGGGTAGAATACCAGGTGGGAGATTGGACCACCAGCCTCCAGGCTCCATGAGAGCCAGGCTGTCCTGTGGCTTTGGTGCCTGCACTGTGGCCAGTGTGTATTCAGTCACTGCCTGAATGAGTATTGTGGTAAGAACCTGTGCTGCAGGCCTAGACTCCAGTCCTTATTCCATTACTGCCAAGCTTGGCACATTGGACAACTTTTTTTAACCCTTCTGAGCCTCTTTCCTCATCTATAAACTAGGGATAATAAAAGTACTTATCTCATAGGGTGGTCATAGAATTAAATTAGCTTAGCCTACCATCTGACACATAGCAAGCCCCCAGTCAATGGTGGTTCGTATTGTTGTTAATAATGAAGTGGATTGGTTACAGGATGTGATAAGTAGTGGGAAGGAAATCAGTAGGGTATCATGATAGAGAATAACGATGGTGGGGTATAAGGCATGGTCCTATAGACAGCCTGGTCAGGGAAGCCTCCTGTGAGCTGAACTTGAGTGATGACACAGCTGAGTTAAGCAGAAAATGAATTTATTACAGTGTCTAGGGTAGCTCAGAGAATTTCGGAAGGACCAGGGAAACAGGGACAACTCCAAATTATACCACCAAACAGTTATTGTAAAGACACTATTGCTACCACTGCTGGGTAGGTGTAGACGCCATGGCTTGCACCACCAATGCTGGTTGTAGGCTGTGGCTACCCAGTCTACCCTTACTCTGCCTCTGCAAGCTGCCACCACCCTCGCAGAATGGGGTCTGCAGCGGCCCTGCCGCTTTGCATCCCAGCACATGATTGGCTGAGCCTGCTCATGTTCTCATGCTGTGGCTGCAAGGGAGGCTGGGAAGCAAGTGTATGGCACTCTCATCTCCTCTGGTAGAATGTGGGCTCTGGTTCCTGAGTTGGGGAATTCCCCAAAGCTAGCCAGGTAGGGGGTTCAGCTGCAGGAGACTCAAAGGGTGACCCTTATGTCAGAGGCATGTGAACAAGAGCAACTCCATCTTGAATAGGAGCTGGGTAGCATGAGGCTGAGACCTACTGGGCTGCATTCCCAGACAGTTAAGGCATTCTAAGTCACAAGATGAGATAGGAGGTCAGCACAAGATACAGGTCATAAAGACCTTGCTGATAAAACAGGTTGCAGTAAAGAATCTGGCTAAATCCCACCAAAACCAAGATGGCAACGAGAGTGACCTCTGGTCATTCTCACTGCTACACTCCCACCAGTGCCATGACAGTTTACAAACGCCTTGGCAACGTCAGGAAGTTACCCTATATGTTCTATAAAGGGGAGGCATGAATCATCCACCTCTTGTTTAACATATAATCAAGAAATAACTGTAAAAATGGGCAACCGTCTATGGAGTAGCCATTCTTTTATTCCTTTACTTTCCTAATAAACTTGCTTTCACTTTACTCTCTGGACTTGCCCTGAATTCTTTCTTGCATGAGATCCCAGAACCCTATCTTGGGGTCTGGATCAGGACCCCTTTCCTGTAACACAGAGACTCATGGAGTAAGGAACACGTAGTGTCGCTGGGCCTCAGCAGCTTTCATCTAATAGGCAGTGGTGCTTTAAGAAAGGCCTGACTGCTTTCCTCTTAGACAATGATTTTTTTAAAAAGAGTGCTGAATTTGGAAGCAACTAGTTCTCAATGTGATGAGAGGCTAGGAACTATTTTTTACACATCATTTAGTTTGTGCAGGTGTGGGGTAGCATGTTTCTCCCCTGTTTATCACAGACTTGCATTCCTGTTGGAAATGCCCTAGCCATTGTCAATGCTTATAATTGCTTCTTGTTACAGCCACGTGGGGCTTATTGTCCATGATTTTGTTGCAAAGTTTATTGTTTATCTTATACGGTCTCCAGGAAGCTGCATGCGGAAATCTCTCAGCCTTACCAGGAAGTCTGACTTAAAGGGACAGCCTCCAGGGCAGAGCCCTAACTGGGAGGAGGTGCTGAGCTTCCAACCAGGACCAGTTACCTTGGGTGAGAGTTGGAAGCCCTTTCCACCTGTCTCATTTGGTTTGCTATTTTCCAGTGTTTTGGTGATTCCTTTCTGATTCTGAATTAAGGGAGAAAAAGTGGCAATACCAATTCTTCATGTACACATGAACACACCCAAAACATAACAAAACAAAAAACCACTTTCACTGGTGTTTAGGCAGAATGAACACTCTGAGTCATGGGACACACATGCTTTTAAATCTCTTGGTTTCTTGGGGGTATTTTCATAAAAGTCTTGAACTTTCTAGATGGATACAGGGATTTCAGGGAAGTCAGCATTGTAAGATTAAAAAAATAAATATGACTTAAGTTTTAACTATGCTCTCATTTTTTTTCTCTATTGGAAGGAAGAAGGGAAATGGGAAACTGCTAGTTTCTATTACCTTTTTCTTAGATGCCCAGTTGACAGTCAAATCAGGATAGAAAAATCAAACTCTGGATTTCAGATTTGGTACTGCTTTTCAATTTGCTAGGAGGAAAATTTGAACCAGTTTCCATCGTTACACCAAAAAATTTCCTCTTCTGTTTGAAAAAAAATAAATTATTACTGTGCCTTTGTCTTTTAAAAAATATTTTATTATGGAAAAATTAAAACCTATACAAAAATAGAAACAATAGTATGATGGCCCAAAGTTCCCATCATCCATTGTTCTGCTTCTTTTTTTGAGACGGAGTCTTGCTCTGTTGCCCAGGCTGGAGTGGCACGATCTTGGCTCACTGCAACCTCTGCCTCCTGGGTTCAAGTGATTCTCCTGTCCCAGCTTCCCGAGTAGCTGGTATTATAGGCACACGCCACCATGCCCAACTAATTTATATATATATATATATATATATATATATATATATATATATATATATATATTTAGTAGAGATGGGGTTTTGCCATTTTGGCCAAGCTGGTCTTGAACTCCTGACCTCAGCTGATCCTTCCGCCTACGCTTCCCAAAGTGTTGGGATTACAGGCGTGAGCCACTGCACCCAGGCTGTTCTGCTTTTAAATACATATGTCAGTTAGTATCCTACCATCCTCCCTGCAACCTGCTAGGGATAAAGGAGTCATTCCTGTTTTACAGATAAGGAAACTAAAGATCAAGGAAATTAAGAGTGACTTACCAGGTCATTCAACTAGTAAATGGCAGAGCCAAAAATCACAGAGCCCAAATATTAATTTATTGTTAACTATTCCAGCCAGATGGTTTTTCCCAGAAATTATCCCTAAAGAGTTATCTGAAGTCAAAATAATGGTGAGAAACTTTTTAATAAGAATGATTCTTGCTTTTGTTATATATTTTTAACTTGGAAATTCGGTGTGTCAAGCATTGTTTTTTGATCTAGGCAGATTACTTTTAAAAATCCTCCTGAGTATTCATGTAAGTGTCAGAAATACCCCTCCCTCCCACCCCCATATTCAGATTTTCCACTTCCAACCAACTTTGACAGTGCAATGCCAAATAGTAAGTCTCATTTCCAAGTAAGGAAGCCCTTTGGCTGATAGATATCAGCTAATCAGTTTTTAAACTTTTTTTTCTTCCTAAAAATTGTGCAGAGGTCAGTAACCCACAGACAGGAGTTTCACTTTTAACTGACAGTGTAAGGAAGGAGACTTGACAGTTTCTTGAAAAAGCTGCACCCAGGGTGTTTATGTTTCTAAGAAATAAACTGGATGAGCTTATTTGCAAGCGGCCCCTGTGTGCTTCATGCAGAAATTCTTCAGGTGGCCCTTGCTTCTTGTGTTAGTCAAGGAGGCAGAACCGCAGCGGCCAGGCCGGTGGCTGCTTCACAGCATACATCAGCTTTCCTTTTTTTTTTTTGCATTCACTTTTAAAAATAGCTGCCCATGTATCAGTTGCCAAAATAATGTGAGGAATCTGGTTATAAAAGTTCAGATTTGTTTAGAGAGAATAAAGACAGAGCTCAGGCGATTGCTTGTAACAAAACCAGTAAGATAAGCACTCAAGATTAGCCATGACTAGCAATCGTTGAGACTTCCATGTTCCAGCATCATTTATTTTTAGTTCCTGTGTTGAAACCATAGATGAAGACTTTTCTATTTATTCATTCTTGACCTTGAGCAGCCAGGTCTGCTCCCACATTCTTCTCATCATTTTATAATCTTGTTGAGCTGGGATACTAAGCAGGGCTCTCCAAGAGCATCAACATTTTCAAATGTTCACAGTCTCTTGAGTTGAACCACCTTGAGTCCAATAGGCCTTGGCCTGGGAAAGTGTCTGGACACCGCTGCTCCATTTGTCTAGAGTTCATGGTGAAGCAGGCAGAGGAATTGTTCAGGTTTTACTTGGATTAACCACCCTTCCAGCTTTGAGGAGTAGATAAAGACATTCAATAAAAGTGCATGACTGTGAGCAACTCTCAGGCTCTAATTTGATATTCTTTTTATTTCTCACTGGCTTGCTGTGCTTTATGCCTCCCTGATAACCTAGTAACACCCAAATTTTGTTTTTCCTTAGTGTTACCTGAATTTGTTTTTGAATTTTTGTTTTTCCTTAGTCTTACCTAAATTTGACAACAGTCTTAGAAACCTAAGATCTGAGAACTAATAATCTTATGATGTTGGAACCTTGGGTAAGCCAGTGTGCAATATATTATTTTAATTTGGTCACGGCTACCATCCCATTTGAGATTTTTTCCAACCTTTTTTTTTTTGGTCTTTTTTTTTTTCTTTTTATGGAGAATAGGGTCTCACCATGTTGTCCAGGCAGGTCTTGAACTCCCGGGCTCAAGCCATCCTCATGTCTCTGCCTCCCTAACCACTGGGATTACAGGTGTGAGCCACTGCACTGGCCCATGAGTTTTTTTTTTTTTTTTTTTTTTTGAGATGGAGTCTCGCTCTGTCACCCAGGCTGGAGTGCAGTGGTGCAATCTCGGCTCACTGCAAGCTCCGCCTCCCAGGTTCACATCATTCTCCTGCCTCAGCCTCCTGAGTAGCTGGGACTACAGGTGCCCGCCACCACGCCTGGCTAATTTTTTTTTGTATTTTTAGTAGAGACAGGGTTTCACCACGTTAGCCAGGATGATCTTGATCTCCTGACCTCGTGATCTGCCCGCCTCGGCCTCCCAAAGTGCTGGGATTACAGGCATGAGCCATCGTGCCCGGCCTTGGCCATGAGATTTTTTTACTACCTATTTTTAAATTCAGTTTGTGGAATTTTAAAATTTGAAGTATCAAATGGGGTATGTTTAAAGACCTTGAAATTCCCTTTCCAACTGTAAGATTTTGTGACATTTCTGGCTTGTTAAGTACAAATAAGAAAGACATTAAGGAACCAGGATAAAGTTCAAATGGAAAGAATCATCGTTGCTTGCCAACTTTTAATGAAGAAGTAATTCTGCTAAAATCTAAATATTTTATTTTATGTAAATGAAATTCTCACAACCCTGACGAGTATGTTCCTTATAATATCTTTGGTAAGGAAATTGCTTGGAACTTCTCAACAGAAAATACCCTCAGATATATCGAACAAGAACACAGGAAACATGGTTCTGGTTCTAGTGATACCATGACACTTTTGGTGACACCTTAGTTAGGTCCCAGTTTTGGTGCTAATCTCTTTAGAGCCCAACAAGAGGGGTTGTTACCAGTTTGGTTATTTAACCAGCTGTGGGAAAACAGGGTTCATCTTTGCATCGTAGGCACCCTATAGGTAGTTTCCTGTGTATAAATATATGATTCAACTCTATATACTGAAAGAAAAATACCATACCCTGAAAACCTATGCCCCCAGAATTTTGTAGGTTTTTTTCCCCCTTTTAACATTTCTCTCCAATCTATGTAGAATTTATGTTGGATGAGTATGAAGAAGGGCTTTAAAATGAGGCTTTTCATTCCAAGAGGCAAGTGAATTGTCCCATTGTTAGCGATCCTTCTCTAGTGGTTTGTGCTCTAATATGTCAGATTCTTGAATATCCCAGAGCAGGTTTCTCGCTGTGTCTTCTGAGGGCTGTATGCTTGTAGCAGGAGCTCTGAAGTAAGCTTGCTAGGCCCCACTCCTGACCAACCTCACCACCTCTAGGCCACGTGCCATGGGTAGGCGTACACCACCTTTTTGAGTCTCAGTTTTTTTAAATCTGCAAAAAGAAAGATAATAATAAGGCCTACTTTGGGACTGTTGTGAGGATCACGTGGGAAAATACATGGTAAGTGCTCATATTAAAACATAAAAAATCCTTAGTCGCTGTGGTTTCAGTAATTGTGGCTGTATGATATGTTAATATCCACACACAGGTGCACTTTCATCATGAGTTATCAACATTGGCAGAGGTAAGAGGAATGGACAATGAGAAGTGACATTTCAAGTGTATCTTTCGTATTTGCTAAATGTCCACAGGGCAGGTGGCTAAATGAGTTAATTTCCTTCCATACCATAGCATGCTCTGCAGTAAGAGGTCAAAAATGTGCGTGACAGGGAAAGATGCCCTGGATGTTAAATGAAAAAAGAAGCAAGTGGTAGAACAATGTTATCATTCTATTTTTGAAAAAAATAAGATGTTACACCCAGCAACTCGTGTTTTTAGACAGAAGGAAATGTCTGGAAGGATTACCACCAGAGGGTGCAAACTGGTGGCCCCTGGGCCAAATGTAGCCAGCAACTGTGTTATGTGGCCCATACAGTACTTCTTATGGTGATGAATAGTTGCCAGCATTTACAAATTGAGAGATTTTACATAAAACCCTGAATTTCAGGCTTCTATTGAAAAAATTAGAATGTCTGCTCACCCTGGATGATTAACCCCTTAGGAACCCGAAAAGCTGGAACTGACCTAAGACAAAAACTCTCAGTGGTGCCCCAGTGCCCACCTGGCCTTTTCTTTCAGGTACCTGACCCCTGCTCCTAAATCCTTTTGGGTTTATGAACCTCTGTCTACGTCTGGCTTTTTAACACCAGTGCATCCAGCAAATGGGATCGGGATAGAAAAAAAAGTAGGGCCTTTGGGAAGACTCACTTTTTACTTTATATACTTCTTTGTGGTTTGAATGTGTATACTTCTGTGTGGTTCGAATGTGTGACAGTGATGCTATGTTACTATTAAAATGTAAAAACCAATACATAAACATGTTTGAATACTTAGTAGTATCCTAGATGCCATAGAGAAGACTCCTGTTCCTTTTGATATCCCATTATAAAGCTCAAAATGAACGTGGACCTTGCGGATCAGAGCCTCTTACTATTGAAATTCTCCTCTTGAAGTGCCTTCTTCATGGACCCATTTCAATCCGGGAGTTCTTGCTTCTGGTCAGAGCAAGGGCATCAGAGGAGACGGCCGTGCCCTGTTTTTGCTTCCTTTTTGCAGGCTTGCATCCCTTTCCCCTGCCAGGGCATCTGTTGGCCCTCTCTCTGCCCCTCCCTGCTCCACTGCTACCTGCCCTGGAGCCCCTCAAGTTTCACCTCTTGCACGAAGTGCTGCAGCCCACGGGTTTCAGTTCTTCTTTCCCATTCAGTCAGCAGCCGGAAGTTAGGTTGAATCATTCTAGGATTTGTTCATGTGAATGTTTCCTTCCTCCTCTCCAAAGAAATAAAACGTACAATGCCCTGGTCGTCTCACATTTCCAGTGAATCCTTACTGGGGTGAGGCTGGCCTTGGCTGCTGGGACTCCTTGAAGTGGCTTGTCAGAAAATACTCCAAGAGAGGAATGGCTGGGTGATGGAGCCTCCCGCATTTCCCAGGGCACTGTCTTTCTTCATCGGCTGAATTGTCCCCAAAGCTAGCTAATCTCAAGTTGTTTACAGGCTTGTTCAAATTTAGGACCCTTCCTGTGTAGGAGGCTGGAACAAGACGCCTTAGGAATACCTGCCCTTACCCCTCCACCAGCCACCACTTAACCAGCTTGCTTTGTGGGGAGTCAGGCTTTAGGAAATAGGGAATCCCAAGGACAATCTGAAACCCACCTCTCAGTGGACACTGTCATTTGATCTGACACTCATTACCGAGTGCTTCCAGGTGCTAGCTCCATGGTGACCCAGATGCTTGCCTGAAAGGCGTAAGGCTTTTTACAGTGATTTCACTTCCTCCTTTCTCTAAGCAGGTGTGATTCCCTCACACTTTTTGAAGCAAGACCCAAGCCTGTCAGTTCAGCTTCCAGACCTATTAAAGTACTTGGTGTCTTCCAAAATACCCTGTAGTTCTGCACTGCCTTGCTGTTGAGTTTGCCAGTTCTTTTGCCTAGAACACCCATCAGAACGCTGCCCATGTGTCTCTGGCTCTGAGAACCCTTCTCAGACTTTGTCCCCATGAAAATGCATTTGCCAAGCTCACTTATTTCCTGGACCCCTCAGCACTTTTTGCAAATTTCTGGCAACGTGAATGGAAAGAGCCTGCTTTCTCATAAAAGTCTTGGATTTAATCTCCTTCTGTTAGACCGGAAGCTTGTTGTTCAAATGAACCTGCTGTCTTTGCTGGGTCCCCAGACTTTACTCAGGCTTGAGACAGAGGAAGGCTCTTAAAAATCCGTGCATTTGTAAGAAGGCCCCAGGAAACCCTGGGCTAAATCTTAACAGCTAAAATTTGTAATTAGGAAGATTTTTGCAAGTCAAATACTACCCCATTAGATAACTAAAATAAATAAATAAATAATTGAGAACTACACTGGAGTTATGTCTCCTTGAGTTTGAGACCTTCTGCCAATGTGCAAGGAGGGTGAGAGTGCTGGTTTGTTTGTGGGGAAGGAGTGAGCCAGGCATAGTTTTCAATCTGAAACCTTGTAGTTTCCTATGAGACAAGTCTACCTCACCCAAGAGGTCTGGGTTTTTTATAAGGCAAGGAACTGGAGCAAGATGTTCATTCTGGTGAGATCCCCACTTCATAAAACAAGAAATGTCAGCCATGAATTATTTCCATAATAGCTCTGAGCAGGAAGACCTCTTGTTATCCATGACAAAAGTTGAAAGGGAGGTTTCCAGAAGCAGCTATTTTGAAAGGGCTCTGAAGAGAAGATGCCAGGTTTGCATAAGACAAAAAGAAACGGATGGGTGTGTAGTTGCTTTTGAACCGCGACTCAGTGTGGGCTCTGTATCCCGGACAGGGCTACTGATTCTTGGGTAAAGTTCAAGTAGATCATTGATTCCTCTTTGAAGACCCAAAGCTCTCCTCCCAGTGTCCCTTCTCCTAGTGATGCTTTATTTTCTATTTCACCCCAGTGTTTGGGTCTGCAAAGCTCCAGGCAGCACAGCCGCTGCAGCCGATGGGATGCTTCACATTGCTTTTGGTGGGGACCCAGTGAGCACTGTTTGTCTCTTACAGGCTGGGGATTGTCAGTCAGAAACTGAACTTCTGGTGTACCTTTGAATGCCCAAAGAGTGCTCTGCAAAAGCAGCAGTAGCAGGAGAGGTGGGGAGCTCTTGACTGGTGCGGCTCTCAGCCTCTGACACTTGTAACTGATGGCCCCTGTCACTTCCTGTCATGCAGCCCAAGTGGCGGGGAGGAGTTCCTTCAGGGAAACTATGCTCAGCCCTGTTCAGAGAATCCTGTGCACAGGGCTCCACTGCAGTTAGGAGCCGGTGAGTCCGGGTGGATGAGGTCAGAGCGCCCCATGGTGTGGTGCTGCCTCTTTGTCCGTTCGCAGGTAAGCCCCCTGCTGCTGAGCCTGGGATGGGCCGGCTCTCAACTCCCACCCGAGCCGGGTGGGGTGGTGCCAGGATCTGAGGTGTGGGAGGATGCAGTGTTCTCTTTACCTTCCAAGAAACTGATCAGGGAGCTGCTGTTAAAAGCACCTGGGATGATGGAGCCAGATTCCCGCCTCACTTTCGTATGAATCAGAAGAGCACTGTGTGGCTGTGTTTAAGACCGCAGATGGCTTTGCTTGGTTGCGAGGGTGAGCTGAGTGGCGTGCATAGCTGTCAGGGCCTCCTTTAGCATAAGTGATTGGAGGGGAACAAAGGGAAGGGCTTTTCACGCTCTGCTGTGCAATGCTACTGTTTTAATTTTTGTAAGAGAATGGTTTTAATTAATGGGAAGGAAAAGAGGGAAAAGAAGGATGCATCTGCCTTCTGTTTTGTTGTTGCTATTTAATCACAAAGTGGATTTCCAAGATCTTCTCTTTTTCTTTGGATTGGAAGATGGCTAAACTCAGTTTTAGAAGTTCATGCTGGTTGGAGCAACTGTTTTGTAGATTTCCCTAAAGTGATCCTGGTGTTTTGAGTCTGTTTATTATTGGGAGAGTGAAGTCAGATATTATCAGTGGAGACTCAGACTTGATACCATTCTCATTAAGAACATCGTTTTTTGGTTTGGGTTATTTTGGAAAGAGTGTCTGGAAATGTTATATTTCCATGGGTTGAAGAATGGTTAGGAGCTCTGAAGGTTACATTCCCTATCCCTTTTATTTATTTGTTTTTTGTAGAGGTAGTTGTTAAAGTTTTGGATGAGCCAAAACTGTTCTTTATTTGTTTGTTTGTTTTTGTTTTTTGAGACAGAATCTTGCTCTGTCATCCACGCTGGAATATAGTGGCACAATCACGGCTCACTGCAACCTTGACCGCCCGGGCTCAAGCAGTCCTCTTGCCTCAGCCTCCCGAGTAGCTGGGACTACAGGCATACACCACCATGCCCTGCTAATTATTTCATTTTTTTTTGTGGAGACGTGGGTCTTACTATGTTGCTCAGGCTCATCTTAAACTCTGAGCTCAAGCAATCCTCCTTGAGCTCAAGCTTCAGCCTCCCAAAGTGCTGGGGTTAGAGGCATGAGCCACTGCACCTGGCCTGCCAAAACTGTTTTTTAAAGGCAATGCCCATTGCTTTTTCTATTCTTCTCATCAGAACTATGTTCCTGGGACTGATTTCTGTAACCCTAATTCCAGCTCTTGTGTATGACCATTCTAGACATACTAATTTTTTTTCAATTTTTTTTATTGTGGTAAAATACATATAACACATAATTTACCATCTTGACTATTTTAAGTATATAGTTTTGTGATATTAAATACATTCATAATGTTGTGCAACCATCACCACCATCCATCTCCAGAACTCTTTTCACCTTGCAAACTGAAACTCTATACTCGTTAAACAATAACTCTCCATTCTTCCCTCCCCCATCCCCTGGCAACCACCATTCTACTTTCTGTCTCTGTGATTTTGATTACTCTAAGTATCTCATATAAGTAGAGTCAAACAGTATTTGTCTTTTTTTGACTGGCTTATTTCACTTTGCATAATGTCCTCTGGGTTCATTCAAGTTGTAACGTGTGTCAGAATTCCCTTCCTTTAAGAATATTCCGTTATTGTACATGGTGGTAATATTGCGTGGAGCTCTGAAGGTTAACAGAGAAACAAATACTCAATTTCTCTGTGAATATACGACACTATTGCATGATTATATGTAGTACATATTTTGCATTTCATTATTACCTCTAATAGTGATTGAAAACTACCCTCTGTATTACAAGGCTGAAAGATTTGAGAGCTGTTTACTGCATGCCCCACATTAAACAGTTTTTCTTGTCAATTAATATTGTTAAACGGTGACATACCACATTTTGCTTATCCATTCATCCTTGGATGGGCCTTGGGTTGCTTTCATGTTTTAGCTGTTGTGAATAATGCTGCTATGAACATGAATGTACAAATATCTCTTAAGACCCTGCTTTCAATTTTTTTCCCATAAGTCATTAGAGTACAGCTAGTATTTGGTTACATGAGTAAGTTCTTTGGTAGTGATTTGTGAAATTTTGTTGCACCCATCATCCAAGCAGCATACACTGCAACCTATTTGTAGTCTTTTATCCCTCACTCCTCTCTCACCCTTCCCCTCAAGTCCCCAAAGTCCATTATATCATTCTTATGCCTTTGCGTCCTCATAGCTTAACTCCCACATATCAGTGAGATCATACGTTGTTTGGTTTTCCATTCCTGAGTTACTTCACTTAGAATAATAGTCTCCAGTCTCATCCAGGTTGCTGCAATGCCGTTAATTCATTCCTTTTTATGGCTGAGTAGTATTCCATTGTATAAATATACCACGGTTTATTTATCCACTCCTCGATTGATGGGTGTTCCATGATTTTGCAGTTGCGAATTGTGTTGCTATAAACATGCATGTGCAAGTATCTTTTTCGTATAATGACTTCTTTTCCTCTGGGTAGATAGCCAGTAGTGGGATTGCTGAATCAAATGGTAGATCTACTTTTAATTCTTTAAGGAGTCTCCACACTGTTTTCCATAGCAGTTGTACTAGTTTACATTCCTGCCACCTGCTTTCAGTTTTTTTGAGTATATACCCAGAAGTAGAATTGCTAGAACATACAGTAATTCTATTTTGAATGTTTTGAGTAACCGCCATACTGTTTTCCACAATGGCTATTCCATTTTATATTCCCACCTACAGTGCACAAGGGTTCCAGTTTCTCCACATCCTCACCAACACTTCTAATTTTGATTTTTTTTCAATAGTAGCCATTCTAATAGGTGTGAAGTGGTATCACCTTGTAGTTTTGATTTGAATTTCTCTGATTATTAGTGATGTTGAGCATCTCTTCGTGTGCATTATTGGCCATTTGTATGTCTTCTTTGCAGAAATGTCTGTTCAAGTCCTTTGCTCACTTTCGAATTGGGTTGCTTATTTTTTTTGCTATTGAGTTTTAGGAGTTCTCTACATATTCTGAATATTAATCTCTTTTCAGATATATTATATGCAAATATATTATCCCATTCTTTGTGTTGTCTCTTTGTTTTGTTGACATTGTTTAGACATAGTTTTTTTTGTTGTTGTTGTTGTTTTTTTTTTTAGGAGACAAGGTCTTGCTCTGCCTTGCTCGAGCCCAGGCTCGAGTGCAGTGGCACAATCATAGCTCACTGCAGCCTTGAACTCCTGGGCTCAAGCAGTCTTCCCACCTCAGCCTCCTGAGTAGCTGGGACTACAGGTATGCACCACCATACCCAGCTAATTTTTTAACTTTTTTGTCAAGACCAGGTATTGCAATGTTGCCCAGGCTCGTCTTGAACTCCTGGCCTTAAGTGATCATCCCACCTTGGCCTTCCAAAGTGCTAGGATTATAGACGCAGGCCACTGCATGCCCCCCAGATGTATATTTTTAATACTTTGATGTGACTGGGGTAATTTCAGCCTTTCCCCATCTCACTCACCTCACTATTTGTTCTCTTGACAAAGAATAATTTTTGAGTCTTTCAAGTATGAAAGTTGACAATATTCAAATGATTGATTACATGTCAGTGATAGTTAATACAATGTTAATAACAATATAATACGATAATAACTTACATTTATTAGATGCTTATCTAAACACTTTACTCAGATTTGCTCATGAAAGTCTTACAACACTGTAGGGATTGGCTACTATCATTATTCTTGTTTTGCAGATGGCAAAACTGAGATTTACAGAAGATAAATAATTTGTCTAGGTCACCTACATGGTTAAGTAGTGGATCAGGTTTCAAACCCAGGAAGAATGGATTCAGAAATGATGTTTTTAGCCATTAGGTGCTATGTGATAACTTTAATGTGGGGTCCTTCCCAGATCTCCTATTATGTGCAACATCTGCAGTAACACTTTGCTTTCCAATGATTTGGTAAGTTATCCCATTTTGGTGAATGTTTGCTGTGGTCCAGTTAGTGCCTAAGTAAGAGGCACCTATGACAAGTCACTACTTTCTCTGGACTCAGTTTCCCCACTTGTCAAATCAGAGATGTCTCTAAACTCATTTTAGCTCAGATATGAATCTAAAGTATGCAAATATCTTGCACAAAAAGTCAAAAATAGTTTTCATATCTGCCCTACTTCAAAGTCAAATGATTTAATGAATGATTTAATGAATGATTTAATGAATGTGTTTAAGTACACATTTCCCAAGGATATCAACTAGAACTCAAAATGTAATTGGCTGACTAGCTACTTTATTCTGCTTATGAACATATATATGTATATATATATGTGTGTATATATATATGTGTGTGTATATATATATGTAATTTTTTTTTTCTTTTAGAGACAGTCTTGCTCTGTCGCCCAGGCTGGAGTGCAGTGGCATGATCATAGCTCACTGCAGCCTTCACTTTTTGGGCTCAAGTGATCCTCCCCCATCGGCCTCTGGAGTAGCTCAGACCTTAGTGTGTAAGGGCTTAGCAACAACAGGACTCTGAAGCACCTATGTCCTGAGGTAAACATGGACGTAGTTTGATTTTGTGGAGGGAAGGAAGCAGCATATTCGATGCAAGGTGGAGACTGCATTTTAAAGCCACTATTCTAGCCATGTTTTTACAGCTTGCCCAGGACGCCAAGTAGGAGCCATGGAAGGGGAAGTTGATTCAAACTAGATCCTAAAAAGGCCTCTCTTGATGGAACACTCAGACGTGTGACTCGGAGCGGGCAAGGTCAGAGTGGTGACCCCAGCTGTTCACCGGGACAGAAACAATGGGTGGCTTTAGGACCTAAATATAGACAAAGTGGATGTCACTTAGGGAAACTCATTCCTGATACTGGCCGGGGTGGGCAGTTCTCTTGGGAAGCAGCTCCTGTGTGCCAACCCTTGCTCTGCCAGCCCTCTTTTTCTGAATATCTCTGTCCATATTCTAGCTTCCCTGCATTCTTTGGGCACCTGCCTCAGCTTGGCAGCTTTGAAATAACCCATGACAGATCCTTATTTCCCCATCTCTCCCTTCCAAGTCTTCCTTGCAGTGCTTACCACCTCTCTCCTTTACCTCTCACAGACCCCACCCAGCCCCTGCCATAAACCCCAGGTGTCCTCTCCACCATATTCCTTGTGGAGGGACGAGAGCACTGGGCTAGGAGTCAGGAATCTGAGGATCAAGTTCTGGATTTTGCAGTTAACCCTGGGCAAGGCTAAACTTCCCCAGTACGAGGTTCTCCAAGCAGAACCAGTGGAGACGTAGCCATCAAGGACTGAGATCCTGGAGGTTGCAGCCTGAAGTCAAATCCTCACTGTCACTTACTCTGTGACCTTGTTCAAGTTCCTTACCTCTCTGGGCCTCAGTTTCTTCACCTGCAGGATGAAGATGCTGATAGTACCTGCCTCATAGGGTATCAGGAATTTATAAGATAATATCTGTGAAGCGCTTCAAACAGCTTATCTTGTTAGTGCTCAAAAATGCTCACTATGATTATGATTGTGATTTTTAGGAAAAAGAGACTTGAAATAGATCAGTGTTTCCCAAATTTCACTCACATTTTTCATATCCACATACCACCGGTACTATTATTTTTCAGTTACTGTATTTCTTTAAATTATCTCTTTTTCGTTTCTGTTTTTGGCTTTTTAGGTTTGGGTTTTTTGGTTTGTTTTTGTTTATTTTTTAGACTTAGACACATCCTAAGCAGTAATAGCCCTGAAATCACAGGTTGGAAATGTGTTTCCTAAAACATATTATAATAAATATATACAGGTCTATTGCATATGGTCTGAGATTATATTATATCACCAGTGGGGTCCACTTTACATGCTTTGGGGACTGCAGAACCAGTGGCTCTGAGCATCTGAGGTCCAGTTTGCTGCCTCTAGTGATTTTGACTGTACTCATCCCATCTTTCCATCAATCAGGCACTGCCTGAGAACCATCTTTGTGCTGGATTCTGCGCCAGGTGCCAAGGTGGCCAAAATATGGGTCTTTGGAGTCCCCACTATCTTCTTTGAATGGAACATTACCAGCCCAGAGAAAATGGGGGAGAGAGGGACACACACAAAGTGACCTAATTTCTGAAACTCCATCTTAAAAGTAAGAAAAGCCAGGGCCACTCTCCCTGCCTGAAACCTCTGGAGTTGGGTAAAGGAGATCGTCTCAGTCAGCTTTTGCTGAGTAACAGCTACCCCGAAACTCAGTGGCAAACAATAACAAACATTTACTCTTATGCTTATAAGTGCGCAAGTTGGCTGGGGTGGTCTGTCCTACATGGGTTCATTCTGGACAGTACTACTCACGTATATATTCTTCTCTTGTGGAGCAAGCAGAAACACATGATGTCTCGTAAGATGTAGGCTCAGAGTTGGTACACTGTCTCTTTCACCTCACAGGATCAAGCCATGGATGTCAGGGAAAGGCATAAATATTTGCTGAAGAATAAATTGATCTACCACCAAGATCATCACCATTTACTTACTGAACCCACATTTACTGAGTGTGTATTGTGTGAAGCACTCTGCATGTTGCTGGGAGTGGAGGGTGTTAAACGTAGTAACAGTAAGTGATGAAGGTGATGAGAACGCCTATCCCAAGGCCCGGCATGTATTAGGTCCTAAATGAATATGTGATGAATGGTGATGTACTGGTACCTCTTGAGTGCTGACTAGTGATCAGTATTTCACAGGGATTGTTTCATCTTATCTTCCCAGCCCTCTTGGGCAGATACAGCAAGCTCGGGTCAGACAAGTGCAAGGCTGTTAAATGCTTGTGATCTTCTGATATGAGAAAGGGAGAGTTGATGGAGGCATGGCAGCAGGGAGAGGCCACATGCCGTGAAACCATCCCTGATGCTGGGGAGAGAGGCAGGCTCTGCACCAGCCAAGCACAGGTTCAAATCCCTTATGTGTATATTTCCATGCGCACTTTGTGGACTGTTTTGGGCACAAACTCTTCAAGCACCCACACATACTAAGAATTTAACATGGTACTTGGCCTCTCATAGTTTCACTACATCACTAGCCCTCTGCCTTCCTGAGTTCATGTGTATCTTTGAGTATTCTCTTTAGAAAACTGCACATAGTTATGAAAATGTCTGTGTGGTCCCCTGGCTCCTGGTGAAGAACTCTGCTCTAATTTTTCACTCCATCCATTCTCCCTTCTCCTTCTTTCTCTCTCTTAAGAAATTACTCCAGAAGCGAAGCGGTGTTTTTCTGTATTTGTATGCCAGTGTCAGGTCCAGGGTCTGACTCGTATTAGCTGCCCAATGAGTGTTTTCTAACTGAGTGAGAGAATAAAGATGATAGTGTTGATGATACCTTGTTTGCATGTGCATAGCGTCAGGGAATTTTTGAACTGAATGAGATAGAACATACATGTGCATGTGTCATTATGATAGAATAATTTCTCTTCCTTTGGGTATATACCCAGTAATGGGATTGCTGGGTCAAATGATATTTCTGTTTTAAGGTCTTTCAGAAATCACCACACATAGCATCCAACCCCTTTATTTTCTGGATTATAAAACTAAGACTGGATTATAAACCTTACCCAAAGGCATACAGCTAATAATAATAATATTATGATTATAATTAACATTTCCCCCCAAGCAGATACAATTAGATCTCATTCCCTCAGTACCTTTTCAGAATACAGGGTCCATTCTGATGTATCAGTTTTATGGATCATGTTGCAAAACTGAGTTGTCTTGTCCCTCGTATCTGAAGCCAAAGACATGGATGAGAGAAACATATTCCACATCTCAACTGCAGAACCATTATGGTGTGAGCCCCTTAGGGCAAAGTGCTTGTCACCTCACCTCTTTCTCTGGATCTCCCCTTTCCACTCTGTCCTTCAGTTCTTGCCCAGAGCTGTGTATACGGACGCGGAGATGGGGACATTTGTGCTGAGGCTGGTCAAGCTGTGGGTGGAAGGTGGATTACAGACAGAGCAAGGGAGGAATTTGTTCCTGCAGAGTCCTGGAAATCTTATTTGGAGCTGTTCTTCTATTCTTAGTTTCGAAGGCACTTTGTTCTCTGGTGCATTGTTTTAACAGCCATCAGGAAATCAGTCCCCGCTCGGGGTCACTGGTGTCTGCCTGTGGCTGCCCAGGTGGGAAGTGTACTGGTTTGTTGCAGGGTTGATCCTTTGTCATCAGGATCATTGTAGCCCTTTCTCCTTTTGTTGCCCAGCCTGTCTGCCTGGGGCAGGGAAGGGTAAGGAGGCTCTTTTTCTTTGTAGCAATGATAACTGTACTTCTTTTGTTCTTTTAAGTTCAGGGGTACATGTGCAGGTTTGTTTTATAGGTAACCTTCTGTCATGGGGGTTTGTTGTATCGATTATTTCATCACTAAGGATTAAGCCCAGTACCCATTAGTTATTTTTCCCAATCCTCCCTGTCCTCCCACCCTCCACCCTCTGATAGGCCCCAGTGTGTGTTGTTCCCCTCTGTGTGTCCATGTGTTCTCATCATTTAGCTCCCACTTATAGGTGAGAACATACAGTATTTGGTTTTCTGTTCCTGCATTAGTTTGCTAAGGATAATGGCCTCCAGCTTCATCCATGTTCCTGCAAAACACATGATCTCATTCTTTTTATGGCTGCATAGTATTCCATGGTGTATATGTACAACTTTTTCTTTATTTAGTCTACCGTTGATGGGCATCTAGGTTGATTCCATGTCTTTGCTATTGTGAATAGTGCTACAACGAACATACATGTGCATGTGTCATTATGATAGAATGATTTATATCCCTTTGGGTATATACCCAGTAATGGGATTGCTGGGTTGAATGATATTTCTGTTTTTAGGTCTTTATTATTATTTAGGTCTTTCAGGAATGGCCACACTGATTTCCATAATGGTTGAACTAGTTTACACTCCCACCAACAGTGTATAAGCAAATAACTGCATTTATTTCTATGTAAAAAGAAAGATGCTAAAATCGGGCCTCCATAGCGTTGTGCCCTCTGGAGCAGTGTTGTCCAATAGAAGTAGAATGTTGGCCAGGCGCCGTGGCTCATGCCTGTAATCTCAGCACTTTAAGAGACTGAGGCGGGTGGATCACCTGAGGTCAGGAGATTGAGACCAGCCTAGCTAACATGGTGAAACCCTGTCTCTACTGAAAATACAAAATTAGCTGGGCGTGGTGATGCAGGCCTGTAATCCCAGCTATTTGGGAGGCTGAGGCAGGAGAATCACTTGAACCCAGGAGGCAGAGGTTGCAGTGAGCTGGGATTGTGCCATTGCACTCCAGCCTGGGCAACAAAAATGAAACTCCATCTCAAAAAAAAAAAAAAAAAAAAAAATAGAATGTGAGCCACAATCGCGATTTTAAGTTTCTTAGTAACCACATTAAAATAAGTAAAAAGAAGCAGACAACATTAATTTTAACAGTACATTTTAACTCAGTATATTTCTTTCTTTCTTTCTTTCTTTTTTTTTTTTGAGACAGAGTCTCGCTCTGTCGCCCAGGCTGGAGTACAGTAGTGTGATTTTGGCTCACTGCAACCTCTTGCCTCGCAGGTTCAAGTGATTCTCCTACCTCAGCCTCCCGAGTAGCTGGGATTACAGGGGCCTGCCACCACGCCCAGCTAATTTTTGTATTTTTAGTAGAAACGAAGTTTCACCATGTTTGCCAGGCTGGTCTCGAACTCCTGACCTCAGGTGATCCACTTGCCTCGGCCTCCCGAAGTGCTAGGATTATAGGCGTGAACCACCACACCTGGCCCAAATACTAGCATTTCAACCTGCAATAGCTATAAAAATTGTTAAGAAGATGTTTTACATTCTCTTTTTCGTACCAAGTCTTTAGTATCCAGTGAGTATTGTATACTTAGAGCACATCTCAATTCAGACTAGCCACATTTCAATGTCAGTGACCACATGTGGCTTACGGTAGCCATCGGACACTGCGGATCCACAGAGCACCAGTAAGTGCTTCTTGTGACGACAGAAATGTTTTCTATCTGCTCCGTCTCATATGGAGGCCACTAGCCTCAGTTAGCTATTGAGCACTTGAAATGTGACTAGTACAGCTGAGGAGGTGCATTTTAAATTTTATTTAATTTTGATAAAATGTGAATTTAAACAGTCACATGTACCTCGTGGCTCCCATATTGGACTGGGCGCGGTTGCTCACACCTGTAATCCCAGCACTTTGGGAGGCCAAGGTGGGCAGAGCACGAGATCAGGAGTTTGAGACCAGCCTGCCCAACATGATGAAACCCGATCTCTACTAAAAATGCAAAAATTAGCCAGGCGTGGTGGCAGGCGCCTGTAATCCCAGCTACTCGGGAGGCTGAGGCAGAAGAAATGCTTGAACCCTGGAGGCTGAGGTTGCAGTGAGCTGAGATCGTGCCACTTCACTCTAGCCTGGCAACAGAGTGAGACTCCGTCTCCAAAAAAAAGAAGTGAATTTAAACAGTCACATGTACCTAGTGGCTCCCGTATTGGACAGCACAACTCTAGAGATTTGATGTTATTAGAAAAATATCAGTTTAAACTTGACCAGGGTATCATTTCTCACCTACCATGTTGGCAGAAATTAGAAAGTTGGATAATGCTGTTCGAGGAGGGGAACAACCTTTTATACATGGCCAGTAGGAGTATAAATTACAGCAGGCTTTATGGAGGCCAATTGGCAATGTTTAGCAAACTTACAAATACACATTCCCTTGACCCCAACAGTTCTGTTTCTGGATATTAATGCTACAGAGTCTCTTATGCGTGTAGGCTGGTTTATGTAGAAGGATATTTGCTGCAGCAGAAGATTGGAAACTACATACATACTCAGTCAATGGGGACTTAAATAAATACATTATTGCACATTTTAAAAATGTAATTTGCAACTACTGAAAAAAATTGATTATTTCATAGCATGGAAGGCTTTCCCAAATATAGTGTTAAGCAAGTGTAGAGCAGTACCTATAGTGTGTTAGCATTGGGTAAAATAGATGATTTGCTTATTTATGTCTAGGGCTGGTCTGGAAGAATGCAGAAGGAAGCGATGGCTGGGATGTGAGAGAGGTTGACATCATCATATGGTGCCTATACCCTTTTGGAATTTAATCCTGTGCATGTGTATATTACCTATTCAAAAAATGAATACCTAAAAAATAAAAAGAGAAAACTCTAAGGGAAAGGTGAATCAGAGAAGGCTTCCTAGAGAAAATGACCTTTGGACTGGATTGTAAAAGATGCATAGGAGTCCTTCAGGCAGGAGGAAGGCTGAGGCTCAAAGGCGTGAATGAGTGGGATGGGTTCAGTCATCCATATGTACCCAGCAGTGGCAGAGTATTCGGTGTATTAAAGAGCAGAGTAATGGAGTTTCGACATGCATGACTAGCTAGATGGGAGAGGTTTTGTGAGTAGAGTTTGGACTTAACTCTGAACCAGAGGAGCCAGAAATGGTTCGAAGGAAATGGGAAGTAACATGCTTGTATTGGTATGAATGACAGCTTTGGTGGAGTGGTGAGTGGCCTGAAAGAGTGGTTCTCAAAGTGTGATCTGAGGAGCCCTAGGAGTCCCCAAGGCCTAGAGGGTACTGACGACATAAATACAAAACAGATGTTCTTTGTATGTGTCTCTGTATGTGTCGACCAAATAACAAATCATAGCAGCTTGATTGCAGGAGCAGATGTATGAATCCAGCTGTCTTCTGTGCAGCCAAACATTAGAGTAGTCAAAACAGAGAACAATGTTACTCCTCTCATGTTTTTTTGAAAATATAGTTAATTTTTATTAAAATATGGTAATTAGATTAACAAGTAATATGTTTATTTTTAAAAGAATAAATATTTTTGAAATGTCTCAGTTTTGGCTGGGCCTGGTGGCTCACGCCTGTAATCTCAGCACTTTGGGAGGCCAACGTGGGAAGATCGCTTGAGCCCAGAAGTTTGAGACCATCCTGTCAACATAGCGAGACTCCATCTCTACAAATAATTTTTTAAAAGGCTGGGTGCAGTGGCTTATGCCTGTAATCCCAACACTTTGGGGGCCAAAGTGGGAGGATTGCCTGAGCCCAGGAGTTTGAGACCAACCTGGGCCACCTGGCAAATCTCATCTCTACCAAAGAAAATACAAAAGTTAGCTGGGCATGGTGGCACGTGCCTGTAGTCCCAGCTACTTGGGAGGCTGAGGTGGGAGGATAGCTTAAGCTGGGGAAGCAGAGGTTGCAGTGAGCTGAGATTGCAACACTGCACCCAGGCCTGGGTAACAGAGCTAGACCCTGTCTCAAAAAATACATATATATATATATTTAGGCATGGTAGCATGTACCTGCTTCCAGCTACTTGGGAGGCTGAGGCAGGAGGATTGCCTGAGCCAAGGAGGTTGAGGCTGCAGTGAGCCGTGATCATGCCTCTGCACTCCAGCCTGGGTGAGTGAGACCTTGTCTCAAAAAAATTCTCAGTTTTATTTTCTAATACTGTGTATATTGATAGATACAACCAACATAAACAAAAGCTCATTGGGACCCTCACTAATTTTTGAAAGTATAAAAGCATCTTGAGATTAAAAAAAAAATTCAGGAACCACTGGCCTAGAAGCAGGCAGGCCCTGTGTGTTTTTAATTCTGGTTGGATTGAAATAAACTACCGGGAAACAAATGCAGCTATCCAAACAAGGGTCAGGCAGGAGGTGAGCTAGCAGGGCTGCAGCTGATGTACACTTTGCATATCCAAGTGCATAGTAGGGTATGGGTGGTGTCTGTTAAAGAAGGAGCTTAGTTGATGGATTGGTTTTGACTGATGAGAATGTTGGTGCATGTCCTATATTTCATTTTCCCACTAGTGGATGCTTCTGTTATTTCCAGTCCTTTGCTGTTATAAACATCCTGGACATGTCTGCAAGTGCCCTTGGGCAAGACATTCTCTAGAGTATCTCTCTAAAAGTGGAACACTGAGCAGTAAGACATTCACATTTTCAGCATGCCTGGAAGCTGTCAAGTTGCTATCCAATCTGTGACTCTCCCTCTAGCCTTGTATGAGAGCCCTGATGTCTCCAAACCTTCATATTATCAGACTTTTCAATTTTGCCAATCCCAGAGTGTGAAATGGCATCTTGCTTTAATCCCTCTCCCACGATGACCCCTACCTCCATTCTGTACCTTGGAGCATAACTCTGAATTGTAGGCAATTCAGCAGAAGTCTTTGTCACCAGGAAACTTGGGGTTCGTTCTCTCTCTCTCTCTCTGTGTGTGTGTGTGTGTGTGTATGTTTAGAGAGGGGACACACAGAAGCAAATTCTGTATTCTGCTTCCCTGGATGAGGAAGGAGGAAAAAACTGGGACACTGTTCTTTATTTTAGACAGAAATTGCCCAGTCAGCTGTTACTGTTCTTGTGGCATTTGCTGTCATTTGGGGCTACTTGGGTCCTCAGTGAAGGAAGAGAAAACAGGCCTCTCTGTTGCCTGACTTGGGTTGGTGTTTGGGGTAAGGCCCAGTCTGAGGCATTAAGCTGAGACCTAAGGCTTTGGGCACACAAGTGTAGTGTGAGAGTATAAGTCTCCTTCTCTGGTCTGCTCACATGTCCTCACCTGGGTCAGGCCTTCTTGCAGGCCTGAAACCAGGGCCAGCTTCACTGGCCTGCAACCTGGGCAGGCACACAGGGTCCTCATTCAGAAGGGCCATGTGCCCGCTTCAGTGCTCTACTATAGTCATCTCGAAACTCAGTACTTTTTGGACAAAGGGCCCCACATTTTTATTTTGTGTCAGGTCCTGCAAATTATATAGCTAGTCCTGCCTGAAGTATCTTTGTGTCTCTCAGACTAAAAAGGATGTAGGGAGAGGGGTACAGTTCTGTGGGTGGCCCTGTTCTCTCTGCTCTGTGCAGGGCCTGCCTCCCACTGTGAGCTGCAAAGCTCTTTTGAATGAAACACTCATTTTCTCATTTCATGCATTTCTTTTCTTTTTTAAAAATCTGTCTATCTCCATCCATCTATCCACACACGCGCGCACACACATGAGATCCTCATTACTTATGATTTCATATTTGTAAGTTTGCTTACTCTCTAAAATCTGTTTCTAACGCCAGAATTAATACTCATGGCACTTGTGCAGTCATTCACAGACACATGCAGAGCAGCAAAATATTTGAGTCCCCTTAGCACGTTGCCAGCAGAAGATGAACAAGGTGATACACTGCCTTCTTGTTCTAGCTCCCATACTGTAAACAAGTATCCTTTTTGTGGTCTGTTTAGTGCCATGTTGTTCACATTGTATTTTTTGTTGGCGATTTCAGTGTGTAAGAAGGTTCTCAAGTATAATGCTGAAATGCTGTCTAGTATTTCTAAGCACAAGAGGGCTATGATGTGCCTTTTGGAGAAAATACACGTTAGATAAGCTTCTTTCAGGCTTGAGTTATGGTGTCATTGGCCATGAGTTCAATGCTACTGAATCAACAATATGTATTAAATAAGGTGTCGTTAAGCAGAAATACACATAAAACAAGGTTATGTATTGACAAAAATATTGCAGCCATGCCTGGGCAACATAGCCAGACCTCATCTCTACTAGAAATAAAAATAAAAAAATTAGTGGGGTATGGTGGTGTGTGCCTATAGTCCCAGCTACTCGAGAGGCTGAGGAGGAAGGATCACATGAGCCCAGGAGATTAAGGCTACAGTGAGCAGTGACTGTGCCACTGCACTCCAGCCTGGACAACAGAGTAAGACCCTGTCTCAAAAAAAAAAAAAAAATTACAACCAGAGGCTCACAGAAACTTAGCCCTGTATTCCCCCCAGGAGCAATGGTTTAGTATTCATTAACTCAGTGTTCACAATGACTTAATAGAACATACTACTATGAATAATGAGAGTCAACTGTATATATATATATACAGTATGTATATATATGTACATATACGTATACATACTCATATACATATACATATACATATACATATACATATACATACTTTGCCACTCTCTTGTTTACTCTCCATTTTGCCCTTTCTTCTAATCTCTTGCATTTTTGATTCACTCTCATTTGTCAGTGGTCCTTCTGACATTAGCCTTGGACCCTCAAGGGCACCAATGAAAGGGCCTTTATTCATTTATCCATGTATTTAATACACATTTGTGGATCACCTTCTTTTGCCATGCACTGGTCTATGCTGGAATCTGAACACAGACCTTATGTTTCAAAAACATTGCTTATGCATAGGGTTGTTATAATTGGTGATTTTGAGACAAAGTGAGAGTCTCATACTTATTTCTGGAAAGTGTTTCCCAATCTCTGCCATTCTCATTACCCACTTTCCACCCCTACCCAAAAACTTCTTTGGCCACATAATGTCATAAATGCATAAAATGTTAGAAGGAAACTTTAGAGGTCACCTGGGCCAACTCCGTCAGTTTACAGATAATGAAACTGAGATCCAGACTGGGAAAGTGAAATGCCTGGAGTCACAAAGCTAGTTCAATGGCCTTAAAAAAGCAGGTGACAACCCAGGTAATAATAGTTCCCAGTTGCTCTATTTTATTACTTATGTATCAGGTAAGAAAAAGATAACATCAATTGTGATCTGGTAACTTCCGATTAAAAGCATAAAACAGATTTCTATAAATTGTCTACATTGTAACAAAGCTGGAGAAAATGTATAAATGGAAGTAGAAAAATATCTAGGTTTAACCGTTGGTGGTGGTGTTGTTTTGAGACAGGATCTTGCTCTGTGGCCCAGGCTGGAGTGCAGTGGTGTGATCATGGCTCACTGCAGCTTTGACTTCCGTGGCTCAGTCAATCCTCCTGCCTCAGCCTCCAGAGTAGCTGGGACTACAGTGCGTGCCACCATGCCTGGCTAATTTATATATAGAGATTGGGTTCTGCCATGTTGCCCAGGCTGGTCTTAAACTCTGGCTGGTTTCAAGGAATCCTCCCGCCTTGGCCTCCCAAAGTGCTGGGATTACGGGTGTGAGCCACCACACCCAGCCAACTGTATTGTTTTGTTTTGTTTTGTTTTTACAAAAATATTTCTTATCTGCAATCAAGGTATCTAGATGGTTCCAGTATAGAGGGTGTTTAGATTTCTCACTTGGGTGATTTTCGTGATCCAAATACCTGTTGTTATAACACATCCAAAAGTGGGCATCACTTGGTCCTAACAATATGTAATATACATTTGCAAGCCAGGACTGTGACAACAAAGGGAGTTGGGAGGTGGGGCCTCTGCTACAAAGCCAGCCAGGAAACAGATCCATCAGCCTTCACTTCCCGTTCACTCCCCAAACCTAGCCTCCACTCTCTCCCCTCCCAAAAAGGGGAAGGAAGAAGGTTAGGTAAAGATAACGTGCCCATCTTCAAACAAAGGATGGCGAACGCTTTTGGGTCGCCCAAGCACTCCCATTTCCTGTGGCTAAAGTTAGACCTATTAGATATGAATTTCATTTTTAATCCATGACTGGGCAGACAGAGGGTTACAGTGCCAGGAGTGGTTCACATCTTCTCCAAAAAGGATGGGAAAAAGGAGGCGTCCCTTTTCAGTCATCTCAGGGCATAGGGGAACAGAGAGTTGCTTTCTCTGTACTTGTCACAGCAGCAAAATGCATGGGACAGTTACTTTGTGTGACAATTAAGAGAGGGAGCTTCCACAAAGTGTTTCCTAAGTCCCACTCATTTGTGAATCACCTTTGACCTGAAAAAGGCTTCATAATTTTCTGTAAAACAATGTATTTTTTCTTTCATATTTATATTTAATGGAAAGTTTATATTACTATGGTAAACAAAAAACCAGTATGCTTGCCATAAATAGATAAGTATCAAAATAAAATATGCACAAACTAATGTAAATAAATTCTAACTAGGTGCTATTGTCTGAGCCTCTTTGTACGTAGAAGAGAAAGATTGGGCATGGTAAACGTTAGGGGAGTATTCAAGGTGAAGTATCCTCAATTTGAGCATTTCTCTTTGAGGGATTTACGATGGACAATGAATTGACAAAGTAATAACTTTCTTGTTATGTGATCTGTTGCTGGGTAAAGAACATAAGCTGACTCTCCCGGTGCCCCACCCATATGGCCGAGGCCACTTCAGATGCCATCTGCAGGGCCTCCTGTCCACATCTTTGACTTTCTATGTCCTTCTACCTGGCAGGGTTTCTAGCCAGGGAAGCTAACATCCTGAGGAGCCCCTTTCCATCAATGAGGGGAGGAGTTGGTGGATTGAAACTCCCACCTCCTCACCCCTCAGTGGAGAATTATGCGGTGTGTTTTTTTGTTGTTGTTTTTTGTTTTTGGGACGGAGTCTCTTTCTGTCGCCAGGCTGGAGTACAGTGGTGCAATCTCGGATCACTGCAACCTCCACCTCCTGGGTTCATGCCATTCTCCTGCCTCAGCCTCCCGAGTAGCTGGGACTACAGGCGTGTGCCACCACACCCAGCTATTTTTGTATTTTTAGTAGAGACGGGGTTTCACCATGTTAGCCAGGATGGTCTTGATCTCTTGACCTCGTGATCTGCCCGCCTTGGCCTCCCAAAGTGCTGGGATTACAGGCGTAAGCCACCACGCCTGGCCATGAAGTGTGTTTTATATGCTCTCAGGGGGTCCCCAGTGGGTTGAATGCCGGCTGCCCACGGCTGTAACCTGATGGCTCCATACTCTTTATTGGCTTCCCTCCTTTTCTTTGTCTCATTTTCCCACTCCCCACCAGTTCTTCCAGGGATCACCCCAGAAGAAAACAGCTGATACTTACATCTTTGCTCCAGGATCTGCTTTAGGGGAACTCCAAACTAACAGCAGGTAAACATAAAAGAAAGAAGACTTACTAAAGAAAGAAGACTGGCCAGGCGCTGTGGCTCATGCCTGTAATCTCAGCACTTTAGGAGGCCAAGGCGAGTGGATCACCTGAGGTCAGGAGTTCGAGACCAGCCTGGCCAACATGGTGAAACCCCCTCTCCACTAAAAATACAAAAATCAGCCAGTGTGGTGGCACATGCCTGTAATCCCAGCTACTCAGGAGGCCGAGGCAGGCTAATTGCTTGAACCTGGGCAGTGGAGGTTTCAGTGAGCTGAGATTATGCCGCTGCACTCCAGCCTGGGCAACACAGCGGGACTCCATCTCATAAATAAATAAATAAGACATACCTAAAAATGTTTTTTAAAATAGATACAGGCCAGGTGCAGTGGCTCATGCCTATAATCCCAAGACTTTGAGGCTGAGGCAGGAGGATTGCTTGAGCCCAGGAGTTCGAGACGAGCCTGGGCAACAAAATGAGACCCCGTCTCTACAAAAAATACAAAAATTAGCAGGGCGTGGTGGTGTGCACCTGTAGTCCCAGCTACTTGGGAGGCCAAGGTGGGAGAATCAGTTGGACCCAGAGGTCAAGGCTTCAGTGAGCTATGATGCCACCACTGCACTCCAGCATGAGCAACAGAACTGCGACCCTGTCTCAAAAATAAAAAATACATAAATAAATAAAAATAGGGCCGGGCATGGTGGCTCACGCCTGTAATCCCAACACTTTGGGAGGTCGAGGTGGGCAGATCACGAGGTCAAGAGATCGAGACCATCCTGGCTAACACGGTGAAAACCCATCTCTACTAAAAATACAAAAATTAGCTGGGCATGGTGGTGCATGCCTGTAGTCCCAGCTACTCGGGAGGCTGAGGCTGAGGCAGGAGAATTGCTTGAACCCAGGAGGTGAAGGTTGCAGTGAGCCGAGATCACACCACTGCACTCCAGCCTGGTGACAGAGGGAGACTCCATCTCAAAAAAAAAAAAAAGATACATATAGATAGATTGGAAATGAAAGCATCAGAATGAGTTCATGGTTATACATATATACATGCATGTTTTTTCCCTGTATCTACTGAGAGGGCCTAGAAGCAGTGGCACCCCCGTAGCAAAAACATAACTAGTGCCCAGATCTTGGCTTCTAAATACTCCTCCACTAAAGGGAACCAGAGTTCCTTGGAGAAAAGGCTGATTCCAGGACTGGGGCAGGGAGAATATAGGAAGATCTTGGAACATCTTTTTGTATCAAAAAGTAATGAAGTGCCCTAAGAATGATGGGCATGTGAACAAGCTGGACACAGGCACCAGGTTGTAGGGCTCTCCCTAGCCAAGTCTGGGACAATCTGAGCATCAAAATGAAAAATGATAGTAACGGATCATAACCCACTAAATAAAATTGGAATCCATAAGCCAACATGGATGTAAATAATAAATAAATGGTGGAGAATGGAAAGCTCTTCCCTCCAGTAGAAGAATAACTTATAAACATTGAAGGGATGATAGAGTTGAAAAATCGTCAGTGGACACTAAAACTAGTGTGTTAACATTTCATGAGGAAGAAGACACTTCCATATTTTCAATTTGCTGGTTACTTAAAAACAGAAAAATAGTAACTTTCCAGTAGAGAAATTTAGAAGATGCCACCTCAACTAAATAGTCTAAGCCAATGTCACCAATATTGGGCCAAACCAATGCCACATGTCTTCTGAGGTGATGTGCTAAGAAAGACTCTACATTGTCACTTCTGTCATATTCCTGTGAAAAATACACCACATGAAAAAAATATTCTCTTATTACTCTAGACATTTTTAGAATGTGCAACCTGAATCTAATCATGAAAAAACATCTAGTAAACCCTCAGGTAGGGAAATTATACAACGTAACTGGCCTGTCCTCTTCAAAATCATTAAAATCAAGAAACACAAAGAAAGCCTGGGGAACTGTTCCAGATTCAAGGAGACTCAAGAACACGTGACAGTAAATGCAATCAATGCAGGGCCTTCAGTTGGATTCTGGACCAGGAAAACCAATAGCTATGAAACATTTTATTGGAATAGTTGGCACCTTTTTAAAAAAAGTGGTGAACGAGTTGATACATTTTGTCAATGTTAAGTTTCCTGCTTTTGATAATAATTATCCTGTGTAAGAGGATGCCCTTGTTCTTAGGACATACACACTGAAGTATTTAGGGTCTAAAGGGACATAATGTCTGCAACTCATTCTCAAATAATTAGGAAGAAAAATATTTTATATTCATACGTATAGAAAGAGAGAGAGAGGGAGCAAATGAGGTCAGCTGTAGGCAGCCATGACACTGAGTAAAGGATTTTCAGGAGTATCTTATTCTGGACTTGCAAACCTTCTATAAGTTTGAAACTATATTAAAATAAACTTGCCAAAAATAAAATAAATTCTCAAATAAACTGCACACTCTGCCCTCCCCAAGAAAAAGGCCTGTGTTCCTTTGTTCCTCTTCAGGGAATCTAATATACTCTCACCACACAACTCCAGAGGGCATCAGGCCATTCGTGCTGCCGCCAGCTCTGCAGGATCTGCCAGCCCCCTGTGCCTGCAGGCCCTCATGCTGAGGCACAATTCCTAAGGCCTAAGAAGATAATTTCAGAATTATTTAATCAAAAATAGCTCTCTTCCAAACAAAACTGGAAACTCTTCCAAGAGGCTGGGTGTTTATCCTTAAAGATGCCCCTGTCTCTCAGTAGGAAAGAAACAACTGTAAGGAAAATAACTGCATAATAATGAATACTCTTTCCCTCAGAACGATGGACCTGAATGGCCGGGTGCGGTGGCTCATGCCTGTAATCCCAGCACTTTGGGAGGCCGAGGCAGGTGGATCACAAGGTCAGGAGATCAAGACCATCCTGGCTAACACAGTGAAACTCCATCTCTACTAAAAATACAAAAAATTAGCCCGGTGTGATGGCAGGCTCCTGTAGTCCCACCTGCTCGGGAGGCTGAGCCAGGAGAATGGCGTGAACCCAGGAGGCGGAGCTTGCAGTGAGCCAAGATAGCGCCACTGCACTCCAACCTGGGTGGCAGAACAAGACTCCATCTCAAAAAAAAATAAATAAATAAATAAATAAGAACAATGGACCTGAATATGCCAACACAGCCTCTTTCTGTATGTCCGCACTGGAGGCAACTGGAGCCTCGGGAGCAGCCATGGACCATTTCTATGACAAAGGCCCCTCTCTCTGCCCAGCTAGAGCTCATTCAGCACAGGGGAGGCCACCAGTCTTTCAGAGTAGTCATGACTAACTCGGGAATAATGCTCTTGGCGATAGTCCGTAGAGAATCTGTCAGAACAATAACGTGAAAGCCAGTTCCCATTTCTGATGCAGCGCCTGGAAAGAAGTCAGCTGCGATTAGAGGGACATTTTCTTCCTGCAGCTGTCTTTGAAAGTGGAGGAGGGGTTCACCACAACCCCAAATTACAGGGAGGGAGGGAGGGAGGTAGAGGGCCCCTAAACACCAGGGACATGCAGGTATTCAGGGTACGCCTTCTTTAGTGACACTGTCATGTTCTGTCAAGTTCTGAGTAAAAAGCAAAAGTTGTGGTGAGCCACAAATGGGCTGCAGGGATGGGGGAAAGTACTTTGGGCTAAATTTTCTAATCCGGAGTCTTTGCTTCAAAGTTCATCCCAATCACTTTTATCCTGAAGTCTGAAACGGAGACCTGGCGTTTGCAGAATCAAAGCATGTTTATCCAGCATTTAATCCATTTCCCAGGAAATCAGTGTTTTACCAAGAGTGGAATTCTTTTTTAGGACTTTCGTGGACATTTCTAAGGCCTAACCCAGCATACAGAGAATGTTCAACTACTGCTATATGTGAACAAATGAACCCATTTGCCCATAAAATGGCAAATCCATAGAATTTTTTTAAAATTTTTTATAATTAAAAAAGAGAGAAAGAGATAGGGTCTTGCCACGTCACCCAGGCTGGTCTCAAACTCCTGGGTTCAAGCAGTCCTCCCTGCTTGGCCTCCCAAAGTGCTGAGATTACAGGCTTGAGCCACAAAACCTGGCCTAAACTTTCTTTTCAGGAGAACTAAAATGCCAAGAAATACAGTACATAAAATATCATTTTTTATTCTGGGGCCCACAATATTTCTGAATTTTGACAATAGAAACACAGGAACAGTAGGATACTCAGATAAATTAATTTCACTATTTAGTTTCATTCATTCAACAATATTTTATTAAGCATCTACCATGTGTCAGACACTGTGCAAATGCCGTAGATACATTGGTTAACAAAAGAGATGCAGTGTCTGTTCTCAGAAAGAACACAGTTGAGCGGACCCAGGTGATTCCAGTGTACAAGACTGAGCTCATACCTCAGAGTTGTCCCACCAAACTGTCAGAAGCTGGATTATTTATCTGCCAGCCCCAGTCCCTCATAGATTGAAAGCTGATCCCAGTGGCATTAATTCTCCGGCATTTCTGGCCTGTGGAAAGCTGATTTGTGTGCTTTCCACACGGTGTGCAGGGAAATGGTGATTGCCCAGGGGTTGTCAGCCGGCTGTATCTGCTACACGAGTGACCGGTTCTGATACTCCTAGAGCAGCCTTAGTCAAGTCATTTAAACTCTTTAAGTCTCAGTTTCCTTATATGTAATAACTTCTTTGTACAGCTGTAAGGATTGGTTATAATACATGTAAAGCACCCAGCAAGGCAGTGGATTTTTTTTTTTTTTTTTTTTTTTTTTTTTTTTTTTTTTTTTGAGACAGAGTCTTGTTCTTGCTCTGTCACCCAGGCTGGAGTGCAGTGGTGCGATCTCGGCTCACTGCAACCCCTGCTTCCCAGGCTCAAGTGATTCTCCTGCCTCAGCCTCCAGAGTAGCTGGGTCTACAGGGGCACACCACCATGCCGGGCTAATTTTTGTATTTTTAGTAGAGACGGGGTTTCACCATGTTGGTCAGGCTGGTCTTGAACTCCTGACCTCAGGTGATCCGCCCGTCTCAGACTCCCAAAGTGCTGAGATTACAGGCATGAGCCACTGTGCCATGCTGGCAGTGGATTCTTAATAGACAGTTGTTATAAAGCCCAGCAAAGGGGTTGGGCGTGGTGGCTCATGCCTGTAATCCCAGCACTTGGGCAGGCCAAGGCAGGAGGATCACTTGAGCCCAAGAGTTCAAGACTAGCCTAGGCAACAAAAACAGATCCTATCTCTACATAACAGTAAAATAATTAGCTGGACACAGTGGCACATGCCTGTAATCCTAGCTACTTGGGAGGCTAAGGTGGGAGGATCCCTTGAGCTCAGGAGTTCGAGGCTGCAGTGAGCTGTGATCATGTCATTGCACTTCAGCCTGGGTGGCAGAGTGAGACCCTATCTCTAAAAAAATAAAATAAAATAAAAAATCCCAGCAAAGGGAAGGGACTACCTTAAGCAGCCAGAATATACAATAAAGAAATGGAATTTTGGCAACTGAAGTTGTGAGTTTTTATATGGTAGACAACACCAAATGGTTGTACAAGGGAACCTTTTGTTTATTTAAAGGAATGTCCTTTAGAGGACAGCTTGACAAGAGCAGCCCGTTTCTCTACCATTTTTCATCTCTGCTTTGTGCGGCAAATTGCCCCAAGGAGTAGGTGTTCCAGACACCAGTGATTGAAAGGGAGCTTTGCACTGTGCTCTCCCTAGGGTTAAAGGCCTGCCCGTTGGCATTTGGGGAACTGTTCATGAACCCATGGGGTGTTGTGGCTGATAAGACATTACCAGAACCAGGAGCATTTCTAGGTAGGAGAAAGCGGGAACACGAGCCAAGTGAACGAAAAACTGACAACTGTCTTTGTAAATTCAGGTTCCCAGTATTATTGTGGATGATGAGCACTTTGAATTTGAATTATGCAGTTGGACAATCTAAGCTGATTGTTTACATGGAGTAGTTTTCTAGAAATTAAACAATGATTTGGACATTCCCTAAACTGCATATATATAGATAATATTTTTTGTTGATAATGGCTTCAAATCATTGCATCAGTGAAGAATTTTAATAAGTAGGATTTTGTTATAGTGTTTAAAAAATAAGTGAATAAACATATAAAGGAGGGCCAAGGAAGCACCATAGCATATTATGAACCAAGGATTGCAGTGAGTCCAATCTGGTGTACCTGAGAACCAGTAGAAAATAATAATTACAGTAATTTAGAAGGCCTAGTAAAAGTGCTCTGGTTAATGCAATTTTGTGCTTTGCGTCACATCCACTGTTGAAAATCCTTGTGAATATGGACTCCTTCTCCCACCTTAGATCGATGCCCGTATTTTTTTTTTCTGGGACAATTTTTCTGGAAAATATATTTGGCAGCCCTCTATCCTGGATAGATGAGTTTTCTGTCTTTTCTCCTGCTCCCCTGGCCTTGAGTGTTTTGGAGGGAAAAGCAGTTTGTAAATGTTTGTTGAATGACAGAGTGAATCCTGCTGCTTGTTAGCCATCAGGGTTGGTGGTGGCACTGTCAGGCTGGCTAGGTCTCCTCCCTCCTCCCACTTGTTTGGTTGGACATGTCTTCCCTCCCGTGGGAGAAGAGGATCTTTCCTTGGCTAAGACTGTCTCATCTGTACCTCCAAACAAGTTAAGGGCCAGGTGTTCCATGGCTAAGATCATATAATAGGGGCTTTTCCTAGTTTGCCAACGTCAAATTAATGAGTAGACTTTTAGACATTTTAAGTATTTTCCCCATGATTTTCCCCCCGGTGCCTGTACTTACTTGCTGTTACTGCTGCTGTTGCTACTATTACCATTAATAGTTAATATTTGAGTAGTTGCTGAGGGCCACGCATTGTGCTAAGCTCTTTACCCACACTGATCTATTTAACTTTCACAGTAACCTTAGGAGGGAGGTACTATTCGTGTCCCCATTTTATAGGTGAGGAAACTAAGGTGCAGAGAGGTAAAATGATGCGCTTAAGGTTCCACAACAAATAAATGGCTTAACTAAGATGTAAACTCACAAACACTGACTTTAGAGTCTACCTAACATCTTCAACCTATAGTTAGTGGTATCTGAGCACATAATTGCATATTATATTTGTTAAAATTTAGTTCCCCGTAGCTCTGAAAACATCATGATTTCCCATTTCTCCACCCTGTCAGCACACTGAAGACAGCCTAGAAAAAAGGACTGGGGTTCCTGGATCCTAGAAAAAGGAGGATGTTTTAAAAATAAGGAAAAGGAAAAAAAAAAAAAAAGCAGTGTACTAAAAATGGAGTAGGGGCCAGGCACGGTGGGTCACACCTGTAATCCCAGCACATTGGGAGGTGGAGGCGAGAGGATTGCTTGAGCTCAGAAGTTTGAGACCAGCCTGCAAGACATAGGGAGATCTCGTCTCTATTTTTTTTTTTTTTTTTTACTTTTTAAAAATGGAGTTGGTGCTCCTTCTTTCAATTCTCTCATTCACTTCTGGAGCTTCAGACTGGAGAAGAACAAAATGTGGATCCTCTCCCTGCTAAAACGTGAATTTAGCAAGTCAAGTTCCAGCTAAGGGCAAGTACAAGAACACAAAATCCTTTTGCTAATCTTTCCGCAAAGAAAGAGCAGATGAAAGGCAAGGCATCAAAGCCTCTGAAACCACCAAAGTTGTTTGCCAGCAAAGAGATAAATCAAAAAGGTTCGAGATCTGGTTTGAATTTAATAATTACAAATGACTAATCAGGGACTATTTGCTGCCAAGTCAGGAGCTGCACTCTCTCAATCAGTACGTTTTTGCTGCTCTGGTCACCTGGTTATTAAATAGAAAAGCCCAGTGATTAAATAACAGGGTTGTTCTGACACTAATCAGTTCAATCTTGGCCATTTAAAATTAAGTCAGGCTTGCAGTAGCCCTTGTCTCTGTGAAAGAAGTGGGAACGACACAGTGCAAATGTGACTGAAGGTATCCTGAGAGTGTTTGTGGATAGTCCTCTGGGACCTGGGTAGTTAGAAAGAGTCAGGCAGCGTACCAGGTCTCCTGCCCATCATTCTGCAGGATCCTGCCATCTCTAATACCCTCCCTGCCTGACTCTCAACATCAAATAACAACAAAATAATTATGCCAGCAGTGACAGCAGTAGTAATAGTAATTACGGTAATAACCGCAGTAGCAATAATAATTACATTTTTCAAATCTCTTGCCATATGTCTGGCTCTGTTCGAAATATTTTATTTCTTTTAATACTTGAAATAACCCCATGATGGAGAAAACCAAAGCTTATAGAACTGCTTTATAGACACTGACGTATCCCATACACTTAGAACCTGCCTGGCACATAGTAAATGCTCAGTAAATATTTGTTGAGTGAATGAAGGAATAGAGAAGTAATTTGCCCAAGGTCACACCAAGTAGCAAAGGTGGAGCTGCATTTTGAACTGTCTCATTTATGCTCTTAGTTTCTTTGAGGTATGTAGGTAAATGCCTTGTGGGTCTTTTTATATTGTTTTAAAACACATATGATTTTAAACAATTATTTATGTATTTATTTATTTATTTATTGAGAAGGAGTCTTGCTCTGTCACCCAGGCTGGAGTGCAGTGGTGCGACCTTGGCTCACTGCAGCCTCTGCCTCCTGGGTTCCAGCGATTCTCCTGCCTCAGCCTTCTGGATAGCTATGATTACAGGCGCACGCTACCACGCTCAGCTAATTTTTGTATTTTTAGTAGAGATGAGGTTTCACCATGTTGGCCAGGCTGGTCTCAAACTCCTGACCTCAGGTGATCCGCCCATCTCGGCCTCCCAAAGTGCTGGGATTACAAGCATGAGCCACTGCGCCCAGCCATGAAACAAATATTTAAATGTATTTTACCTTATTTGTATGTATTAATTTAAAGGAAACGCAGATTGTTTTTAAACAATGTACAAAGAGAAATAGCATCATATGCAGAGAGGTCAGTGGTTTGGCAGTCAGGGTGGCCTCCAGAAAATCCTCTCTCCAGCACTCACTCACTTTGTGACCTTGAGCAAGTTACTAAAACCTTCCTGAGCTTCAGCGTTCCTCTCTGTTAAAATGAACACCACAAGGCTTACTTAAACCGGGCTGAGGAGAAGCTTAAATGGCACAATCCATTAAACTGAGAGCATAGTCCTTGGCTCATAGTAGGTGCCCAATTCCAGCGTCTGTTTCCCTCCACTTTTGTATTGGAAGGCACCTGGTGATTTTCTCAAAACCTCAAAGGAGGTCTGGAGAGGATGGAAGTTAAGCCAGGTAAGGACACGCTATTCAGGCTTGGACCACGGCCAGCTCTTCTGAGAATCTGTTGTCGGGTAAGGATAGGATCAGTGCTTTTCACAGAGAATCTTCCCCAGGACAACCGAAAAGGCAGTTTGTTCATGGGTTATTTACCGATGAGATTCAGATGTCTGCCTTGTGATATCAGAAGGTAGCCAACCCTAAAAAGAGATAGCCACAGAGTGTCCTGGAAACAATAATGTTTGTGAAAGTGGGTCGAAAGGTTCAGGTGAAGGTCAAGCTAGCAGGATCTCTCAAGCAGAGGCAGTAACGAGTCTCTGGCAATGTTCACTTGATCCTTCCAGGAATACCCATATCTCCATGAGACCTCCCATTGGAATATGCACAGGACTTTGCTCTATTGCAAATTAGCAAAGGGACCCCCTGGTCATTTTTGTTTTTTGTTTTTGTTTTTGTTTTTTTTTGAGATGGAGTTTCGTTCTTATTGCCCAGGCTGGAGTGCAATGGTGCGATCTCGGCTCACCGCAACCTCCGTCTCCCAGGTTCAAGCGATTCTCCTGCCTCAGCCTCCCAAGTAGCTGAGATTACAGGTGCACACAATCATGCCCAGCTAATTTTTACATTTTTAGTAGAGACGGGGTTTCACCATATTGGCCAGGCTGGTCTGGAACTCCTGACCGCAGGTGATCCAACTGCCTCGGCCTCCCAATGTGCTGGAATTACAGGCGTGAGCCACCATGCCTGGCCCCTGGTTGCTTTTTTAAGAAGCAGTGGTAGGGTTTTTTCAGCACTTGAGCACTTCTAGAAAGTGGTCTATAGCAAATATATAACCTGCAGGGCTAAGGACTTAGAGACTACATGCAGGTCTATTGTGCCCACAAATTCTCCTCTGTAACTGCCTTTCTCCCCACCCCCATATAGGCACGTGGCATTGAGACAAAGGGGTCAGGTGCCCATTAAGTTCATTTAGGGTTTGGTTCAGCTGGATGTTCCCTTTCCATCTGAGGTGTTATCAATCTTGGATTACTTGCTCTTAAAGCACAGAGACTGAGTCCCCAGACTGTCGCCCAGGGCAGTACATGGATAGATTCGTTGGTCAGGGATGTGCCTCACCCTTGAACAGATCTGACATTCCTTTTCGTAGGAGTGGAAATGGCCAATGTCCCACTTGGACCAATGTCTAAACAACTGTAATTTCTTTTAACATGTCTGTGCATTTTAAGGAAAATAAATGCCCCTGCTGGTAAGAAAAAAAAAAAAAAAAGCTCTTATTTGAAAAACAAGAATCTTAGCTTGAATGGGCAGGTTTTTTCTCCAAGGAGATTTGAGGTTGAAGAATTTAAGCCTTCAATGACCTTCACTTTTGAGGTTTTTGATTTAATTTTGGCTGCCCTTTTGCCACCAGGTGGTTAATGAAAGGGAAAGGTGTCACCTCAAAAACACTGGCCTCCTTTATTCATTCTTTCTTTTAGTCACCCATTTAGAAATTATTCACTGACCTACTGCTCAGCACAGGGCACTGAGGGGTTAAAGTTATGTGCTGAAATCAGAGTGCAGAGACTACAGCACAATTATTGGGCTCACCGAAGGTGCTTTGTTTTCATGGTTGAAAGGGAAGTGGACTGTGCCTTTGCTTCAGTAAATTTGACAAGAATAACAGGGTGGGTCCTTGGCTCCTCAAATTGGCTGGGAACCTGTCAGACCAAGTGTGCAAATGCACAGTTCACACACAGTGCCCTTCCTGCCTGGGAACGCCCCCAGGTAACTGATCAGTGGTTTTTTATGCAGAGGAAGTAAAATGGCATTTTTTACTTCCTGTGGGCAATTCATAACAGGAGCTGCCACTTACTGTGCACTTACTATGTGCCAGGTCTTGTCACCCAACATCTATGATCCTCACAACACCCTAACCTGGAAGGCATTATTTCTACTCTACAGATAACATCCCAGAGTCTCAGCCTCCTCCTGATACCTCCCAAGATCCCAGGTATAATACTGTAGCCTCCCAAGGCAGGAGAAGCAGAACTCAAGAAGGAAATGGGGTTATTCTAGGCAGCGGGACGCCCTTGCTGCTGTGCCCCAATTCGTTCCCCAGCACATGTTGCTAATTGTGATCACAGCATTCTCTGGCTTGCTATGCTGTGCAGTCCTTCTCAATACAGTGCTCCAAACAAACACTACCAGACATTCTGGATGGCAAGTGAGACGTAACCTATTTGCCACCAGTGCTTGCCACCAATGCCTGCTACCTGATAGCAGACACTGATAGCTCTTAAAACTAGAAAGGACCACAAAATTGATTTGGTCTAGACAGTGTGTGCTGTGGTCTTGAAGACCAGTCTCTCTAGTAGAATAAAGGTTATTTTCTTGCCATATTCCTCATGCTCAACACCTTCCTAGACCTTCTGTGCAGGTCTGATGTGCCATCCCAGACTCTGGGACGGGACAGCATGGTGGGGAAGCACATAGTTTGAAGTAGGAAAGACCTGGATTTGAATCCAGGCTCTGCCACTTGCTAATCATGAAACCCTGGACAAATTCCTGCCCCTTTTTGAGCCTTCATCTCCTACTCTGTAGAATGGAGATGATAACCATTATCCACCTACCTCATGGGGTAGTTATGAGGATCAAATGAGATCATGCATATAAGGATTTAGCTCTGTGCCTGACATGTAGTGAGCGTTCAATAGGCTAAAGCTTTCATTATTATCAGTGTGAATTATTAGTAGTAGTAGCTCCAGTGAAGTTCAAAGTGAGTGCCGTGTCCTGTTGCACTCTCTGCTTTCTGAGATGCTCATTTGTTTATGTTTCCGTGGCTTATTTCCAACTGGTGATTTCTTCCATGAGCTACTCTGTAGATCACTGGCATGAGGTCAACACCCCAATATTCTAGAAATCCCAGTTCCTGGGTAGAGCGTGAAATGTCTTTATGTGGTGTTTCCATCTGTACGCCCTTCTTCACCAGGTCCTTTCTGTTCTCTCTTCCTGTGGCCCTCTCGAGTTGGGCAATTAGTGAAGAAGACAAGCAAAGGGAGGAGGACCAAGAGGATCAACAAAATCCAGAAATCCTATTTTAAGGGAAGCTGGCTGTGTACCAGGGATTGTCCCAGGCTCTGGGACTGTGAGCATGACTGACCAAGTCCTGCCTTCATGGGCTTATGTCTCATGAAAAGGTCAACCAAAACCCAGAAAACAATTAAATAAAATTATCTTTCTAAAATGGGTCTGCCCTGCTAGCCTCTGTCTTAGCACCTTATCTGACTCATTCATGACAGAGATCACAATCTGTAATTACTTTGTTTTATTTTTACTCCAAACTAGTGGGCAGGGAACATGCCTGGCTCATTCACTGCTATATCCAAGGACCCAGAATGGGGTTTTGCGTGTCAAAAGTGCTCAGTGAACACAGAGCAAATGAACAAGTGACTTAGTGATGGTTTGTGAAATTTTCGTTCTGAGCCCAGAGTTTAAACTTCAGGCTACTTTTTTGTTGCTGGCAGTGGTCAGTCACCTCCCTATGTAAGAAAATTGAAAAGAAAATTCATTTTCATAATTCATGCAGTTTTTATTTTATAAAACATGTGGGTTCCTTAAGGAGATCATTCTATCCCAGATTGACTGTCTATGGCTGAATTAAAAAGACCATTGGAGGCCATTTGTCTTCTGGATTTGACACTTGGAGCAGGTGGCAGTATCTGGCAGGAACTGGGTTGGGGGAACTCATGAGGCTTGGCTCCAAAGCTGGGTAGTGTGTTGAATTGGTCTGGAGAGGGCTGCATGCCTGTGAGGAGAGGAGCTTCTCTTATTATTCACTTTCCTGCATCAATGTGCATCTAGGCTACTGTCAACATGTCAGGTTGACAAAATCATTGAGCTCAAGGAATGGAACTGTAGCACCATAAAACTCAATAATCTGGTAATACCAGGTTGCAGCATGTATCGGTGTAGCCTATGGTCTGGGCAATTCATAACAGGAGCTGCCACTTACTGTGCACCTACTATGTGCCAGGTCTTGTCGCCCAACATCTATGATCCTCACAACACCCTAACCTGGAAGGCATTATTTCTACTCTACAGATAACATCCCAGAGTCTCAACCTCCTCCTGATACCTCCCAAGATCTCAGGTATAATACTGTAGCCTCCCAAGGCAGGAGAAGCAGAACTCAAGAAGGGCATGGGGTTACTCTAGGCAGCAGGACGCCCATGCTGCCATGCCCCAATTCATTGCCCAGCACGTGTTGCTGATTGTGATCACAGCATTCTCTGGCTTGCTATGCTGTGCAGTCCTTCTCAGTACAGTGCTCCAAGCAGACACTACCAGACATTCTGGATGGCAAGTGAGATGTAACCTATTTGCCACCAACCTTTGAACAGTGTATGTAAAAGGCTTTGCCCTAGGAATTAGAATCCTGGATTCAGAGTGTTACGCTGTAACCATGTAACTTTGAGCAAATTGCTTCTCTCTCCTGACCTCAGTTTATTAACCTGTAGGATGGAAATTATCCCATACCATATCTGGCTCAAAAAGTCACCATATAAATATAAGCTGGTGAATTGGTTTCACTGGCACTGAAGTGCTGTTTTTAATTGTACCTGGATGGTGAATCAGTAAGGATCAGGGCCCTGTACAAACGTGAAGCATCCTCAAAAACGGCAGCTGTGCCCGGAGTTGTGATCAGCATCTTCTCGAGGCTTCCCTCAAGGACGCTGAGTGGAGTATTTGACTTCCTAAAAGTCACTGGGTGAGCTTGTTAATCCAGATTCCTGGGCACCCTCCCAAATGGCTGATTAAGCATTCCTGGGGATGGCTCCTGGCATCAGCATCTCTGAATCATTCCTCAGGTGATTCTGCTGCACGCTGCACCACTGTTTCAGTGGAAAAATGTATATATGTAGAACGCCACTGCTCTGTATAGGACCATATTGACCTTTGGAATTTTAAATATCTAGGTAGCTGCTTAACAAAAAGAGCCCCAATATCTTCCCCATCTGTGTCTGACAAACTCTTATTCATCTTTTAGGCCTATTCAAATGCCTCCTCCTCTGGGAAGACCTCCCTCACAGTCCTCCCAGAGCCCTCCAACCCATGTTTTGAGCACCTACTGTGTACTAGGCACTCTACTAAGCTCTAAAATGCATTACTATATTTACTCCTCTTCCTTTGAGAATAGAAGCTAATGCCATCATCACCACCTCTGCTCACACCTTAGAGTTGAGAAAAGGTGGCTCAGAGAAGCAAAGTGACTTTCTCTAGGATGTTTGGCTCTTATTGCATTATAGTTCATCATAATAGGCCTGTCTCTCCTACATGAGTGTGAGGTCCTTAACCATGAGAATTGCTGACCTTTGCATTTCTGGGAGTGAACACAGGGCCCAGCACATAGTAAATGCTCAACAAACCTTTGTTAAATTGAAGTGAAAAAAATAATAGAACAACTATAGTAATATAAAAAAGAGTAGTTCTGTTTGCTTTCCAGTCTCTGCCTTTGTTCAAGCTCAGGGTTCCACTAGAGGAGGAGGCTGACTTCTTTTGGGACTGAAGACTACAGATGTCTTCAGACTCTCCTGTAACCCCATGCTGGTGATTCTGGTCTTCTGGTAGCTTTCTTCTAAGTAACATCAGAAGACCTAGCAAGTCACAGGTTAGGGACTGAAGAAACACTTGACTGATTGGTTGAGCTGGGGGTGCAGAAGAGAGGTGAATGTATCTTTGATGAGCTTTATTGTGGCTTATAGATTACATTTATTTTCTTCTAATGAAAAGAAAAAGGCCAGGCTCAATGGTTCACTCCTGTAATCCCAGCATTTTGGGAGGCCAAGGCAGGAGGATCACTTGAGCCCAGGAGTTTGAGACCAGCCTGGGCAACATGGCAAGACCCCCTCTCTACAAAAACTAAAATTAGCCCAGTGTGGTGGTGTGCTCCTGTGGTCCCAGCTACTTGGGAGGCTGAGGCAAGAGAATTCCTTGAGTCTAAGAGGTCAAGGCTGCAGTGAGCTGTGTTCACACCACTGCACTCCAGCCTAGGCAACAGAGGGAGACCCTGTCTCAAAAAAAAAAAAAAAGAAAAACATACTTTTTCACATCTAACTTGGCAGACTGCCCTGGTCATAAATGTACAAATTTATTTCAAATACAGTTATCTTCAGTCCAACTAATAACTTTTTAAAAATCATATGGCTATAAAGCAGGAAAGTTGGAGAAGATGTTTAAGTTTCTTTCCAACATTAGGGTTCTGTGATTACATTAGGACCCTGGATAAGGTTTAGAGCAAGTTTAAATTACTTAAGTACAAAGCACCTCTAAAAATGGAATATCTTCAAGTGAATTAGATTTTCTTTCCAATCTAATCTCCTCTTCCAAGTTAGTCAGAATCTGAACTTTGTATCTAAATTTCTAAGCCTTGATATATGGAGACATTTAGAAAAAAATGAAACTCAAAGAGAAACAAACTGTGACAGCAAGCATAAGAATAGTAACACAAACCAATTATCCTAGAGCTTAATAGTTTCTCATAACTTCTTAGGCTTTCTTAGAAGTGTTCATTTATAGGCTGGGCGCAGTGGCTCATGCCTGTAATCCCAGCACTTTGGGAGGCTGAGGAGGGCGGATCACGAGGTCAGGAGTTCGAGACCAGCCTGACCAACATGGTGAAACCCTGTCTCTATTAAAAATACAAAAATTAGCCAGGCGTGGTGGCGTGTGCCTATAATCCCAGCTACTCAGGAGGCTGAGGCAGGAGAATCGCTTGAACCGAGGAGGCAGAGGTTGCAGTGAGCCAAGATCAGACCACCGCACCGCACCCCAGCCTGGGCGACAGAGTGAGACTCTGTCTCAAAAAAAAAAAAAAAAAAAAAAAGAAGTGTTCATTTACATAGCTTGGTTAAAGGTTTTGGGTACCATGGTAGAAATGATAAGGATTGCATGTGCTATTTGATTGCTTTTTTTCTTGCCTTAATCAAAGCCATAACCCCTACTTACCTTTGAACTTTGTTTTTTCGTTTGTTTTGCAGCGAAAACGGAAACAGAGCACCCAAGATGAAGATGCTGTTAGCCTTTGCAGTCTCGACATAAGTGTAAGTATAGTCCTTTCTTCCCCCACTGGCACCGAGAGCATCTCTCTTCTCCGAAGGTTATTTGTTAATAATATGCTGTGTGCTTGAAGTGGGCTTCCAGGATCTGACTATGGAAGTTGTGACCTGGGGGAAATTTTTTTTAACTGAAAAACATTTTATTTCACTGGAGAAAACTGTGTGGCCAACTTAAACTTCCAAGCTAAGTTGTTTATTGCCTGTGTCTTTTCTCTCATAAAATGAATTATGAACTCAGTGCATCTGGGTAGAATCTAGATAAATACCAGTGTACTCTTTTAGAGGCTGGTTCCAGAAGATGGAACAGATGTTTGTCCCCCTTTGGGGGAAAGTTAGTGGCTTGGCCCAGCTCAGGCAGCCGGATGGCCCAAAGGCCAGAATAAGACTCCAGAAGCATAGTGGAGTGAGTGGCTTTGGATCAGCAGATCTTAGTTTGAATCAAGATTCTGTACTTACCATCTGTGTGACACCTTTCCTTACCAGTTTCCTCATCTGGAAAATAGGAATGAAAAGACTTAACCTGACAAAATTTGGGAGGGGGTCAAATAAAACAATAAAAGTGAGAATATTAAACACATTGCCTGTACATACTGGGCACCCACCAAATATTTGCCTCATTTTTTTTTTCTTTTTAAATCAGAAGTTTGTAGAAGATGCTCAAGTGTCTTGGTAGTTGACTATTGGTGATGATCAAGGTGGAAAAGCTTCCTTGGCTTTGTTTCAGAACATGTCCTTGGATACTTAATTTCATAGCTTTCTTTGTGTGGCCACCGTGTCTCCCCACTGATGCAATTGGGAAGCCTACCTTGGCCTCTGATGCCCTCATTATCCTGGGGCTTGGGGGTGGAGTAGGAATTCAGGCCCTCCCTGGGCTCCCCTTGTCAGTTCATCATCTGCACATCCCTGGGGTTTAACCACTGTGTTCTGTGGATCCGTCTAACATTAGGCCGTGCTCGCTCTCCTCTGTGGAGACCATGAAAGCTACTCTTATGAGATGAGAAGCCTTCCATGCTAGGAATAAAGAACTGAGTCATGGTTCTGGCTCTACCTATAATTAACAGTGTACCTTGGACGAGTCACTTCCTTTCTCTGAACTTCTGTTTCTTCTTTTGTTAAAAAAGAAAAAGAAAAAATGTTTGGGATCAGCCCTTCTAAAACCATTGTGAAAAGGAAACTCATTAGATATGGATTGTTAGGTACTCAACTGATAACATTATTTACCAATGTGAACAATTTTTTTTAGCTATTTTTAATTACTGCAGAGTTTTCTGTGATGCAACCAGCCATGATGGAGCGAGCTTGAACTGGCTCTAATTAATGTACTTGAGCGTCTGTTTTACCATGTGGTGTTTGTTTGTTCCAATCTTTAGACCCTCAGATTGATGGAGTTGGGCCAGTTTACTAAGTTGCCGTGGTGAACAGGACAAAAAGATGATGTTCCTTTGGGTTTTACTTTACTCATTGAATATTTTGTTATTGACAAGTGAAGTCTATGGAATTTCTCTTAGCAGCAAGATTTTTTTGTGTGTTTGAATCTTTTTAATTTTATGGAAGTTTACTTTTAGAATTTAAAGATTTTCAGAATTTAAAGACTGTCAGAATTTACAGAGCCCTTAGCCACCATGTATGTATTCCAGTCCCCTCACTTTGCAAATAAAGAAGTGGAAGCCCTGGAGGTGTAATGACTCAGGCAAGACTTCAATCCAGGTCACTTCTAAGATTATGCCTTGTCTTACATTTTCCCCCAAGTATATATTGATATCCATTTTTCAGGAAAGCATGTCTCTAGATGCTTTCTATCGAAGAACCACTAACATTGTATTAAAGGACTATTTACAATTATGAATTGTGATTTGATTTTTGTCTTGTTTGTCATCAATGGCCTTGACTTCCCATCAAGGTCACAAGACTGTGGATAATTTGGCTTCTTTTCTCCTTGTGCAGCTACGGATGATATTTCCTTTTTTCTTAACCATCTCATATGTTATGTTTTATCACATTAAAGAGACTTGTATAGAAGATAAATCTACCCCATTACCACCAACATGGCCGATCCCTATGCTTAGGGACTCAGCTTTGGACAGACTCATTTCTGATTTACCTGGCATTTTTCCTGAATCTTGGCAAACAGGGCTGAGTTTCCACCATTTATTGCCACATAGTATTATAATAATTGCAGAAGTTGGAAGAATTCTAGAAGCTGTTGGAGGAACATGAAAACTGCTGTTCTGCAGATTCCGCTGACCATTACAGTCATATGGAGATGACAGAGGGTGTGACAGATCTAGATGTGGCCATGGAGGGAATGTGACTAAATTTAAGTAACTTTCTCCCAGTAGGCACTCAGGAGAGATGAGTTGAATGGAACTAAATGGTAGATAGAGCCACACAGGAGAAGATGTTTTGCCATAAAGGCAACAATGGTGAAATGAATATCTGAATCCAATAAATTAATTGCTCTAATAAGTAAATGGCCTCTGTGGGCTACTCAAAGGAACTTTATCTTTGTGCATTTAAATGATGATATCTAATAGAGTCACTGTCCCTGAGCTAACTGGCAGTATTACTGAAGAGTTGTTTTTGGACTGTTTCTATGTGTAGTGGAAAGTATCTTTAAAAAAAAAAAAAGGTGGGTCCCAATGGATGACTCATACCAGAGGATGCGAGGGTTTGGGAAAGTAATATGAGTAACTCTCAATTTTTATTCCATTTAATAAGTTGTAAGACATTCGCCAGATGTGTGCTTTGAACAAGAAATTGCAGATGAGGGGACAGGTCTTTGGAGACCATATTCAAGTTTTCATTGAGTCCCAGCCCAATGCTAGATACACAGTAGATTCTTGATAAATATTGTTGATGGGTTAAAAAACAAAACAGTGAACTCGCCTAATGTATACCTCTTTTAAAGAAATGTATCTGGGACTTAAAGTTGAGAAATATTAACACAGACTATGTCCCCCTTTGATTAAAAAGTAAGTGCCCTATAGCAGTGGTCCCCAACCTTTTTGACACCAGGGGCCGGTTTCGTGGAAGACAGTTTTCCACTGACCGGGTGGGGTAGGGGATGGTTTCAGGATGATTCAAGCACTTTACATTTATTGTGTACTTTATTTCTATTATTATTACATTGTAATACATAATGAAATAATTACACAACTCATGATAATGTAGAATCAGTGGGAGTCCTGAGCTTGCCTTCCTGCAACTACACAGTCCCATCTGGGGGTAACAATAGTGACAGATCATCAGGCATTAGAATCTCACAAGGAGCCAAAACCTAGATCCCTTGCATGTGCAGTTCACAATAGGGTGTGTGCTCCTATGAGAATCTAAAGTCTCCACCGCTGATCTGACAGGAGGTGGAACTCAGGCGGTAATGAGAAAGATGGAGAGTGGCTATAAATACAGATGAAACTTTGCTTGCCTGCCGGCCACTCACCTGTTACTGTGCAGCCTGATTCCGTGGCCCTATAGAATGTTTATTTGTTATCATCACTCAGACACCCTTCAGGATGACTGACGTTATTCTTACAGAACAGGGATCCTCGATTGTTTGGGGGGATGCATCACTTAACTCTTTCCGGAATCTGTTGATAGCACAGGAAATTTTACAAAATTGATGTGTGATTTCAGGGGATTTATGGATCCCAGCCAAGACCCCTGTTAAGAGTTTCTCTTACAGAGGAAACTGGAAGGGTCTTAAAGCTCGGTGATGGGTGACGTATCTCCAAATAATTGTTTTCTGACCCTCAACTCCCAGCACTTGGTGGAAAATGAATTCTGACTGGAGAGTCAATGCTAGTTGATGATATAATCGGTCACTATTTTTTCCCACCGCCTCACCCAATCCCCTGACTGGGCCCCCAACTTCCTGGTGGGTTAGAACACAAACTATTTCTGAGGGAAAATAAAAAGCAACGTACACTTTTGAGAGCAATCTGCCGAGTGGAGAAGGCTCCCAGCAGCCACCTACGAATCTCCCCTCACGTCAGAGGATATGAGTAGGATGGTTTCAGGGAGCTTGCCTCCCCCACAGCACTTTTCTAGTTTAAATTCTAATGGGCGAGAGACGCTGTAGCTCATGTCACCACAGGAAAGGCCCTTGGTGCCAGAGCTCCTGCTGCAGAGCACAGCTCAGCACCAGACATTCTTTCTTATAAAACAAATGAGCTCTGGGTGGAAATAAAAATAGCCTCCAATGATAAAGTAATGTAAAAATAAAAAGGAATATACGTTCTCTAGAAAAACTGGAAAATGTGAACAATAGTTTGACAATCCCACCTCAAAGCCATAGCTACATTTTGATGTATTTCCTTCCTGTCATTATATACAAACCTTTAATTTTTTTTCATTATGAAATATTTCAGACATACAAATGGTATAAAGATAATAGAAAACCCCATGTAGCTACCAATGCAACTGAAGAAATACGCCCTAAACAGTGATGCCAAAGACCCTTGCAAAAACCTTTGCTTTGCGGAGTTTGATGTTTATTTCTGCTTTGCATGTCCATAAATTTGCTATGGACATGTATCCCTAAAGAGCATATATATTTTTAACCAGCTTTTAACATTTATATAAGCATACACAGTTTTTAAAAATTGAGATCGGGCAGGCATAGTGGGCCTATAATCCCAGCACTTTGGGAGGCCGAGGCGAGAGGATCACTTGAGCCCAGAAGTTCGAGACCAGTCTGGGCAACACAGGGAGATCCTGTTTCTACAAAAAAAATAAAAAATTAGCCAGGTATGGTGATGCATGGCTGTAGTCGCCGCTACTTGGGAAGCTGAAGTGGGAGGATCGATTGAGCCTGGGAGGTTGCTGCAGTGAGCTGTGATTGTGCTGCTGCACTCCAGGCTGGGTGACAGAGTAAGACCCTATCTCAAAAAAAAAAAAAAAAGGATTATAGTACAAATTAATTTATTCATGAATTTTTCACTTACTATATTATGAACGTGTCATATTATGAAATATTCTGTAAGAATATTATTTTTAATAACGATAGAGTACTTTATCAAATGTGTTCATTTAAATCTATTCCACCAACCCTTTACTGGGTATTTAGATAAGTTCCAACTTTTCGCTATTATAACTAATGCTGATGGGCATCCAGGAACATGTTTGTGTAATCTCTTTTATCAGTTGGATAAAGTTTGAGATATGAAATTCCTGGCTAAAAGAGTATGAATATTTTTACAATCTCTGAATAGGTTTATCCTCTGCTTCTGGCAGTGAAGTGGAAATGAACTTTAGAGCTGTTGAGTATCTTGTGTGGAATCTCACAGGCATGGGAGATTGTTTTCAGCTTTCCCTGGCCCTTCTCTCTTCCGACTGCATGACCAGTCCCTTGCTAAGACTATGACTTGAGATGGGACATTTACTTCCCCCCTCCACCCATCCTGCCACCCTTTAGGAAAGCCCCTGACAGGGCCCACACGCCTCTCTTGACTGGTGGGGATGGAGCTGGTGGCGATGGAGCTGGTGGTGGGGCATCTTTTCTATGCTGGTGGGGCTTTCCCATGGGAGCACATGGCTGGACCATCACTTGGAGTGGGATAGGATTGGGATTCACATTCTTCCTGCATTTTTTTTTTTGTTTTGCTGATTTGCAACCATCAAGATGAGCCCTGTTTAATCTCCTGGCAAGGAATACTTGGGAAGAATGTGCTCACAGCTCTCAGTGCTTTTGAGATCCATGTATTGTTGTTGTTACAACCACTCTTCTGTCCCCTTTGAGAAATCTACACAGAAATCCACATGGCAGATGTTTGAATCTCACCCCTTCCCTCTCTTCCTAAGTTGAGGAAGAGCTGAGCTATGGTCTGCCAACAGTGGAGGAGGCTCTTCTGGAGCTCACTAACATGACTGCAAGACCCTCATTGAGGCCGAGCAGTATTCAGCGTCTCTGTGGCCTCCTCACTGGCCTCCCTACCTCTTTGTAGTCTGCCCTCCATGTATCAGCCAGGGACATCTTTCCAAGTGTAAATTTTATCTTGTCATGCCTGCCTCTAGGTTCCCAGACTGTGCTTCCAAAGCCTTGCACCGTCTGGCCCCTGCCCACCTCCTGAACCACTCCCTTCCACCTTTTACACATGCAGGCCAACCATGCTGGTTTTCTTTCAATTTCTCCAACTCCTCATGCTCCATCTTGTCCCTGGGCCTCTGCACATACTATTCTCCCATTTGTGGAATGCATGCTGTTTCTTCTCCCCGCATTTCACCTGGCTCATGCCCCCTTACCCTTCATATCTAGCTCTCCTCTAAGAAGCTCCCAGACTTCCCAGGATTCCTTTATACCTCTCCCTCCAGCCATTCCCTACCACCACCACCACCCCACTCTCACAAGCTTATGTTGCCATCCTAGCCTTTATCACCCAGCATTGTGATGCCTGCTTCCATTTCACCTTCAGAGGCAGGCTGTGACCCTTCACAGGGAGGGCTGTGTTCCACTCTTTTTACATCCCTAGCACCTGGCACAAGGCCTTGCCCGTAGCAGGTGCTGAATAAACATTGAATGAAGGTATGCTTGAAGTTTCTTCTATTGTATGAATAATTGAAAGAAAGGGACAGATAAATGTTTAAAAAGTCAGTAGCATTTCAAAAAAAAGGGGGCTTGGGATAGAATTTTTAAAATTTAAGGCAGAAGATGAGATGAACATATTTATCTCAGATGTGTGATGCCAGGAAGTCTTTTGGACTTCAATCACTCGGGTACAGAAGGCTGTTCCTGATTTTTGTTATAGTATATGGTATAGTTGTGATCTGTTTGCAAGCTCACCAATAGCCTGTGAATTCCCTCAAAGCAAATACATAGTGTCCATCATAGTTGCTCCATAAATATGTCTAGGATGGGTGAATGAATGAATGAATGAGTCTCAGATTGAGTTACTTACATGGGTGTTTCTGAGATGCTCAGTATTATTCTTACTAGCATGGTTTTCCTGGGATTAATATTAATCAGAATTTCAGGGAGGAAGGGACCAAATTGCTATAGAGTCCTTCCTTATGCAGCATGGCTGTGAGAGACTCATTAGATACATAGCAACAAGAGCAGCTACTGTTGATTTAGTGCTACTATGTGATGGGCACTGTGCTACTATACATTTTATTATTTAATCCTCATATTACCCCTTTAGAGATGAGGCAAACGGAGTGGATAGAAGTTATAAACTTGCCTGAGGCCTTACAGCTAGCAAATACCATAGCTTTTGGATCTGAGTCGCAGGCCTGTCCTCCCAATCACAGTGCTAATTATAGTTATTATATTAGTAAATAGCATACTATAGCAGGCTAATATGAATTAAGCATTCATATGCTCTGTGCTTTCCAAATACCTCATTAAATTCTCACAGTGGTACGGTCCTGTGACAATGGAATGTATCATACCCTTTTTGCAGATGAGGTAACTGAGAGCCAGAGAGATAAACAATTAGTTCAAAGTCACAGTATGTAAATTTAAGCCCAGGATGGTTCGATTCCACAGCCTCCCCACACCACCTCCAGGACAGGAGAGGAGAAGAAAGCTTTTGGCTCCCTGGCTTTCAGTGCTGAATGATGTTTAGTGCTTTTAGCTGGTCTTATTGGCAAAGTTGCTTTGAGGTTTATGACAGGCATCCCCAAATTTCCATTAACTGTGCACTCCAGTTATTTATCCTGTCATGTGCATGCCCAAAGCACAAGCATTGATATAGAAGAGGGGGAAAAAAGCTTTCCTGTCTCAGTTAAGCTAAATGGTGTTTCATTGCCAGGATATGTTAAACCAGGCACGGAATAGCAGCGAGATTTATTTTATCTCTGCTCAGCAGAGTCCAGATAATTAAAAAAGATACCATTTCTGTGGTTTTGTTTCTCTTGGTCTGTTCTGGAACTTGCTAACTGGGGAGATTAGCCTCGCCCTGGCCAGCATGGGGCCTTGATGAATTATGTGGGAGAGGTTAATAATGCTCTTATCACCGAGGAGACCAGGCCTCTAGCTGAGATTGGGTCTTCATTAACACATGCTTATATTTAACCTGTTGGCATTTTTTGTTTGTTTGTTTTGGGTTTATGGTCTATTTTTGCTGTCTGTGAAATTGTTTGGGCCTAAGGTAGCAGATACCCTATGTTTGGTCCAATGGTTGTTCTGACGCTGCCGCCTCTGATGGCAAATTTACTTGTGCTTTGAGCGTTCACATAGACATATTGCATCTTGCCTTTGGCCTAATAGATTAGGTGGTAGATAATAGTTGCTGTGATCTTTTATCTTTGACACACTTCTTGAAAAGCACAGTGACAAAGAAATTCCAAGGAGTTTCAGGACACACTCTCGGATATGAATGATATAACAAAGTGTAAGTCAGCATATTCACCTTTTCCCATTCCCCTTCAAAGTGACCTTGATGGGGCCCTTGTTAAATGAAGGTGCTTGTGCCCCAGAACACCTGTTTGTTGGGATTTATCACCAGAATTACAAACTTCAGGAGGTTAGAGAGTGAACATCATTCTGTACCTCAGTTTCCTCACCTGTAAAACAGAAATCGTAACAATGCCCTGCCTTAAAGTTGTAAGGCTAAAAATGAGTTAATTCATGCCAGGTGAGGTGGCTCACACCTGTAATCCCAAAACTTTGGGAGACTCAGGCTGGAGGATTGCTTGAGCCCAGGAGTTCCAGAACAGCCTGGGCAATATAGTGAGACCTCGTCTCTACAAAATAATTTATGTAGCCATTAAAAAAGAATGAGATCATGTCCTTTGCAGGGACATGGATGGGGCCATTATCTTTAGCAAACTAACGCACGAACAGACAACCAAATACATATGTTCTCCCTTATAAGTGGGAGCTAAATGATGAGAACACATGGACACATAGAGGGGAACAACACACACTTGGGCCCTATCAGAGAGTGGAGCGGGGGAGAAGGGAGGAGGGAGAAGATCAGGAAAAACAACTAATGGGTGCTAGGCTTAATATTTGGGTGATGAAATAATCTCTACAACAAACCCCCATGACACATGTTTACCTATGCAACAAACCTGACATATAAGCCTGAACTTAAAAGTTAAAAAAAAAAAAACAAACATAGCACAAAAGTAAAACTTGTTTGAGGTTTTAAAAAATAATAAATTTAAAACTTAGCTGAGTGTGGTGGCATGCACCTGTAGTCCTAGCTACTTGGGAGGCTGAGGTGGGAGGATCACCTGAGCCCAGGAGGCAGAGACTGCAGTGAGCTGAGATCATGCCACTGCACTCCAGCCTAGGTGTCAGAGCAACATCCTGTCTTCATTTAAAAACAAACAAATAATAAAATAAAAAGTTAATTTATGTAAAGTACTTAGTACCTGGCCTATCGTGAGCACAAAAAAATAACTACTGTTGCTATTGATTTTATTATACAAAATCAACTTTATTGTTAAGTTCAAGGGTCTTTGTTATTAATACAAGTATTCCATAAATAGAATTGATCATGTAATTTTAAAAAGCAGTATATGAGGCCAGGCACAGTGGCTTACGCCTATAATCCCAACACGTTAGGAGGCTGAGGCGGGTGAACTACAAGATCAGGAGTTCGAGACCAGCCTGGCCAACATGGTGAAACTCTGTCTTTACTAAAAATACAAAAATTAGCTGGGCTTGGGGGTGCATGCCTGCAATCCCAGATACTCGGGAGGCTGAGGCAGGAGAGTCGCTTGAACCAGGGAGTGGGAGGTCACAGTGAGCCAAGATCGTGCCACTGCACTCCAGCCTGGCAACACAGCAAGACTCCATCTCAAAAAAAAAAAAAAAAGTATATGAAAAGAGGTATATAAGGATTTTTATTACAGCATTGTTTATGATAGCTAAAACTGGAAACAGCATGAATATCCGAATTATATAGACTTGTAAATGCATTCAGAATATAAGTGTAAAATGCAGTTACAGAACACATGCTATATACGTTATGCTCCTATATGTTTATATACATTTATCTATATAAAGGAAGAAGTATGGAAGAGCATACACTGTATTGTGGATAGTCCTTAGATTGGGAGAATGGAATTGTGGGGATGAGGAGATTAAGTTGTAAGGATTCCTGAGCTTTGGTATTTTGCAAAACCTATGAACACCCCTTTCCCCACAAAGACTGTTTATATGTGCCCAAAGCAAAATTCACAAGGTTATAGCAAACCAGTTATGTTGAAATATAGTTATAAAAATATTTAAAAACAAATTTGTGGTTAGAGCATGTGCTTCTTAATGCATTAAGTAACATCTGGCAACAAGTCTAATAAGTAATACACCTTCAGTGATATGATAAGAATAAGAATAAATGATATTTTGAAATACCTACACCAACTACACTGTCATTTGAAAATATAGTGATTTCTGTGTTGACAGTCACAGGTCTGAGAACGCTTCTGTGATCTGTAGCCTCCATTCATACTGGAAAGAAATACTAAATTTCAATCATTGGTGAAAATAAAGATGTATCTCATTTTTCCATCTAAGCTTGAAGATGCCCTGAATTTTATTCAGTGAACTCTTGAGGGTCTGAGAATTCTAGATTATGAATCCCTGCTTAAGACACTCAGTCTGTTATGATAAGCTTTTCTATTATATTACATTTGTAATACAAATGACTGCAAAAAATATAAGAATAATAGATTTTGACCTGTTGGTATGTGAGATTATTAGTGTTAGTAAAGGTAAGAATGTAAAACATTATATAAAAGTTGTTTTTAGGAAGACCATGTAATAGTCATGAAGTCAGTTCTCAGCACTTGGTGTTTAGATTTTTCCTTGAGAACAGCTTAGCTTACTGGTCCTTCACATTGCTTTTTTTAACCTTTGTTTTTTGTTTTTGTTTTTAGTTTTTAGTTTTTTAATGCTTCATATGCCCATCTACACATTGCTTTTTGAAACAGATAACTTGAGCCACCTCAGTATTTTAGTAGAAAATATTTTCTGCTTCTACTGTTGAAAAAATAATTTGGGGATAGAAAAATATTTTATTTTTTAGAGATGAATATGGAAGTGTTTAGGGGTAAAATGTCATATCTTTCATTTACTGTCAAATTCTTTAGCATAAAATATAAAGTGAATATTTTAAAGAGAAAAACAATTTTATTTTTAATTATACAAGTAACATTGTATACATTCTCATCATTTAAAAATCAAACAGCAGAGATAGAGCTAACAGTGACTCTACCATGCCCCAGTCCCACTTACCTCCTTAGGTGTAATAATCAGTTTACTGTCTCCTTCCAGATATTTAGATAGAGTTAGATAGATAGATAAATATATATGTAAAAATTAGTTTGTGATGGCTTTTTAAAGACATGTTGTCATTGTTTTTATTTTAATTTTCAACTTGCTTTTTTCCCTTTTAAATAGATTTTATTTATTTATTGATTGCTGTGAGAAGAGATAGTATATTGAAAGCTATTCAGTTACAGAATAGGGCATCCTCCGAAAGCAAAAGGAGGAATGCCTTGTCTTTTTCTTCTATATAGGGTAGACTTTACTTTTTTTTTTTAGAGCAGTTTTAGATTCACAGCAAAATTAGGCAGAAAGTACAGAGCATTCCCATATGCCCCCAAGTCGATGTATACATAGTCTCCCCCATTATCAACAGTTTCCATCAGAGTGGCACATTTTTCACAAGTGATGAACCTCCATTGACACATCATCTTTCAACCAAAGTTTATAGTTTACATTAGAGTTCACTTGTGGTTTTGTACATTCCATGGGTTTGTACAAAAGTGTAATCACACATATCCACCATTATGGTTTCATACAGAATGCTTTCACTGCCCTGAAAATCCTCTGTTCCACCTATTCATCTCCCCTTCTTCACTAACCTCTGGCAATCACTGATCTCTTTACTCTCTCCATACTTTTGCCTTTTTCAGAATGCCATATAGTTGGAAGGATACAGTATATAGCCTTTTCAGATTGACTTCTTTCACTTAGTAATATGCATTTATGGTTTTTCCATGTCTTTTCATGACTTGGTAATTCGCTACTTTTTTATCACTGAAAAATATTTTATTGTATAGATGTACCACAGTTTGTTTATCCATTAATTTAGTGTAAGCTGTATCTTATTCTTTTAAACTGCTGCTTATTATTGCATAAAACAGATGGGTATAGTTTATTTTTAATGCAGTTCTCCACTGAGAAACATTTTTGTTGTGTCCAATACTTCCCAATAACAAACAATGACTATCTCTACACCCCAGAGCAAGTAGTAAGGTACACTTCATTTAAATAACAGTGTTTGTAACTCTTAAACTTATATATCCAGAAGTATATTCCTTCTATGTCATGCATAATTTAAAATATATATATATATAAATTGTAGTTGTGAATTTAAAGAATGTTATATTGACAAGTTTTACCTTTCAACTGCCTTAAAATGTATTCAGTTTATCATTAATACTATTTTGACTGAGATTTTTGCTGTAAGAAGTCACTAGAAAGTAATACTTTTGTTTCTGATTTTTTTTCCAGGCTGGAGCCTGGGTCTGTCCACCTGAAAATTATGTAAATAATACTGGTTAGGAAGTTTCATCTGGGCTTCCATGCCCAGCTAATTGAGTTTACCCCTAAATGATTTATGTAATTATATCAAGCCTCATCTTTGATCTGGTTATATATTCCTGGTTTCAATTGCAGAAGCTGTTTGTCTGTTTTTCTTACTTTTCTCAATTGTGTCTGATACCTGTTCTCTGTGAAGAGAAGGAGATATGTTGACTTTTGCCCTTGATCTTACCATGCATAGAATTTTACATTACTTGACGGACACTGAAATTCTTGGGTAACTTCAGAGAAATGTTAAAAGAATGAAGTGACCAGGAGAATTCTCGTGGTTTGTGTGTCTTCCTCTACCCTGCTGTTTAACTTACCCTGCGATGTGCTGATCATTTTACGGAGAGAGCTGACTCAGTATGAGCAGGTGGTTTCTCTATAAGCATAACATTCATGACTGATATTGAAGGTGAAACATTTGAAACGAAATCACGGGCTTATCTTCAGTGGTCACAATGCCAGGTTTGGATTAACTCCTTAGCAATCCTGCAGGGAAACCTGAATGGGTTTATTCCCAACAGACTGACCTTTTCCCCTTATAATACTGTAAATGGAACTTTTTTTTTTTTAACTCCTCACGTACCTCAAAATATCAATTTCCAAAACAGGAATCCTCTACTCAGCACTAAAATCAATAAATCTAAAGAGCTTCTTTGTCTTTATTTGGCAGAGGAAAGGGACGATTTTGCTGGTCAGCTCTATATAAATTCCATTGAAGAAAATATTGTTTTAGAATTAATGAGTTAATTTGTTCATTCTTTAGTGCATTCACTCAGCGCGTCCACTAATTCAATCAACTGGCATTTACTGAGCTCTGCCATACATCATACACGGGCCACTGAAAGAAGCTAAACTTAAGACTCATTCATCTGCAGACAAGTGGGGGTTGCACTCTTGCTTCTGAAACAAGTTAACCAAGCACAGAGAAGGCGCATCTAAGCTGTACCCATGGTTGTTTTTCTCCTTTTTCCAAAGGATCAATTCTGACTCTTGGTTGGTTTTGAAAGAAATTTTACTATGGATTCTTTTCTGGTAATATTTTTCTCTCTTAGAATATCCTTGAAACTGGCTGGGCGCAGTGGCTCATGCCTGTAATCCCAGCACTTTTGGAGGCTGAGGCAGGCAGATCACCTGAGGCCAGGAGTTCGAGACCAGCCTGGCCAACATGGTGAAACCCCGTCTGTACTAAAAATATAAAAATTAGCCGGATGTGGTGGCACACGCCTGTACTCCCAGCTACTTGGGAGGATGAGGCAGGAGACTTGCTTGAACCCAGGGTGGGTGGAGGCTGCAGTGAGCCAAGATCGCACCACACTGCACTCCAGCCTGGGTGACAGAGCGAGACTCTGTCTCGAAAAAAAAAAAAAACAAACAAAAAAAGAATATCCTTGAAATTAACTTATTTGCTTTTAGCTGGTTAACTCAAAGGTTCAGTCGGGAAGGTGCTTCACTTTATTTTATGTAAAAGCCAACCTTGAGAAATTATACTTTGTGGTGGGCTTTGCATCTGTGCTCTCCTTACAGTTAGGCATTAGGCTCTAGAAGCATTGAGTTTCAAAGAAACATCACTAGGGTTTTTTACATCTAGAGAGGACCTTTCATTTTGTTCATGTAGAGTGGTTGTGGGGTACTGTTCCATTTTAGGGAGAACGAGGTTGTTTGAAATGAGCCACTTCTGTACATTGTTATTAGTAGAAGTATTTAACAAAATGCCTTTGCTATTGATTTTATTCTGTAAAGTTTGATTCATATCCAAGCAGATGTGATCAAGAGTGTGATGGTTTGATAAATAGAGCCAGAATCACACCATTATCACTTCCTCCAGATGGTCATGCCCTCTTCATTTCCACAGTGGCTGGATGTCTAGGGCCTCCAACCTGGTCTTCCTCATTTTCCTTCAGTTCTCTGCTCAAATATTCTTAGACTTCCTCTGTCCCACTATGTGAAATAGCATTTCCAGGCCAGGCGCGGTAGCTTACACTTGTAATTCCAGCACTTTGGGAGGCTGAGGCGGGAGGATTGCTTGAGCTCAGGAGCTCGAGACCAACCTGGGCAACACGACGAAACCCTGTCTCTATGAAAAATATAAAAATTATCCAGGCATGGTGGTGTGCCTGTGGTCCTGGCTACTTGGGAGGCTGAAGCAGGAGGACTGCTTGAGCCCAGGAGGTTAAGGCTGCAGTGAGCCATGATTTCTCCACTGTACTCCAGCTTGGGTGACAGAGCAAGACCTTGTCTCAAAAAAATAAATAAATAAATAAATAAATAAATAGCATTTTAACTCCTCGGCACTCCCCTCTCTTCTTATCTGACTTTATTTTTTCTTCATAGCCTTTATCATCACCTGCCACATTATGTATTTTTTAAATTTATTATATTTGTCTCTTCACAGTAGAATATAATTTTTATTTTGTTGTTTTTGCCATATTATCAACATCTGGGGCAGTGTCTGGCATTGTGTGTCCGATAAACATTTGTTGGATAAATGATTGAGTGGCTACTTGGTTGTTCATATGTTACATGCTGTCTTTGGAAGGTTACTGTAAACATGAACTGGATTTATCTTGGCAACATTTTAAGAACATGTCTTCCTCTACATACATATTTGCCTTCCCTCATTTTTAAAGAAAACCAGTACAACAAAAGGAAAATCAAGGTCTACCTGAAGAGACCTTGTGATATACAAAGCAAGATAGGTAAAAATAATACCAGGCTTTTATGAGCTAATAAATAAGTCAGGCTAAAGACAAGAGGATAGAAGGAATGTGAAATATACACATGATTTCATATGGATGTGGAATTGTTAACACCAGTGCTACACTTAACTCAGTTGGTATGGAAAGATCTCTCAGGATAGTGGTAGGAATGGAAATTTTCTATTAAAATGAAAAACATCCCACTGTTGCAGTCTCAATTCCTTTCCACTTAACGGGTGTTTATTGAGTGCACAACACTATGCCTGGTGCCCACCATGTGGTTACAGAATGAAAGATGCTTGTAAGGAGTTATCAATCAACATACATTGCTTGTTTATCCAAACTTGTGGAAAGGAGTATATTCTAGATGATATAGAAATGACAGAGTACCAGTACATCTTTTATATCTCACTCAGAATATGTTCTAGCTGTTACATTGAAATATGAGTAAGCCTTGCCGCTTGAGCATTCTCAATATTGTGAAAAAAATACAGGAGCCACTTTGAGGAGACCCAGCATTGTTGGAGGTAGGAATGTGCCAGGTTCTCCCTGCTGGACAAGGTGGAATGCTTCCCTGCTTTCTGTCCAGGGTGAGTGGAGCAGCCTCCCCTAGGAACATGACGCAGGGCACCGGTCATACTAACCCACCATCTTTAGTCTCCCTTTTACCCTGTGTGTTTAGCTTGTTTTACTCGGAAAAGGTAAATAAGGTTTTGGTTGAAAATACCTTTTATTGATTATAAGCTTCCAAGACAGGGAAAAACTAAACAGGAGGTGCTGAATGGACCTGAAAATGGACCTGATGATCTACTCAGCTTAATCATGCTAATAAAGAAAGGTGGGGTTTGTTTTGTTTTGTTTTGTGTTTTGAGACAGGATCTCACTCTGCCACACAGGCTGGAGTACAATGGCATGATCACAGCTCACCTCAGCCTTGACCTTCTGGGCTCAAGCAATCCTCCTGCCTCAGCCTTCTGAGTAGCTGGGACCACAGGTGCAGGCCACCACACTTGGCTAATTTATTTCATTTTTTTTTTTTCATTTGCAGATAACCCAAAAGGCAAATGATTCACCTACGGCTAACAGAGGTGATTGCATTTTGAATAGGATGTCTGTCTTTCTTTGGGCTGCTATAACAAAATACCATAGCCTGGGTGGGTTATAAACAACAGAAATTGATTTCTCACAGTTTTGAAGGCTAGGAGTGTGAGATTAGGATTCCAGTTCTGGTGAGGGTCCTCTTCTGGGTTGTAGAGTGTGCTGCTCTCATTACCTACACACTTCCCAAGAGCCCCACCTCCCAATACCATTACATTAAGGGTAGAATTTCAACATATGAATTTCAGAGGGACACAAATATTCTGTTCATAACAATGTCCAAGCTCACAGATCACACCTCACTAGCCACATGCCTAAATGTCATTAAAGGCACAGTAATTTACTAACTTCCATAGAGGAGAGAAAAACCTTTTAAAAACATATTTTTTAACATGGTTTGGATACAGTGAGTTTTCACAAATTTGAATATTATGTGTAACTGAAAAACATTGGCTTTAAAAAATTATAAATTATCTTCCTTTACATTTGATATTTCATGTGGTTTTGCCTTCACATAGAAAAGAAGGTTTCATCATAAGCACGTTTCTGATGTGCATTTCTCATAGCTGTTGACAACTTGCTGTGTTTTGCTCTGCTCTGTTTGCCGTAGCGGAATCATTCTCCTTTCTAACCAATCTGTGCGCTGTGGTAGCATGTTCTCTTCTAGGTTGCTGTTTAAGTTTTGTTATGTGCCTTGATGATGTTCCCTCTCTGTAATACAACCAGAAATTGAGGCTGCGACTTCATTTAAATTATTGTCAGGTTGTGGAAATAGGCCTGCCATGTGCTCGCCATCCCCACAGGGAAGTGGAGGAGTGTCTGAAATGAGAAATGAACCAGCTTCTGGCAACTCATGAAGAATGTGTCTGGAAATAGGGATGGTATGAAGGGAGGGTTATTGCTGTGTTTTATATAATAAAGGGAATGATTAATGGGCTCCCAGTATACCACAGTAAAGAACAAAATTGCCTTTGGGACCTTGGAGGCTTTGTTTAGTTTGGGGGCTTATGTTTGACTGAAGGTCTCATGTTCTTGACAAAAGGGTGACATTTGCTGAGTAAACTTTGAAATTTTATTATATGTAATATAATAACTGAAGAGGGGGCTATCAAGACACTCTCTGAGGAAGGTCTATGTTAAGTGGCATTGATCATTGCATAGCTTCCTGATTTACAGGTGACTTGGAAGATCATTCTAAACTGTAAGGTCCTTGAGGACCTTACATGTATTCTTTTATTCTTTCCTCATTCTTTCATTGATATTCACATTGACTGAGCATCTCCTATAGTCACGCTGTGTTGGTTGGTGGTAAGAGAATAACATGGTGAGCAAACCAGGCAAGGTGCTGGTGACTTACAGTCCAATTATGGAGGCAGATGTTAATAATCACCGTAACAAGAATATAATAACAAATGAAAACAAAAGCTTTGAAGAAAAGAGAGACATGTTGCTGTTAGGGCATTTAACCAGGGAGCTTGACCTAGTCATGAAAGGCCAAGGAAGCCTTTTCTGGGGAAGTGAAAGCTGAAAGAAGGTAAGGTGTTAACCAGGTTAAAGAGGAGAGTGAAAGAGCTGTGACCTTGGGAACAGCATGTGCAAGGGCCCTGTGGCAGGATGGAACATGCTGCTTTGAAGGCAAATGCAGCTGGTAGGTGGTAGATGGTGAGACTGGAGTAGTTGACAGGAACCAGACCACACATAGCTTCAAAGGCTATGCCCAAGATTTGCATCTTTATACTAAGAACAGTATGGAGTCACTAGGAAGGGGATGTGTTAGGCAGGGGTGTCATTTATGCTTTCATTCCTCTGGTTGATTATGAAACCAAGGGTAGATGTGGATGATGAGTAGAAAGCTGCCTTAGTTTTCTGATGAGAGATGGTGGTGTCCTGGCTTAGCTGTCTGTAGGGCAGACAAGTTTGAGAGACATATATGGCTATGTATCTTTACTGCCTGGTCTTGAGTGGGCACTTAGTAAATGTTTCCCTTCTTGGCATGCGTTAGAAGATGTGGGTTTTATTTTACCTTCTGTCATTGTATAGCTATCAGACCTTGTATGTATTGCTTCACCTCTCTGGGTCTCAGTTTCCACAAATATAAAATAATATAGATGAATTGTGTCCTTTCCAGTGCCAAATTCCCTAGGTTCATGATGTTTTGAGTGCTATCGGTTTTTCAGGCAGAGGATTAAAAGGTAAATGTGGGCCGGGTGTGGTGGCTCACACCTGTAATCCCAGCACTTTGGGAGGCTGAGGCAGGTGGGTCACTTGAGGCCAGGAGTTCAAGACCAGCCTGGCCAACATGGTGAAACCCTGTCTCTACTAAAAAATACAAAAATGGCCAGGTGTGGTGGCTCACACCTATAATCCCAGTGCTTTGGGAGGCCAAGGCGGGTGGATTGCTTGAGGTCATGAGTTCAAGACCAGCCTGGCCAACATGGCAAAACCCCATCTCTAGTAAAAATATGAAAATTAGCCGGGCATGGTGGCACACACCTGTAATCCCAGCTCCTCCGGAGGCTGAGGTGAGAGGATCGCTTGAACCTGGGATTTAGAGGTTGCAGTGAGCCAAGATTGCACCACTGCACTCCAGCCTGGGCGACACAGTGAGACAATGTCTCAAAAAAAAAAAAAATTAGCTGGGTGTGGTGGCACACACCTGAATCCCAGCTACTCGGAAGGCTGAGGCATGAGAACTGCTTCAACATGGGAGGCGGAGGTTATAGTGTGCCGAGATCGCGCCACTGCACTCCAGCCTGGGCAACAGAGTGAGACTCTGTCTCAAAAAAAAAAAAGAAAAAGGTAAATGTGTTGGTTTAATAATAGGAGATCAGTATCTGAGTTTGCTTACACAACCATCTTTCTTCAAGTCCTTCTTTCTAACTCCTTGGATGTTAGAAGACATGGTTAGGGGGCACCACTGTATACACTTAACATTTCATTTATGGCAAACAAGACCGGTCTTTAATTAGGTTGCCTTTTTAAAGCACACCAGATGTGAGTCACTAGAAAAACAAAACCAAACTCTTCAAATGAGTAGGAGTGAATGTAAGAATTCTAATGAATCAGCCCAGGGTACACAGCCTAAATGAAGTGGAAAAAGCTAGGGGAGGTTTGCTAAGGGGGTGCATTTGACTCTTGCGTCCTATAAGTTGGGAATCCTTTGTCAGCAGTTGTAACAGGCATGCTCAGCTGCAACCACAAACATTTTCCAATGGAGGAGTGTTGATAGCATTTTCATTGACCTTAAAAAAATAAAAAATCTAATGGCAGGGTCAAGGGGAAGGCAAGAGGTGTAATTTGCTGGTCAGTCTCAGTCAGCCGCCTGCAGCAGCCTCGTCCTGTGTGAGACTTTAAGGGAATGCACATTGGCATGGGGGTTCCCAGGCGGAGGGGGGCCCAGATTCAGCCTTGGCCTCATAGAGGAGCAACAAATTGAAACAAGAGCAGCCCTGTTGACCTTCAGACTGCAAATGGACTGCTTTCTTTGTGCCATGTCGCCCAGTGAAATAATCCTGATAAAAGCTTTTTGTTTAGCCATTGGAACAAGAGCAGGGATTCAGGGAAAGAGTATTTCCCCACCCTTTTAAAAAATGTTTTGGTGTTGGCTGTTCGACAGACCTGGGTTCTGCTGAACCAGTAGGCATTGGAGTAGGGGGATTTGTGGAGTAGGGAGGTTCTTGGTTGGTTCTGAGGTCATCTGCAAGGTTTTTGTTGCATCTCTCACACTTACAGAAGGGCAGTCTGACCCTGCTCCCCCTCCCACTCCCCTCACCCTGCCTTTACCTCCATACCATTCCTTTTAAAGTCCCAAAAGGTGGGTGGGTGGGGAGGGTCAGGGGCTTACTCTTTCATTTGCTCCTTCATTTTAAGCTGTGGATTAGCATCTATGTTTTTGCCTTTGTAGCAGATTGGCCAGAGATAACCCCATTATTTTAGTGCATCCTGTTGCTGTGTATAGGTTTTAGGGATCATTTGGGAACTATTATAGGTTATAGACCAGTGGAAGCAGAGCTGCTGCTTATTAGATTGAAGACATTTGGTAGAGAGAGAGTTAAAAAAAAAAAAAAAAACCAACAGGTTAGAAGGCTTCATTCACTTTTAGAAGAGAGAAAGGAGGAAGAGTCTGAGGTACATTCTATAGCTTTGTGGGAAGAGGGGATGCTTCCGGCAGGATCTTTGGGATTTGGCAGTGGCAGACTCTACTCTTTGCTCCCTGCAAGGCCCTGAACAGCCTCCTGAGGGCCCAGCAGATCCAGGCCTTTCCGACCCCAGCCCTCAGTCCCCAGGCCCTTGTACATTTTATACTCAGGTTCCATTTAAGAAGTGGGAGATCCATAGCCCCTTCTGTAAATGTATCAAGAGAGAAAATCCCGGGCTCAGGGAACTTTGAAGCCTCTGCTTTAGCCACTGCCCCCAAGCCTCCATTGGGCTCAAATTTCCTTGCTTTTCCTGCTAGGAAGACTGTTTCTTTTGCATGCTTTCACCTGGGCAATCTAGGTTTTAAATTTTGAGCATTTGAGGAGCTTGTGTTGGTTTTCTACCAAACCTAGATGATAGATTAGGTTCCAGTTCCTTCCAGCCCCAAGCTTTCTAGACAATCTAAGGCCATCCTTTGACTTCTTCAAAGTTAGATGGCCCCTAAGACTCCTCCATGTCCCACCCCAGTCTGAAGTTGATGGCCAAAGTCCCAGGCAGAAGGCACCAAAAGGGAAGATACCACCCTGGCACTGACCACCACTCACTGGTGACAGGCGCTTCATACTGCAGCAGCCCCTCTGCCTACATAACAAGCCTGAGAGGTGCTTATCATCACACTTGTCTTACAGGAAGCTAAAGCCGACATGGTTTCTTTTCTCCAAGACTTTGCAGATTTGCACAGGGGCCTCTCCTAGCCATGAATCTCCTCTCCTTTCCCTGCAGCAGGGGGCTGGAGGTGCTTTATTTCTGCCGCATTGCCTTTTCATTGTGGGCCTAGAGACCACTCATAAAGGCAGATCTTCTTTGTTCTTTAGTAGCCATGATTCAAGAGAAGCCCTGGTATCGCTCTTCCTTACAGCTGACCATTGCCAGCTTCTGAGCACGAAATGAACTTGGCACGTATTAATCACGTCATCCCCCACCAACCATTAGGCAGATCTTTTTAGAAACATAAATCAGATTACACTCCTTAGTCAAACTCTCCAGTAACTTCCAGGGGCTTCCATGGGGTCTCTAAACTTGGATTGGAAAAAAAATTACATCTGTATTTTCACTAACCTCCAACTGAAATTTACATTTCCTTTCTATAAATGAGGACAAAAAACCACAGCAATATCAGCAGTTACTTGTGACTTTGTCACCAAAAGAACCCACTGTGATTTTCTCTTCACATTATACTGGTTACATATATCTCAGAATATTTTGTATGCCCATTTGATTGTAAAATGACAGTAGTGGTTAGATCTGCCACCATATCTGTTATTTAAACAGGCTAGACACAGTGGCTCACACTTTGGGAGGCTGAGGTGGAAGGACTGCTTGAGGCCAGGAGCTAGAGACCAGCCTGGGCAACATAGTAAGACCCCATCTCTACAAAAAAATTATAAAATCAGCTGGCCATGGTTGCACACACCTGTAGTCTCAGCACACTACTCAGGAAGCTAAGGCAGGAGGATCACGTGAGCCCAGGAATTTGAGGCTGCAGTGAGCCATGATCGTACCACTACACTCCATCCTGGGTGACAGAGTGAGACTCTGTCTCTAAAAAATAAAAATAAAAAATAAATATGAACAAAGAAGTTATTTAATAAATTAGATTTTTATGTTGCAAATTATATTTTATTTTTAATTAAATTGTTTGTTTATATTAATTTTTATCTATCTATCGATCTATCTATCTATCTATCTATCTATCTCTCTTGAGACCAGGTTATGAGACTGGCTAATTTTTGTATTTTTAATAGAGACAGGGTTTCGCCATGTTACCCAGGCTGGTCTGGAACTCCTGAGCTCAGGCAATCCACCCACCTCAGCCTCCCAAAATGCTGGGATTACAGGTGTGTGAACCATCATGCCCAGCTCAATGTAATGAGTTTTCTTAATCAGAAGTGTACCAACGGGGCTGGGTGTAGTGGCTCATGCCTGTAACCCCAGCACTTTGGGAGACCGAGGTGGGCAGATCCCTTGAGGTCAGGAGTTCGAGACCAGCCTGGCCAACATGGCAAAACCTGTCTCTAACTTAAAAAAAAAAAAAAAAATTAGCCTGGTGTGGTGGTTTGTGCCTGTAGTCCCAGCTACTCGGGAGGCTGAGATGGGAGAATCGCTTTAGCCTGGGAGGTGAAAGTTGCAGGGAGCCGAGATCTCTGCTCCACTGCACTCCAGCCTGGGTGACAGAGTGAGACCCTGTCTCAAAAAAAAAAAAGGTGTACCAAGGGGGTGGCAAGAGGGATGTGGGCTCAGTCTGCCCTGGATTTAGGCAACAAGGTGGTGTGCTTTTATTATTTAAAAACAATAATACAGGCTGAGCACGGTGGCTCCTGCCTGTGATCCCAGCACTTTGGGAGGCCGAGGTAGGCGGATCACGAGGTCAGGAGATCGAGACCATCCTGGCTAACACGGTGAAACCCTGTCTCTACTAAAAAAATACAAAAAATTAGCCGAGCCTGGTGGTGGGCGCCTGTAGTCCCAGCTACTCGGGAGGCTGAGGCAGGAGATTGGCGTGAACCCGGGAGGCAGAGCTTGCAGTGAGCCGAGATCACACCGCTACACTCCATCCGTCTCAAAAACAAAACAAAACAATAATACAGTCAACTTAAAGTCTATTCTTCTATGATCACTATAAGCTGGTAACTCTAAACAATGTCCATGATAAAAATACTCTTCCCTGGCGGGATAAATCACTCCCATAATCTCCCTGCCCCCACAGTCCCATCCTTGGTCTTTCATAATCCTACATTTTTTTGTTTTTGTCTTCGCCATTTAAAAACATTTTGCAAGCAGAGGTCCATAGGGTTCAGCAGGCTGCCTAGGAAGTATATAACACAGAAACAAGTAAGAATCCCTGACTTAAAATAAAATGTAGATCCACTTTCCTTGGCCTATAGGGCCCAAATGTCTAGGCTCCTGCCCACCTGCCAACCTCATTTCCCTCCACCCTCTCCATCTCTTGGCACCTTCTAATAAACCAGAATTTATTGATGCTACTGAAACATTCAAGGTTTATTCTTTCCTTTCTTATTCCCCCAGATATGACTCCCACCTTGTTCTGATCTCAGCTTTCAATGTCACCTCCTTGCAAAGGCCATTCCTGGTAACTCAATTTAAAGCAGGCCTTGCCCTCCCCGCAAGTGCTTTCTGTGCTGTTGTTACTATCTAAACCATCTGTTGTTCTTGTTGACTGTCTTCCTCCCCTCACCAGAAGGTAAACCCACAAGCACAGACAGGGACTGCCATTGTCAATTGTTATAATCTCTAGCATCTTGGCAGGCACTGGTAGGGGCTCAGTATCCTCAGAGCTGAGTTTGCTTCTCTTGAACTTTCTGTGGTAGCAGCCAGTTAATATATATTTAATTACTAGGCTTAAACCCATTAAAATTCCTACAAAACCTGGAAAAATGTACTCAGCTATAAAAATGCATGTGGATACAGTGAATGGATAGTGCAACCATTACAGTGAAGGAAAGAAGAAGCCTTTTTTTTTTTTTTTTTTTTTTTGAGACAGGGTCTTGCTCTGTTTCCCAGGCTGGAGTGCAGTGGTGCAAACATGGCTCACTGCAGCCTCCACCTCCCAGGCTCAAGCGATCCTCCTGCCTCAGCCTCCTGAGTAGCCGGGACTACAGACATGCACCACCATGCCTGGCTAATTTTTGTATTTTTTTATAGAGATGGGGTTCCACCATGTTGCCTAGGCTAGTCTTAAACTCCTGGGCTCAAGCAGTCTGCCACCTCAGCCTCCCAAAGTGCTACGATTACAGGCATGAGCTGCTAAACCAAGAAACTTTCAAAATGTAATTTGTAGGTCAGAAAAATGGTGCCAGAACTGGATGCAGTGGCTTGCATCTATAGTCCCAGCTATGCAAAGGCTAAAGCATAACTGGGCATAGCTTGAACCCAGGAGTTTGAGGCTGTAGTGTGCTACGATTGTGCCTGTGAATAGCCACTGCACTCCAGCCTGGGCAACATAGTAAGAGGCTGTTTCCTAAAAAAGAACCAAAGAGCAAAGAAACTTTTTAGAGAAAAGGAAAAGGAAATGGCACCAGATTCCCCCATCTCCCCGCTTCTTTGGTGTTATAGCCGTTTGGAGAAAGCAACAGGAATCCTGACTCACAGAGCCTTAGATAGAGATGCTTTGTATGTCACAGAATAAAAAGTACAGAGTTAGGTCAATCCCTGATTGACTGACTCAATTACTAAACTATCACCAAACACACAAGTCCTTTCCATCTCCTTAAACTCTTTGTGCTCTTCAGGCTGGTGTCCCTCATGGTTGCAAGATGGCTGCCAGTAGCCACTGGGTTGATATGTTTCCCTTTTCCAGCAAATAAGTTCTTCCCTTTAGTGTGATTGGGTACATTAGGTCACATGCTTGTCCCTGGGTCAATAATAGTCCCAGGAGGAATGCCATGAAGATTGACTCAGACTCTGCCTTGGGGATGAACGGGGTGAATAGTTGCGGAAAATAGGAGTTCCTTAAAGAGGGAGAAAGGGAAATCAACGTTAGGAAGGCAACCCACCGTGGCCACTGTAGATGTGGCTTGTTTTAAAATCAAATTTATTTTTGTTTTAATTTTGAGGAATAACCACTTAGAATAGCTTCTGATGGGAATGATCCTAATCTTTTTATTTTTTCAAATATGTAGGGCTTTTTTTCTTCTAGAAAAAAATTTTAAAAAATTATTGCCTTTATCTTGGCTTTGTTATCAGTCATGTGATCTGGCAGCTGAAGAAATATGGCCCATGGCTGCAGACTTGGATGCTTATATAACAGGCTTTGGTCTCCATAGTTAGTTTTAAATGGAGAGTGTGTGCCAGGGATTTGGAAAAGCTCTAATGTAAATTTTCAAAGAAATAACATTGCTTAGACCTTACTTAGATTATGAAGAGTAAGTTGGTTCATCTTGGGAGGCAGAGCAAAGCCTCTAAGCAAGCTCTGGAAAGCCTCTAGATTTTTTTTTTTTTAATTCCAGTTTTATTACAGCAGAAGTGTCAGCCACTATCTTGATGGATGCTATGAAGTTAAAAAAAAAAAACAAAAAACCTCTCAAGATGGAAAAGAATTTGGCTCACTTTAGGAAAATTCTAAAACAAGAGGTATAAGCAAATGAAGGGCTGTAGAAGGGCTGTAGCAGAGGAGGGAGGGCCCCAGAGACAGAGGTCAGGGAGAGGGGTTGGGACATGGTGGGTGGTGGGGAAGGGGGAGGGGGACCCAAGGAGAATCAAGCCATATCTGTAAAGAGGATCTGTATTCATGAATTACCGGTGTAATAAAACATAAATGAAAGACAGTGTCAGTTTATAAGCAATAAATAGACAAGTAAAATTGCAGTATTAGACTTGATGACATAAGAATCCTTCCATCCCATGTCAGCCCTTGAAAGCTCTGGAGTAAAAGGCTAGAGAAAGAGCCTGGATTTCCAAAAATGTTGACTCACTGTCCTTATAGACAGATACTAGACATAGATCATTTTCTTATTTTCTTTCTCTTTATCCTGTTCCTCTTATTATCCCTCCGCTTCCTTTTTATCCCCGAGTTACGTGTATTTTATGTGGCTTGGTATCTTCTGATGGCGACACCCCCCAGGACTGACTGGTTATGGACTCAGATTGTCCAGACCCCTACCAGACATCTCGTCCACCACTGGCCAGGCCCCTGGCCCCACATCTTCCTCCTCTGCGGCAGGGCCCCCTGCTGGTCTGCAGGCTCTCTGCTCCTTTGAGAGTAAAACAATGAAATGTCACAACCAGGAAAAGAAAAGAAGCCCTTTGAGCCAAGTAGTGGAATTGAAAAATGACACTTGTCTTTTCTGGGATATTGTTTTAGAAGTTAAATTTCCTTTCATTTTAGGGTTAAGCGTAAGTATTTGGAATGCCTTTTCTGACGGTAACTGTGTCATCATCATCTGTACATCTATGTCACAAATTTGGGAGAGCTGTGGTTCAGCATGACAGTTTTTCCTTCCACTTTAGTGTCGTAGTTGTATGTAGCAGTCATTTACAGGGGGTAGGAGAGTGGAGAAGGAGGGAAGACAGGCAGCCCAGAGTACTTTTTTTTTTTTTTTTGAGACAGTCTCACTCTTGCCCAGGCTGGAGTGCAGTGGCGTAATCTCGGCTCATTGCAACCTCTGCCCCCCAGGTTCAAGCGATTCTCCTGCCTCAGCCTCCCGAATAGCTGGGATTACAGGCACATGCCACCACGCCCAGCTAATTTTTGTATTTTTAGTAGAGAGGGGTTTTACCATGTTGGCCAGGCTGGTCTTGAACTCCTGACCTCAAGTGATCTGCCTGCCTCAACCTTCCAAAGTGCTAGGATTACAGGCAGGAACCACCACGCCCAGCCCAGACTACTTGTTTTTGCATCAGTAAAGGCCATTTATTGCTGCCAAATGAGTGTTTTGAAAAGAGTTAGCAAACGTGTATTTGAATTCCTGCTCTTCCACTTTTTAGATATGTGGTCTTGAGAAAAGACCTCCAGATAAAAATGGGAACAACAATAAATAGTGCTTGACAACCTTCAGTCTTTCCTATCTCAATAAAAACCCTTTGGTGACTGCAGGCACCCCTCCCTCCTGCCCCTCACCTCTCTCCCTCCTCTCCACCCACCTCAGCCTGGATTCCTCCTTTTCCCCTCCTCTGACCTTGTTATTGTACTCCATACTATTGTGTTGAATAAGTGACTCAACTGCCTTGGCCACCAGGTCTTGCCATGGCCATATCTAGTGACTTTTTCCACTCTGACCTCTGCCATGTGCTACATAAGATTGACTTTCTCTCTGTGACTGCACACTCTCCTGTTTACTGCTCACATTTCTGACCACTCCATCTTGGATTCCTTTGCAGTTACCCCTTCTTGTGTCCATCCCTTAATTGGGGGTGTCCCTCAGGGTCCTGACAGAGGCCTTTGGGATAGCTGCTTTTGAAGTTCTCCCCTAAACTTCTTACCTTTCCTACCTGCCCCCCAACCCCCCCACCCCTCTAGGTATTTGCATCCCCCCAAATAGTACCTATCTGTTGCCAAAGCCAGAAGCTGGGGTGGCATCATGGCCTCTTTCCTTTACCTTGTTTCCCACCAAATCTCAACCTGCCTGCCTTCTAAATATCTCCAGAGTCCTCCAGTTTTCTTCAGCCCAGTGACTCTACCTTTCAGAGGCTGCTTAGTCTTTGGCCTGCATTCCTGCTGCTAACTTGGAGATCTGCCTGCCTCCTTTCTGTCTCTCAAATCCATTCCCCACACTGAACCCGAGGCATCTTCCTAAAACACAAGTTGGGTTCCCGCTTCACCACTTTACATCCTTTGCTGCTTCTCCCTGTTTCCTTCAGAGAAAGCCTGAGGATAAATACTCCTCCTTAACGTGGCTTTGAGACCCAGCCCCTGCATGCTTGTGTCTTTCTCCATTGCACTGCTCCTTCTCCATATGCCAGCTAAACAGATCTGGGCTTCCTTGACATAGTCCTTTCTACCCTCTGGTCTTTCTGCCTGGAATCTTTCTTTTCTTTCCTTTGTCCTCACCCTTTTTGTGCCTAATTGTTTTTTTGTTTTGTTTTTTTAGATGGAGTCTCGCTCTGTCACCCAGGCTGGAGTGCAGTGGCGCCATCTCGGCTCACTGTAAGCTCTGCCTCTCGGGTTCACACCATTCTCCTGCCTCAGCCTCCCCAGTAGCTGGGACTGCAGGCGCCTGCCACCACACCCGGCTAGATTTTTCTATTTTTAGTAGAGACGGGGTTTCACCGTGTTAGCCAGGACAGTCTCAATCTCCTGACCTCGTGATCCACCCTCCTCGGCCTCCCAAAATGCTGGGATTACAGGCGTGAGCCACTACGCCTGGCCAATTGTCTTTCTATGTAACTTCTACTGAGAGCCCTCCCCTGACCCTCAAACAGAGGTGACCCCTCCGAAGGCTTCCATAGGAGCCCATGTTCTTACTTGGCGTGTAAGTGCCTGCAAAGCCTGGCATAACTCTTGGCATGTAGTATGTGCGTCACAAATACTCAACAAAGGAAGGGAAGGAATGAGCATCCATGGCTTGTGGAAGAGGTGTTATAAATTTTAAAGCATTCATTAATTTTGGTTCTTAACATTGAGCAACATAGTCTACAATAAAAATTGAGCCGGGCATGGTGACTCACACTTGTAATCCCAGCACTTTGGGAGACTAAGGCAGTCAGATCATCAGGTCAGGAGTTCGAGACCAGCCTGGCCAATACAGTGAAACCCCGTCTCTACTAAAAATACAAAAATTAGCCAGGCGTGGTGGCACATGCCTGTAATCCCAGCTACTTGGGAGGCTGAGGCAGGAGAATTGCTTGAACCCAGGAGACAGAGGTTGCAGTGAGCCGAGATGGTGCCATTGCACTCCAGGCTGGGGGACAAGAGCTAAACTCCATCTCAAAATAATAATAAAAATAATAAATAAAAATTGAGCAATAACTGTTGAGCAGCAAAGTAGCTCAGTTATATTTTTGAGTGTGGAAGATGTGAGCTTCCTTCTACACAATCTCTCGACCTTTTGGCTGGTAGACTTTTGGCTTGTCACCACCCCAGATTTTTCTTTAACAATGCATGTCCTCTGTTCTGTTACCTCTGTACCCCATGCTCAGGTACTACAGGAGGGTGCTGAATTGAAAGAAATAAGAAACACAGTTCATCATATGTATAGATTTCCATTTTTGGATCAAATTCAAAGTTTAAAAATCTGCTGTTCTTGGGAGGTCTTGTTTTCTTGAACACAAATGCCCCTGAATTTCAACTAGAGATTCTTGACTAAAGCACTTTCTGGCTATTTTTAGCCCTTACTTTTACTGTTTCTAAAATGCAATGCATGGTCTATACATCCATCGAGCAGACAAGGTTCCTTTTTGGAAGGAATAATTCTAGTGAGTCAAGGAAATGGTTGAGAGGATAGAGGGGACATGTCAGATCAGGGTTTGATGAATCAGCCAGCCCAGCCCGAAACTGAAAAGATTATCAGCTGCATATTTCACATTTTCTTCTCCAAGTTGACCATTAAGAATGGCATATTATACAATTGGGTTTTTTTACAGCATGTGAATCAACTTGTGACAATTCGGTAGGTTTTTTTTTTCTTTAATCCCATGAAACAAAAGAGAACTAGCTATGATTTTGGTCTGTAGAGATAAGGAGAAAGGATCATAGCTCTGTAGCTTTCTGCTGACGCATTAGAGAATTTGAAAAAACAGCAGTTTTGGTCTTTGGATGTGTGTGTGCACGTGTACACGCATGTGTGTGTAAGTGTGTCAGGCTGTACCTTCTGGGGACTGGTACTGCAATAGGGTCAGTGTGGTAGGTCCAGCAGTCCCCTTTTATCTGGTCTCTGACATCTCTGGGCTCTGATTCAATTCAAAGAAACTACAAAAGAACACTTACTCAGATTCTGCCTCCTGTGAGATGAAATCATCTAAGAAATCAAGAAAACGAAGGAAAATGAAAATACGTTCGAACATGCAGGGCACCATGGGGCCCTGGAGACTTCATCACAGAGGGTGCTCAGGAGGAAGATTCTCACTTCTACACTAGGGAATTTTTTCCGGAATGACCCATAGCTCTGCTGTCTAGTAGGCTTTCCCTGCCCAAGGGAAGGTCCAGGTTTGGGAAATACTAAGGTGGAAGCACAGTGAGTCATGTATGAGGAAGACTCACAGGTCCTCAGGGGTGACCACCCCTTCCAGGGTAAGGGTCAGATAACAGAGGCTCCAAGGGCCAAATCCACAAGGCTGGATGCCACCTGTAACCACTGACATTTTCTTACCCAGACATGATATGACCCATTAGCATAACATTAATACTGAATCTTTGTTAAAAGTAAAGTTCGTAAGACCAGGCATGGTAACTCGTACCTGTAATTGCAGCCCTTTGGGAGGCTGAGGTGGGTGGATCACTTGAGCCTGGGAGTTCAAGACCAGCCTGGGCAACATTGTGAATGCCCTGAGTAACTTAATTTTTTCTTCTTTTTGCTTTGTCTGTATCTTCTAATTTTTCTTCAGAGATTATATATTACTTACAAGTTTAAAAACAAATTGTTTTTAAAGAAAAGAGGGCCAGGCATGGTGGCTCATGCCTGTAATATTAGCACTTTGGGAGGCTGAGGTGGGTGGATCACTTGAGCCCAGGAGATTAAGACCAACTTGGGCGACATGGTAAAACCCCCTCTCTACATAAAATACAAAAATTAGCTGGGCATGGTGGTGTGCACCTGTAGTCCCAGCTACTTGGGAGGCTGAGGTGGGTGAATTGCTTGAACTCTTTCAGCCTACGGAACTGTAAGAAATAAATTTCTTTTCTTTACAAACCACCCAGCCTGTGGTATTCTGTTACAGCAACACAAAATAGACTAAGACAATAGTATTGAAGGAAAGACTGGAGAGACAAAAGCCCATTAGGAGGTGATAGAGATAGTCCAGGTGAGGATGATTCGGGTATTGAAGGAGGGCAGGAGAGAGGTGAGGTTCAAGCTGAATCCACAGTGCTAGGAGGGAGGTGGGAAGGTGATCATGAGGACTCAATAGCCTTTTGTCCTTAACTAGAGCTGAGACGGATGGAGGAGAAATGGGGTAGGGAGAAGGGAGGGTGTCCCTGCAGGCACAGAGGAAGTGAGGATATGGGGGACACATGTACCCACCCTTAGTACACAACCAGGGCCCTCAGGTGGAATCTGAGGGAATTCTCCACCAAAAAACAAGGTGGTAAACCGGTGAAGAGATAAAGCTAGGAGCCTGACCGCCTGGGATTCAGTCTTCACTCTACCACTTACTAGCTACATGACTTCATCAAGTGACTTGACCTCTTCTGTGCCTCAGTTTCCTCATCCATATATTGGAGATAATAATAGTGCCTACCTCATAATGTTGTTATGAGGATAGGATTAGATTAGTTAATATTTTTAAAGTATTTAGCATGGCTCCTGGCATGTAGTAAGCTCCATAAAATGACTGATGATAAAAATTGAAACTAGAGTGTGAGCCCCTTGAAGGCCTGGAATGGATGTTTAATTGGCTTCTCTCCAAGAGCCTCACATAGTGCCAGGCAGGTATATAAATAGTTGTCAAACGAATACACAATTCAATTTTGTAAATTATTTTTTGACTATACCATGAGTTAAACAGAACTTAGAGGGCTTTGTTTCCTACTTATGGAAAATGACCCCACTTCATTTCAGGTTCCAAATAACCAACTTTTGTTTTGTTTTGTTTTGTTTAGACAAGAGTTTTACTCTGTCACCCAGGCTGCAGTACAGTGGTGCTATCTCAGCTCACTGCAACCTCTGCACCCCAGGTTCAAGTGACTCTCCTGCCTCAGCCTCCCTAGTAGCTGGGACTACAGGCATGTGCCACCACGCCCAACTAATTTTTGTATTTTTAGTAGAGACAAGGTTTCACCATGTTGGCCAGGCTGGTCTCGAAACCCTGACCTCAAGTGATCCCCCTGCCTTGGCCTCCCAAAGTGCTGGGATTACAGGTATGAGCCACCGTGTCCAGACCCAAATAACCAAGTTTATAAAGAAATTCTGGTATGTAACTATTTCATCAGATGGGGACTGCTGATATTTTCAAAAATTCCAGGAACTGCAGTGCCTTGTACCTACATGTGATGGATGATGTGGGAAAGCATCAATTAAGAAACAAATAGGGCTTAGGAACAGTGTTGATAAGGCTCGGGCTGTGTGTTACTGGTGAGGGGGTGGTGGGTGCGGGGGAAGGGTAATACTTAAAACCCAGAAAATGCATAAAACAACTTAGTTTTGGATCTTGAACAAAAATTGATAAGATCTAAGGCCCGAGGACTCCATTTGGTAAGGCGTGTTTTCCAAAAGGCCCTTTCAGCTGTCATATCCCGGCAGGAGTATAAAGTGGCCCTCGGAGCGGGAAAACAAGGGAAGATGAATGCAGGCACAGTATTTTTAGAATGCATTGTTCTCTAAATTCTAGAAACAGCCAACCTAGATGAAAATGTGTTTTCAGAGACACTTTTCCACTCTTTGTGCTACTTTAAGATTGATATCTAGAAATAGAAAACTGTGTTTTCTTTGTCTGGTGATTAAATTTCTTGTTTTTTTTTTTACTCAGAGATGAGGAGGGACCATCTATTTTGGGCTACTAGGGTTGGCATAACAGCATCTTTAAGGCAACAGGACACAGGCATTGTGGGAGGGAAGCAGCTAACATTTAGCTTTTACTCTGTGGACTTAGCGTGTATTTTCTCCTTTAATCCTTTCCACAACCCTGGGAAGTTGCTACTATCACTGTTCCCATTTTTACTGATGAAAAATATGAAGCTGGAAGAGGTGAAGAAAGTGGATCAAAGCTGTATCTTTACATTGCTAAAATGAATCCAGAGACTATCACTAAGCTGTGTGTCAATATACGTACAGATTGTATATATATTTACCTGGAAAAAACCTCATCAAACACATGTAATTTTTATTTTAAATAAATCAGAATTTTAGCTTCTCATGCACACTTGTAAAGAAGAATTATGTAAGTTCCTGGTAAAAGACCTTCTAATTCTGTAGGTACAGGACACTTAGGTGCTATTTTGTAATCCCCAGGAACATACAGAATGAAGAAGCCTCACAAAAGGCTGCTCTCACGTCAGCAGGAGCTGAGTGAGGCTTGATTCACTGAAATTAAGATAAAAATAAAGCTCTTTTAGTGGTTTTACTAAATAAAGAGCGGATACCTGCTGATAATAATTAGTGTTCAGTTCAGCCTCTTTAAAAAGCCGCTGGTACATCAAGTGTATTAACATGCCTCAGTGGGGCCAGGTGCGGTGGCTCACGCCTATAATCTCAGCAGTTTGGGAGGCCAAGAGGGGTGGCTCACCTGAGGCCAGGAGTTGGAGACGAGCCTGGCCAACATGGTGATACTCCGTCTCTACTAAAAATACAAAAAATTAGCCAGCTGTGGTGGTGGGCACCTGTAATCCCAGCTACTCGGGAAGCTGAGGCAGGAGAATTGCTTGGAACTCAGGAAGCAGAGGCTGCAGTGAGCCGAGATCACACCATTGCGCTCTAGCCTGGACAACAAGAGCAAGACTCCATCTCAAAATAAATAAACAAATAAAGTCTTAGTGGGAGAGAGTTGCGTGGCCATTGTTCAACGGTGTATATGTAAGACTGTGTTCTCTGCAGCCCTACCCCCTACCAAATGACTTTTATTATGTGATAACAACAATAAATTACCTTTTGTTGAGCTCCTACATTTTTCAGGAATAGTACCAGATCCTTTGCTTATATTTTTATTATTTTACCATTTACATGTCCCAAAAAGCCCTCTAAGGGAGAGGGTATTATAGCCATTGTACAGTTGGGGAGACCGAGGGTCTGAGGAGTTAAGTGAATTGCCCAAAGCTACAGAGCTAGCATGTGGCATAGCCTAGAGTTGATTCCCCAAATATTTTATTTTTGTTTATTATAGACATTTTCAAGCAAGCACAAAATTCGAGAGATGAGTATAGTGAAGTCCCTTTATCACTCACCCAGTCCTAACAGTTATCATAGTTTACCATTATTCTTTTACCTATTCCCTCATCCACATACTTTTTTTTAAAGCAAATTCCAGACACCCTATCATTTAATCCACAGATAAAACCCTAAGGTAGCTTAAATGTCACATTAACATTTCTCTCTTTAAAGCTATTTCCTACTCAGCCCAACCCTTTCTTTGCTCCCCAGTGCACATTTCCCGAGTCCATGGTGCTTATTGTAGTCGTGATGTCTCCATCTCTGTGTGTTGGCTTCTCAAAGGCAGGAGCTGTGCCTTCCTTCCCCCACATCCTAACCACAGTGCATAGCACTGCACTCTACACTGAGTAAGCAGGGCCTGACTACTGTTCACAAAATCAAGGGTAGGCCAGGCATGGTGGCTCACACCTGTAATCCCAGCACTTTGGGAGGCCAAGGCGGGAGGACTGCCTGAGGTCAGGAGTTCAAGAACAGCCTGGCCAACATGGTAAAACCCTGTCTCTACTAAAAATACAAAAATTAGCTGGGCATGGTGGTGGATGCCTGTGTTCCTAGTTACTCGGGAGGCCGAGGCAGGAGAATCTCTTGAACCTGGGAGACGAAGGTTGCAGTGAGCCGAGACCACGCCACTGCACTCTAGCCTGGGCTACAAGATTGAGACTCTGTCTCAAAACTAAAATAAGATAACAAATAAAATCAAGGATAAATGCTCTTAAAGACTTCTCAACTTTTACAAGTTGGGGGTTCACTATTTTCGAATAATGCCAGAAAAACAAGAGAATCTTTGATGAAAGAGGTGATAAAATGCTCCCTCCTCACCTCCAGCTTGCTGCTTCCACCTTGAAAGCATCTTACTAAACGTACAGCACAGTTGGCCAAAAACATGCTTGGGAAACCAAATTGAAGGTATAAGATGAGGCTGAATTTGGTTTGAATTTGCAAATTTGAGTCTTAGAATTATGCCTCAATTTGGTTGAATTGGCTCCAAGACAGAAGAAACTGCTTTCATGGAGTGAATTATGAGGAGCTGGGAAGACCACATTACCCCTGAGTTACAATTCTTCTTGTGAATCTTTCTATCTGTAGTTTATGATTTGGTGAAAATGTAGGGAGCTTGGGAGGTAGAGTCAGAAAACCTATGTTCTAACCCCTCCACCCCCTATTCTGACTCTAATTCACTGTGACCTTAGGCAGGTCACTTAAACCTCTCTGAGCCTCTGTTTCTTCATCCATCCATTCAGTAAATACTACTAAGTGCCTACTAAGTGCTGGGCACTGGGCATCAAGTAAGATTGTTTGTGTCAAAGTAATTTGTAAATAAATCCTGTAAGAACTATTGATGTTTTCCTTGTTAAAATGCAATTATTAATGTTTTCCTGGTTAAAATGCAACCTTTGGAGGAGAGCACTTTGAATAGCAGTCTATCCTTGTGGGTGATTCTTAGCATTTTAGAGCTTTGACAGGGAAAGGAAGGGAAAGGAAGAGGACACAAGACCCTGGGATCACTAGAGACAAATTTGGTCCATGGCTGGGTCTGAGGAGGGGTAATTATATGGGAAAAAAGTTGTGAAGTTAGTCCATACAAGTCCTGTTCTAAAATACTACCATATAATTTTGGGTGTACAGGAGCCCATTCAAAGCAGCAAATACAGTGAATCAAACAGCTTACACATACTTTGAGCCCATTCCCAGCAATTTATACAAATGTGCCCCTTTTGCCCAGACTTCACTATGCAATATATCCATGTGACAAAACAGCACTTGTACCCACTACATCTATTAAAAAAAGTTTTTTTATCACCCAGTCCTGGAAGTTCTCTAGTCATTTTCACCGTCTCTAATGATTAATTCCTGTTACTTGTCGTTGCACTTGAAGCCCACTTTCAGGATCTACACCTCTCCCTGAGCTATAAGACCATGATCTGGAGTTCCAATTCAATACCTATTTCCTCCTGCCCCATTTTCTAATTTCTACATTTCTGGCCAACCATGTTTGTGTTCTTGTGCTCCTTTGAGGCATGAAGTAGAGTAAAAAATATTAAAGACATATATAAAGCTCCCTTAGGTTGGAGTGAAGAAGGAATTGTTATGGACCCAAATGGGAATTTTAGAACTGTTAAGGAGATTACATGTTAAACATTACTCTATAACAAACAGATTAATGACCTTGGAAAGTCTGGGTTCATTTTCAATAGCATGGGTTACCAGACTCAGGGACACAAGGGTAACACAGAGATCCTTAAAGCAGCGAGAGAGCGAGTGATGCTGCATTTTTGTTTCATTATCACAGTGGAAGTCTAGGGACAGCTGCTACAGAGTAAACACTATGCTGGGCACTGGGGAAATTAAAATGAATGAGATGCAGTCTTTGCCACATGCAAGCACAACTTCGGTGTGGTCTGTTTGTGTTCTACCAGACACCTTTATTCATTTCTTTATTCATTCAACAAACCTGGCTCTGGGGCCTTCCTACAGGGTTTGGCTTTGAGTCTCCAGGCAGTGAAGGTTTTGGAAGAAGGATATGATCTGATTGGAATGGTATTTTAATAAGGTCAAGGACTGAAGGAATGGCTTAGTGAAGTTAGGGCCTGCTGACTAGTAAATCAATTAGGAAGTCAGGGAAATCTCCCAGGGAGATAATTTGCTCATGAAGGAACATCATATATTAAAACGTATACTGTTCTCTCTCACTGTGAAAGGAAAGGGAAAATCAACAAAGAAACACAAAATATAGCACTGGTTTTTAGAATAATGCTGTAGGACTCATTTCAATTCAGGTATCACCAAATAGACCATGTGGCTCAATTCTAATATAGATTTTCAGTCCCTCATTGCTGGTGAGACCAGGCTGTATATGATTTCTCCCCTGTGTTCAGATGGAGACATGGAAGAAAATGTGATATATTAGTTATCTGTAACAATATTACTACAAACTTAGTCTTAAAACAACACACATTTATTATGGTGCAATTTTTGTGGGTCAGGAGTTCAACATTGCTTAGCTAGGCCTTCTACTACTTCAGGGTCTGACAAGGCTGCAATCAAGGCGTTGGCCAGGGTTATGGTCTCATCTGAGGTTTGACTGGGGAAGGGTCTGTTTCCAAACTTACATGACTGTTGGCAGCATTCAGCTTCTTGTGGTTGAAGGACTGAGGGCTTCAGTTTCTTGTTATTGTTGGCTGGAGGCCACCTTCAGCTCCAGGAGGCCACTTTCAGCCCTTTGCCACATGGGCCTTTCAACATGGCCTCTTGCTTCTTTGATTCCAGCAATGGAAAGAGTTGCCTCAAAATATGAGTACATAACCCAATCTTATGTAATGTAATCATAATACATAATCATGTGCATCCTGTCATCTTGCCATGTTCTATATGGCTAGAAGAAAATCAGTATGCCAGCCTATTCTGGCCCTACAGGGATGTGAACACCAGGAGGCAGGGATCATGGGGGACATCTTAAGAGGCCATCTGCTATGTGTAATGTTTAGTGACTTGGTGAAGGCTCCCAGAAAACATTGGGGTTGTCACAAAACCACCCTGTGTTTTTGTACACACATGTAATCCTTGTTCCATGAAATCCTGGGAAATTGATCCAGAGTCTTCCCACCCTGCTAATCCTTCAGGCTGATTGTTTTTAGCCCTGCTATAAGGTTGAAGCAAAACCTGTTTAATTACCTGTTGGCTGGAATCCTGGTGGCAGCAGTAGTTGGTATTGGTGTTATTTTCCTTTTCCTTTTAATTTTGTTTTATTTTATTAAATATTATCTTCTTTACCTGAAAGATTTTCTATCTTTTATTTGTTTCTAAATAGTCATTTGAGGAAAATTAACAGAGGCAGACAAGATTCCAGACAATATGCTTAGTTTTCAGGTAGCAATTTCAAGCATTCTGTTTATTAGTTTAACAATAAGTCATAAGAAAAGAAGCTTAACAGTTCTTAGAAAAGCTAATCCTGGCACCATGATGGATTTACCTTGAGCATATCTTTCTGTCTCAATTTCCCTACCTATAAATCCACAGGGTGCAGTATCCATACTAACAAGATATTCCAAAGGGAAATAATAATTTTTGAGCATAAACTGAAAATCCTACATAATAGAAACATATTTGTATTCTGCACTGTCGAGCAGAACTTTGCCACGCAGCTTTAAATAATTTGTCATGCACTAAAGTGCCAGGTACTCTGCTTGTTCTTAATTTCCTTTTCTTACAGAATCTTGCCAGTGACCTGGAAAGGTAGATATTATTCTCTTCATTTTGCAATTGATGAGTCTGAGATTCATGGATGTTTAATGAGTCCAAGGCCATACAGTTGTGAGTCACAATTCTGCCTGATTTTATGTCCTGTTAACCTGCCGTTGCACTGGGAATTACAGAACTAATGCCAATCCCTCCCTCAAATTGCCATTCATGTATTACTTTTCCTGAAATTAGTGGCAGTTTTCTAGAAATCAGAAGGGGCAGAAAGTAAAGGGAATCTTCTTCTTATATATCATTGCTCTCTGAGAAAAAGTATTATAGAAAAGCCAAAGGTCAAATTGCATGATATTTTCACTTTACAATATAAAAAACATCTACACTATGGAATACATGGAATATAACGCAGCATTAAGAAAAAGAAAAGGAAAGAAAGATGGTGAAAGATGAAAAGATTGCCAAGGCATACTGTTAGATTTCTTTTTTCAAGTTACAGAAATTTGGGCTGGGCATGGTGGCTCACACCTGTGATCCTAGCACTTTGGGAGGCCAAGGCAGGTAGATCACTTGAGTCCAGGAGTTTGAGACCAGCCTGGGCCACATGGTGAAACCCTTTCTCTATAAAAAAAAAAAAATTACAAAAGTCATCCAGGCATGGTGGCACATACCTGTAGTCCCAGCTACCTGGGAGCTGAGGCAGGGGGATCGTTTGAGCCCAGGATGCAGAGGTTGCAGTGAGCCAAGATCATGCCCTTGTACTCTAGCCTGGGAGACAGAGTGAGACCCTGTCTTAGAAAAATAAAAAATAAAAATGGAGTTACAGAAATTTAAGTATGATATCATTTGTGTGCTAAGCTAAGCCACCACAGAACAATTCTGCTTATTTTTCAAAGATACATCCATGCATAGAAAGCAGTCTGAAAGGATAACACCCTAAATTCATTAAATTGATTCTGAGTTAAAACCCTAAACTGGTTCTCTCTGAGGAGGGGGCCTGGTGGCTCCAGTGGCAGTCTAACATTTAATATTTAAAGTTTTTACAAGGAGAAATAATTCATGTGTTACTTGTATAACTAGAAGTTTGAGGGTTTTTTTAAGTAAAATATTGAACACAAAGTCAGCCAACTGGTGGCATGACTAGCCACGGTCAAAAGTTGGAGCTATTTGTAAGTCATTTTGACAATAAAGAAAAGGATGAACTAAAAATACTATGTCACCAAGATGGCTTTTTCCTCCAGAGATTTCTGTGTCAGCTGGGGCTTTGATGTCTGGCCATTATCTGAATGGGGCGCCTGCTCAGGGATCAGCTATGACCACCCTAGGGAGAGTTCCGTGATGAGCCATCTTGGGGACAGAAGGATGAGTGAGCAGCTCTGCTTCCTTCCAGACATCTCTGCTCTTCACCATTTTGTCTTAGCTTAGGTAATCTTCCAGGGCTACATGATTGTAGGGGGCAGGGGAAAAGATGAGGGAGTTAAATGATGGAGAAGAGAAGGGTACCAGAAGAAACTCTTCTTTGAAGTTAAAAGCATTGGTTTCTAGACATCTGCTAGGGATCATTTAATATCCAGGCTGATTAATTCAGCTGGGAAGCAGTCTATAGAAGCTAGTATGGATTCCATTCCTTGGTGAGTCAAATCACTTATTTCTTAGAAGAAATGGCATTAGAGCTTAACTGTTTTTCTAGCTCTTGCAAAGCATGTAATTGATGCAAAATTAGCTAGGTCCCAAGCAATAAGATCCAAGAAAGATCTGCTAGCTGGACAATTTTTTCTAATCCACATTAAAATAAAGACATATATAACTGTTAAAATAAAAATGTATTTATACACATGCATCTTACAATCCCACATTTGACTGGTGATGCATGGGCCATGCTTGGGGAAACACTGCAAGAGATGTGATTAGCCTGGGCGTTGGGGAGGAACTGAGTTCAAATTTTGCCTCCATAACTAACTTGGTAACCGAGAACTTAACCTTCTTAGCCTTCATTTTCTCATCTCAGGGTGGACTTACTAGTAGTTCCTACTTCATATGGCATTTTTCAGAATTACTTAAGCTAGTGTCTATAAAGGATAATGTGTAGTACCTACAAAATGTTAGTAAAAGAAAAAAAGATCTTTTGCAAATAATAAAACAAATGCCAAGACCTTGATTAAATGTAACTTCTGCAAAAGATGCCATCTTTTGAGGATGGTTCAGTGTTCAACTTCTTGTTTTGGGAATTTGTATGTGTATGTGGGTTTTGGCGCTCCACACACACACTTTTTGGTCCTCTTTTTATTAATACTTTGACTGTAATTCATGGAATTACCTATTTCAAATCAATCTGATGGCTGAAAAAGGTAAAGCATGGAATCACAGTGATTACATAGCTACTCTGAAATGCATAGAATCACACCCAAGAATTTTTCTAATTAAATGCTCTTTGTGGGGGTGAGGTCTCTGAGTATGAAACTATGTAACTAAAGACTTAGAAACATCAGACTGTGGGTGCTTATGTTTAAACTTAAATTTTTAAAATTTCTGGTTAACTGTGTGCATAGAAAAGTGAAGTTTATTCAGCTACTCAGCTTGTAAGTGACTGCCGTGATGGAGAAAGTGGGAGTGTGAGCTGTGCAGAGCTGATGGCAACTAACTGGGTAAGTTATGTCTAAATGGAGGACATGGAAGATCTCATGTAAGACTAACAACCAGGAGCATGCTATAGCTGAAAGGGGGATTTGGTTGAGGAAGCCCACCCAATAAGAAGCCAGCAAGTTCTTCTCACCACCTCTTTGAAATTTCTGCCTGACTAGCTGGTGGTTGACTCAAGCTTTTCCTGCCATTGCTACTTTAGGGAAAGATCCCAGCCAAGGTTAATTTTTCATCTCACTCTTGCATTGAGATGTCACAGTGGGCAAATCTAGGGGTCTCAATAATTCGTCATTCCGTTTTGACCTGAACTTGATCAGTATAGATGAGGAGCCAGGAGTATTTATCTACTGGGGGCAAAGAGAAGGGGTTTTCCGTGTTTTTGCATCCCAAAATGCTAATTTAAATATTCTTAGGATCAGGTGACATATTCTGGTGCAAACAGCTTTCTTTGGTACTGCTTAACTGTGTGTATGTTAATAACTTTGCTGTTTTAATCTTACAGTTTTTAAAAAAACCTTTTCTATCTCAGTAAATCTTTCTAACCATGAAATTTAATAAAGCAGCATTCTAGAAATTCTTACCAAAGAAAATGAAAAATGTTAGTCTTCATCTCATGAAGGAAATGAAATTGTTTTTTTAATTTTTGAACAAATAGTATTAATGTTATAATATGTTAGCAGGTGAATTTCCAAATGCACTCCTGGTTGCTCTTTCAGCCATTCAGGAATAAGATTTGTCTTCTCAGTTTTAAAATTAGGTTCAGAGAAGAGGTCCCCAGAAACATGAGTCAGGGCAGAGATGAGCTTCCATCTTGGTGTCTCAAACAAGGTTTTGTTGATTGTTTATGGTGCTTACTCACGGCACTGCGCTGAGTCCCTCAGCAAACACCCACTTCTGTGAGAGACGGTCTGTAAACAATGAACTGTGGCTCAGGGAATGCATGTTGTAATAGAGATATTTTAAAAAGCAGACATTTTATGGGAGCATACTTGGAGCCTCAACCTTCTTACCTGTAGAGTGTGGAAACTGGACACATCTCTGTTCCCTTTCCAGCTTTGAAACTCTGGGATCCTGCAGAAATGCAGACCACTTCTTGTCCTAGAACATTTGTTTTGCAGGATCATTGAATAGTAAATACACCATTGGATGCTGTAAATATTTATGGTCCCCTAAATGGGGGTGTTTTTTCCTGTTGTTGACTGTTGTTGGCTGGCTCTCCTAGGCACTGCATGCCTTTTTCACTGAGTCTAGCAGAGAAAGCTTGTACCTCTCATTTGAAGAATGTCTGGGATGGTCTTAAAAAGCAAGTTATTTGTCTCAAAGTGCTAAAAATATCCACCTAAGAAGAAGGTGGGCTGCCAGAGCTCCGTCTGATCCTCCATTTCCTCTTAGTAACTTGAAGGAAAATGCAGAGGATGACACACGGCCAAGATGAGATAATGCCTGGGATCTGGGGGTTGAAGTCATTCCCAGGAGGATTCCTGTCAGATGAAACGTGTCCGGGCTCGAGAGCACCAGGAGCCTTCGGGATTGTACCACTTTCTTTCCCAGATTTTGCAGACCTAGGGACCAGACCCTCCCTTCCTCAGGTGGGTAAAAGGTGGTAATGTGATCCTGTGTTGTGAGCTGTCAGGTTCTAAAGGAGGGTAGCTTTCTAGGGTCAAAGCATCCTTGCAATGATGATTTGATGCAACCAGACCAAATCAGTGAAAGCTCAGCTGCCAGACCCCTTGAGATTTGGGGATAGGGCGCAGAGTGTAGACAATTTGATTAGACAACCAAGACCTCATTCTTCTTTGTTTCGTTGTTTTATATTTTTAATAAGCTTTCATTTTGGAATAATTTTAGATTTACAGAAAAGTTGCAAAGATAACACAGAGAGTTCTTATGTACCTTTCCCAGCTTCCCCTGATGTTAACATCTTACATAACACAGTGTATCTGTCAAAATCAGGAAAGTAACATTGGTTTAGTACTGCTAAGGAAATGACAGACTTTATTTGGACTTCACCACACAGTCTTCTTTAAAAACCAAAATGTTGTTCTGTGAGTTACCTGGAGTGTAAAATAAAATAAAATGAAAATAAAAAAATTCAAAAAAACCCAAAACGTTAAAAAAACTAATGTCACACACACATCACAAATACTCATATACTAATACACAAGAATATATATATATAATCCAGCCTTTAAAATGTGTGTATGCAAATGCACAAATGTATCTGGTTATGTAAATGGATATTATGTTCTCTTGCCTTTTGAGACAGGTTATACAAAAAAAAATTTTTTTTTTTTGAGACAAGGTCTCACTCCATCACCCTGGATGGAATGCAGTGGCACAATCACAGCTCACTGCTGCCTTGAACTCCCAGGCTCAAGTGATCTTCCCACCTCAGCCTCCTGAGTAGCTGGGACTACAGGTGTGTACCACCACGCCCAGTAAATTTTTATTTTTTTTATTTTTGTAGAGATAGGGGGGTCTCACTATGTTGCCTAGGCTGGTCTTGAACTCCTGGGCTCAAATGATCCTCCCACCTTGTTCTCCCAAAGTGCTGGGATTAGAGGCATGAGCCACTGCACCCGGCCAGGTTATACAAATTATCGTTTGCCTTTCTTAAATGACACACAATGACCATCTGTCATTGTACTTTGCTATAGTGTGTTGATCTCTTGGTATTTTAGGGCTGTTTGGTCCCGGGAATTTGTGCTTTTTGAGTTCTCAGGTCAGCTCGTCATAGTATTTCTAGCTCCCCTCTCATTACTAAGCTGTCAGCTGTTGCTTCTCTCTGCTATCAGCGTTTTTGTCTGTGCAGACCTCCTTCCCACATCTAAACTGCAGCTGCTAACTGTTAAGATGATATAACTATGTACTGGGGCTTCTTAGAATTATGGAAAGAAAAGTACCTGTAAATGAGGCACATGGAGAACATTACTGTGTGTATTTTATGACTTTTTAAAAAGCCTTTTTATTATCTTATTTCCCAGTTTTGGATCAGATTTTGAGGTAAAACCAATGAAAAGTGAAATAATAATTTAAGTGATAGAATCGTATTTTAACAGCTAAAAATATGGGAGTGAATCTCTGTCTTATGTAGAGATTCGTACAAAAAACATTCACCCCAGTATTATGTTCTTCCATGCATTTAAATTATCATTTAATTTGGTAAACATTGATCTATGTAAAATTTTTAATTATTCCCCCCCACAGTATTTTTTACATACTTTACAAAACTGTTTATTGTAGAAAAGTTGGGAAATATAGGTAAGTTGTTTTTTATACCATTATTGTTAAAGGCTACATAATGTTACATGTTATGGCTGTATTTAGCCCATGGAGTATGATATTTACATTGTTTTTATTTTTAAAAAATAGGTATTTTCCTGTGATAAACATTCTTACTTTTGCACACAGTTTTCTTCTGCACACATCCAAGAGGCTGTATTCCCAGCAGTGGAATTATTGAGTCAAAAATTATCACTTTGATGGTTCTTCATGGCTACTTCCACATTTAGCAGTGTGTTAGAAATATGTAAGTTTCTGGCTGCTGGAGGAAGCTTGTAATCCTGCCGTTCTAGCATGTTGTTCAGGTGGCTGTGTGCACATGATGGCACAGGAAACAGCCCTGACCTGACCAGAATCGCTGGTCATGTATTCATGGTAGAGTGAACTCAAACAGTCAGAACTAAGCATTTTCAGGTAACTTATTGACTCCTGGGAGGAAACCGTTTGTCAGGACCTGCCGCAGTTTATTGTGACCTCATCTGCTGAAGGCATGGCCTTGGAGTGGAGGGTTTACAAGGAGGCAAGCTTCCACAGGCCCTGCTCCATACAACATTTTTTGCCCTCCAGCTTTTAGTTGCTTCATGAAATGGTCTATTTCTTGAATAATCGTCCTCTTCAATTCCCATTGGTAATTATTGGACCATCTTTTATCCTCATGTTTTCTGCCTGATGGACTGTCAGGCAGAGCTTCTTGGCAAGTTTTCTAGCCAATTAAAGATGGAAGACTAATTCCATTGAGCAGTCAATTCCAGTTAGCTCAGCTGGTGGGATTGTGGCGTTAATGCAGGACCACAAGACAAGGGTTTGATCCTACATGAACTCGGTCAACCGTGCTCTTTTCAGAGTATGGTAGCAGAGTAGAAAAACGTCTGGACTCTTTGCTTGCTCCCTCCCCTTCCTTTTAAGTAAAGTCTCTTTTATTTAGACTCTTTTCTGGGTTATAGGAGTCACCATTTTTTTAATCAGCACCAATCTTTGCAAAAGCTAAAAATACATTTTCTGAACCTCCTGACTCTGATCCTGACTCTTCACTTTCTTTAGGAAACCATTTGATTATCAAATAAAGTGTACTTTCTGCAGGTTCTGCATCCTTGAAAGCATGAATTCATGCCGCATATTTGGAGAATGGGTCTTCTGGAAGAGGGTGAAATAAAGATTACGTAATGCAGACTGATTCTTTCACATCATCCTTGGCCTTTACACAGTGACTTTTTGTTTTGTTTTGAGACAGGGTCTCACTCTGTTACCCAGGCTGGAGTGCAGTGGCACAATCACGGCTCACTGCAGCCTCGACCTCTCAGGCTCAGGTGATACTCCCACCTCAGCCTCCTAGGTAGCTGAGACTACAGGCATGCACCACCATACCCAGCTAATTTTTGTATTTTTTTGTAGAGATGGGGTTTTGCCATATTGCCTAAGCTAGTGTCAAATTCCTGGGCTCAAACGATCCTCCTACCTCAGCCTCCCAAAGTGCTGGGACTACAGGCGTAAGCTACTGCGCCTGGCCCACAGTGACTTTTTGTATCTTGTCTGATTGTTGTATAAAATCTTTAGAACTGGTTTGTATCATTCAGAATAAGGCAAAACGAGAAAAAAATCCAGGTAGGCAGGGAATGGGTTGAAAACGCTTTGGCATCCCAAACATGATTGTAGGGACTCTGTGGGTGTGTGAGTGAATGAGTCACTGAAAAAATACATTCTGAATGAGTGAATGAGGCAACTAATTAATCTCATGGTGAGATTTGTAATGTTTCAGAACTAATTTTTAATTTAAATTGTTTCCCCAACTATATCCCATTTCCCAAAGAATAATAATAGATTGAAGTTAGTAGAGCATTTCTGTGCACAAAGAAAGTATGAAGAAATCCTGAAACACTTATGCTAATGCTGGCTTTCTTCCCTAAAGGAAAGAGATGAACTTTATTCATTAGGAGTTTTTCATGAACTATTGATCGAAAATACACATCTGTTTTTCAGTCTGTTTTTTCCAAAAATTGGTAACTCAGCCTCATTTGGAGCTATCTCTGAAGGATAAGGAAAGACCAGGAGTGATAAGGCAGCTTGCATTAATCAGATGTGAACGGGATACCTTGGCCTGCTGAATTGTGTCACGAAGGTCATTTTTACCACAGAAATACTCATGCTAAACACCAACAGTTTTTCTAAGAGACATGATTTTTCTCCCTTTTGGGAAACTGAGGAAACAAAGACTTAAGTCATTTCTTGACTCTCTGAGAAATCCTTTTTCCACGGGAAGTCTGTGTGGAGGTGCATGATTCAATTTTTGTATTCTTTTTTCCCCAGAGGTCAGGGGTGAACCATGGGTGACTCAGCCACAGGGCCCTTTATTTATCAGGCCCATTTTAGCTATCCGGCCTGGGGTGTGTTGGACTTTATGGGTCATGTTCTGTGTCGTATGAAAAGGGGGAGAGAGGTGGTGCATTTTAAGTCTTTCTGCTAAAGCTAAATAGTTACTCTGAGGAGGCCATTCAGTCCTTCCACGTGGCTTAGACCTTTGGAAGTGGAGATAGCAATTAATTAAACAATTAAATCATACTCTGAATTAATGCTGTTATTTAGCATTAATTCAGCATATTATTTAGCATGTCTTATAATTATTTAATTTTAATGCGTGAAATAGGGGTGTACACGTGCTTTTAAAAAGCCTAATGTTAGGCTGGGCATGGTGGCTCACACCTGTAATCCCAGCACTTTGGGAGGCCGAGGCGGGTGGATCACCTGAAGTCAGGAGTTCGAGACCAGCTTGGCCAACATGGTGAAACCCCATCTCTACTAAAAATACAAAAATTAGCCGGGCATGGTGGTACGTGCCTGTAATCCCAGCTACTCAGGAGGCTGAGGCAGGAAAATCGCTTGAACCCAGGAGACAGAGGTTGCAGTGAGCCGAGATCACACCATTGCACTCCAGCCTGGGGGACAAGAGCAAGACTTCATCTCAAAAAACCAACAAAACAAAACAAAACAAAAAAAGCCTAATGTTAAAATTATGAACACACAAAACAAGATAATTTAGAGAATTTATATTTAGAATACTTTTAGGTAATAATTCATCACAATTCATCTTTAAGTAAAAAGTACCAGAATGCATTTATTTTGACATGTTTCAAACTTTTACTTCTTTATTATACTAGCAGTATGTGGATGTTGTAGAAAATTATAAAATAAAGGTAAATTAAAGAAAGACTATTAAATCATCATTTTGCTACTCTTTATATTTTGGAGTATAGCCCTGCCAAATGTATGTTTACATGGACACACAAATAGGATCACATGATGCACAGATACTGCTTTGTGTCTTGCTTGTCTTATTTTGGTACACATCAGCATTGTTCCTGTTCATATTTATACCTGGATATTGTTATTCTTTTTTTTTTTTTTTTTTTGTAAGTCAGAGTCTCACTCTGTCACCCAGGCTGGAGTGCAATGGCACAATCTCAGCTCACCGCTTCCCGGGTTCAAGCAGCTCTCCTGCCTCAGGAGAAGCTGGGATTACAGGCATGTGCCACCACACCTGGCTAATTTTCATATTTTTAGTAGAGACAGGGTTTCACAAAGTTTGATGGTCTCAAACTCCCGATCTCAGGTGATCCACCCACCTCGGCCTCCCAAAGTGCTGGGATTATAGGTGTGAGCCATCAGGCCCGACCACGACCTTATTATTCTGAATACATACATAGTATCAGATTGTTTAACTGGGATATAGCGTTATTAAATTAACCCACCGTTATTAGATATATAGTATGCTTCTAGTTTTTCTTACTATGAACCTCATCTTTTACAATAATGATACCTGCTTTCTACTTCATACCTAGTGCCAATGTGAAACATTTTCCATGTAGTAGCTCTCTTTTTATTTAATTAAGGTAAAATTCACGTAACATTAACTATTTTAATGTGTATAGCTCTGGGGCATTTAATACATTCACAGGCCAGGCGTGGTGGCTTACGCTTGTAATCCGAGAATTTTGGGAGGCTGAGGCGGGCAGACCACAAGGTCAGGAGTTCGGAACCAGCCTGGCCAATATGGTGAAACCCCGTCTCTACTAAAAAATACAAAAATTAGCCGGGTGTGGTGGCACACACCTGTAGTCTCAGCTACTCAGGAGACTGAGGCAGGAGAATCACTTAAACCTGGGAGGTGGAGGCTGCAGTGAGCCGAGATCACACCATTGCACTCCAACCTGGGTGACAAGAGTAAAAATTGGGGGGGGAAAACAAAGAATATTGGAATATTGAAAATCCAGAAAAATTGAACAGTTATCCAGCTTGGTGAATGTGTGAGTGTGATATGCACTGGGGGCTGAGTCTCCTGAAGTGTGATCCAAATTTGCATTTGCTTTTCCAAACATATGTTAAAAAAGAAAGTGAACATGTGGTGAGATTGTAAATGTGCATATTCTGTGATCCTGCCTTATAAATCCAAGTTTGAGCCTTAGAGAACCAATCTCAGGAATGCAGAAGGAGGCGTGTATAGGGAAGTGCGACACATTTTGTAACAGTGAAGAAAGGAAAATCTGTAAATATCCATAAATAAGAGAACAGATAAATAAAATGTGGTGTAGGGAAGGCTGGATACAGTTCAGCTTTGAATTAGACCTATATACAACAACATGGAGGGAGCTCAAAAACAATGCTAAGTGGAGAAAATATTTATATTTACACTTAGAAAACAATACTGCACACTATTTGTAGATGCCTGGAATAAATATAGAGTTAAAAAGTGATAGTCTCCAAAGAATATATACAAATGGCCAATAAAAACATGAAAAGATGCTCAGTTGCAGTTGGCTTTAGGGAAATACAAATCAAAACCACAATTATCCCTCATACCCACTAGGATGGCTATTTTTAAAAAGAGGAGGGAAATAAAAAAGAAGAAGTGTTGGTGAGGATGTGGAGAAATTGAAACCCTTATACATTGCTGGTGGGAATTTAAATGGTGCAGCTGTTGTGGAGAAGAGTTTGGCAGTACCTCAAAAAGTTAAATATAGTGTTACCATATGACACAACTATTCCACTCATAGGTATATACCCAAAAGAACTGAAAACAGGTACTCAAACAGGTATTTGCACATGGATGTTCATAGCAGCATTATTCCATCAATTGAGGAATGGATAAACAAAATAGTATATCCAAACAAGGGAATATTCTTCAACCATAAAAAGGAATGAATACTGATGCATGCTACAACATGGATGAACCTTAGACACGCTATGCCAAGCAAAATAAGTGAGAAACAAAAGGTCATATGTTATTTGATTCCATTTGTATGAAATGTCCAGGCATTTCATATGCAAATGCAAAGGCAAGTGCATAGAGACAGAAAGTAGATTCGTGGTTGTCAGGCACTGAGGGGAGGGGAGATTTGGGAGATACAGGGTTTCTTTTTGGATAACTGAGATGTTCTGGAACTAGATAGTAGAGATGGCTGTACAGCATTGTGAATATAATGATCACCAGTGAATTGTGTGCTTTAAAATAGTTAAAATGGTAAATTTTATGTTATATAAATTTTATCTCAATAGAAAATTTTCTCTAATGATAATTTTCTGTAATGAAATGGACTGGTAGGATATATATCTATTCCATGATAATAGTTGTCACTGGGGGTGGCCAAAGATGGAATGTGGGACTGAGGTGGTGGGAAGAGGAGATGTTAGCTATGCTGGTAATGTTTTATTTCTTTTATCCATTAAAAAAGCCCTGGGAGAGTGTATATTCAGGGCAACTTGAATCTGTGTTTCCTGGTTACAATCCTCACACTTGGCCTAAGTAAACCCCCTACTTACATATATTTTTTAAAGCCCTGGAAGCAAATTTAACAAAATGTTGAGTTGTTAAATCTGAATGGTAAGAATATCAGTATTTATTATATTACCCATTGCATTTGCTATGATTTTTCACCTTTTTTGAAAAATAAATCACAGCAAATACAAAAGGCCTGGGTACATCTGAAATGGGCCCAAGGGGCATGGGGTCAGGTTGAAAAGAGCTGCCTGCTTGTCCAGCTCAGAGCCCTGCTTTGCCTGCTAAGATCCCACTGGATCCTGGACCCTCTAGTTTGTGCAGTCTTTCTGTATAGCCTCCACTGGCCCCTCTCGACCAAAGTCATCATTATACTCCTGATTTAGGAAGAACGTCAAAGTTCTCAAGTCCACGGTAACTCACGATCATACCTTTGCCCTTCTGACTCTTCCTTGAGTCTAGACACAAATCCTCTTGCCTGTTGTTAGAGAACCTTCTGCCACCAAGTTCACCCAAAGATTGCTCAAATTTAGGTCCAGAAAAAAATGGAAGAGAGCCATTTCTGTTTCTGTCAACATGGTAACTGGTTGATGTGGAACTGGACAGAAGACCTTGACCTTTCTTAAAATGTTGATTATGTTTTCTGAACGTACACACCAGTGTGCTGGGAAGAGATCATCTCTGATTACCAGGCCTCATAATAACTGAATGACAGATGGAAACCAAAGATTGCTTCTCCAGTGGTCTAGTGTAGATGCCAGCAAACTGTAGCCAAGAATGGCCCACTGTCTGCTTTTGTAAATAAGGTTTTATTGTAACACAACCACACTGTTATTTATTTATTGTCAGTGGCTGCTTTTATATTGCATTGGCAGAGGTGAATAGTTGCAACAGAGACTGAATAGTCCACAAAACCTAAAACAATTAGAATTTTTCCCTTTACAGGAAAAGTTTTCCAACCCTGATAGTGGTTAAGAACAAGGGCTCTTAACTCCAAATACCCTTGGAAGGTAAATAAGCATGGAAGATCTTCTTATTTTAGAGTAAAAATGACACTGAGAAGCAGAGAAATGAAATGGAAAGTCAAGATGACAAAGCCAGTTACAGAATGGAGGTTAAGGGTGTAGACTCTGGAGTTAAATGCCATTTACTCGCCATACGGCCTTGGGTCTGTTATTAAAACATAGCTGTTGCCTCAATTCTAAAAGTGTTCTTGAGAAGAGTAAATGAGATAACCCAGTTACTTCATCAGTAAATATTTATTGGACTCCATTCTGGGCTGGGCACTGTTTGAGGTGTTGGTGATGAAACAGCAAACATGAGGGACAAGATCTCTGTCTTCACAGAGCTTGTAGCCTAGGTGGGGAGATGGTAAATAACAGCAAATCAACCAAGGACACAGTCCAGTCTTGAGGTGGCTGTGACTGGGGCTGGGAATAGGAGGTGGTGGCAGGGGAGATGAGATCAGAAGAAAGATGGAAGTTGAGAATCTCCTATAGCTGGGAGGTCAGGAAAGACTCTGAGGAGGGGTTATTTGAGCTGATGCCTCCATGACAAAAAGGAGCCAATCCTGCAGAGATTTGGTGGCAGAGGAAACAGCCGGCACAAATGTCCTGGCCTGGCAACAAGGTGCCATGGTCAGGAGGGAAAGGACACTGTGCTGGAGCATCATGGGTGACGAGGAGAGAAGCAGGAAAGGGGGGCTGAGAGGCGAACAGCACCAGATCCCGCAGGGCCTCATCCAGTTGTGGTGAGGAATTGGGATTTGTGCAGTGGAAGCCAGTGGAGGTTTCAGGCAAGAGAGTCAGTGCTAAGATCTAGGTTAACCATTCAGAATATCCTTCTGGCTGCTGTAATGCAGTGAGATTGCATTCTGTAGGCACTGGTTGCAGCAGGGAGACCAGTTAGCAGGTTTATTGTACTACTCCAGGTGAGAGATGATGACAGTTTAGGCTGGGATAGTGGCAGATAGGCAAGGTGAAGAGAAGTAGTTGGATAAGGTAACACTGTTGGAAGATTGCATGAAATGTGGTAATATGTGGGAAATACTTAGCACACGGGCCAAGGTTGTAGTATCATCAGCCTCCCTATCATCATCAGCACTAGCACCAACCATCCCCACCAGCACCACCTCCACCATCACTCCAGCCATCATCGTCACTGTTATCACCACCGTCACCACTGTCATTACCACCATCCCATCATTATCATCTTGGGAGAGACAGTGTAGCATTATGGATAAGAGTATATACTCAAGCTATACTACTTGTATTGAAACCCCAGCTCTGCTACTTACAAATTCTATGACCCTGAGCAAATTACACCTCCTCTCTGTATCTCAGTTACCTCTGCTGTAAAATGGGGTGATCGTAGTATTTTCCTTATAGGACATTGTGAAGTGCCATAACACGATCATCGGATAGTAAATCCTAAACTGTCTGTTGCTATTATTTGGGGACTGGTATAAGGTACCATGCTTGGTAGAGAGTTGGTGAACTTTGCTAAAGTCCTGACATTCTGTGGATATCCTCCTTAGAGACTGGAAACAAATCCCTGCTTATGTAACCCATTGACTGATGAGGCTGATGGTGAGGGCTCTCTCCCTGACCCCTGAAATACCACTGTTTCAGAGAGACAAGACAGCCTGCTGTTTGTCAGAACATTTTAGCTTCAGGATTTTAAATCAGCATTCCAAAGATTTAAAGGCAAAGAAATATGTGTTGGAATTTCCACAGAAAAGAGTGTCAAGGTTCTGTGCTTGCTTCAGATAGCTCTGTCTGTGGGGGTTGGCAGATGTTCTTCGGGAGGCATTATTACCTCTTAAAGGGAGGCTTGGGAAGGGCATTTTATTTCTCCACTGTAGGCAGATTCTCGTTTCAGCTGTAGGGCTGCAGGGATAGCTAGAGCTTCCTGAGTATTCCAACTATGGGCTTTGAACAACCTGGGCCAAATGTGGGGGCATTGCTGTCTCTGTCATGCCTTCTACAGGTAGGCTGCTGGAGCCAGGGGACTAGCTTCCAGGAGGTGAGAAAAGCCCTCCAATTGTACACTCACCGGGAGCTCAGATAGCTTGCATGAGAGCCCACGTTCACTGCCAAAGACATGTCTTCCGCAGGCCCTGGATGGAGGGCAATTGTACAATATAAAAGTCTGTCCCAGGCTGGGTGTGGTGGCTCATGCCTGTAATCCCAGCACTTTGGGAGGCCGAGGTGGGAAGATCACTTGAGGTCAGGAGTTTGAGACCAGCCTGGCCAACATGATGGAACCCCGTCTTTACTAAAAATACAAAACTTAGCCAGGCATGGTGGCATGCACCTGTAATCCCAGCTACTCAGGAGGCTAAGCAGGAGAATCGCTTGAACCCGGGAGACAGAGATCGCAGTGAGCCAAGATTGCGCCACTGCCCTCCAGCCTAAGCAACAGAGTGAGACTCCGTCTCAAAAAAATAATAATAATAAAAATGAATACATTAATAAATAAATGTCCCAGAGAAACAGTGGTGTGTGTACCACTCCACCCACAACCATACAAGGGATCTCTTTAACTTTTCTATGTAACAAAAAGGAAGACCAGTAGCAACACGTGGTTAAAGATGTGCCATAACCCAGGATGGATCTTCTCCTTCCACTGAGAAACAGGCTCCCACAGATGGCAGGTTTTACTGCTGGACCAGAGTCAGTTCTTACGCCTGAGGGCTGGGACTTTTAGAACTATGGCAACTCTGGGTATCTTTTCTTACTACTTAGCTGGACAAATTGTTTCCTAGCTTTTAAATGAGGGAGAGACAGGTTGATATAGTATAATGAACACCCAACTTGGTTTTTTTGGTTTAGTTTAGTTTTGTTTTTTTGAGATGGAGTCTCACTCTGTCACCCAGGGTAGAGTCCAGTGGCGCAGTCTTGGCCCGCTGCAAACTCTGCCTCCCAGGTTCAAACGATTCACCTGTCTCAGCCTCCTGAGTAGCTGGGATTACAGGCTCCTGCCACTGCGCCTGGCTAATTTTTGTATTTTTAGTAGAGACAGGGTTTCACCATGTTGGCCAGGCTGGTCTCGAATTCCTGACCTCATGATCCACCCACCTTGGCCTCCCAAAGTACTGGGATTACAGGCATGAGCCACCGTGCCCGGCCATGAACACCCAACTTTTAAAGCCAGTCATAGATGGAGTAAAATCTAAATTTTACCATTTAGTAGCTGCCACGATAAGCAAGTCACTTAACCCTTCTGAGTCTCAGTTTCCTCATCTGTAAAACAGGAATAGCAATACTTACATTCATGGTTGTAAATATAACAATGTATGTAAAATGAAAAATCTTACTGTTATAGCAATGTTGAATTTTTTTTTTCCTGGTGTACTTCACGTATATCTTGGCTTGTGAGTAGTACCTGCAAGATCTTGAGGTTAAGGTATGCCTTTTTTTTTTTTTTTTTTTTTTTTTGAGACAGAATCTCATGTTGTCACCCAGGCTGGAGTGCAGTGGCATGATCATGGCTCAGTGCAGCCTTGACCTCCCCAGGCTCAGGTGATATTCCTATCTCAGCCTCAGCCTCCAAAGTTGCTGGGACTACGGGAGTGTGCGACCATGCCTGGCTTTTTTTTTTCTTTTCTGTTTTTTTTTTTTTTTTTTTTTGTAGAGACAGGGTTTTGCCACGTTGCCCAGGCTGGTCTCTGAACTCTTAGGCTCAAGTAATTTGCTCACCTTGGCCTCCCAAAGTGCTAGGATTATGGGTGTGAGTCACCATACCTGGCCAGGGTACGCTCTTAATTTTCAAATGTCTGCTTTACTAGCAACAACAGACATTTACTGCGCACTTGGTAAGTGAGGCTGTCACTGAGTGCATTCATGTGCATTTAATCCTCGCAACAGCCATGCAAGGTGAAGATTATAATCCCCCATTACACATGAGGTTTAAGCAGGTGAGGCAGCTTGCCCAGGTCACAAGCAAGAAAGTGGCAGAGCTGAGATTTAAACCTGGACCACTCAGTTCATGCCCTTAACTCATAAACACCCTGCTATCTCTTAAAATGTTCATGCCCAATAATTGACATTGCTCCTTGTGATGTTGTAACATGAATGAGTCATACAGAGACAGTGGTTGTCCTTTGCTTCTTGATTTCTAGGAAGTCTTTATATATTACAGAGATTGGTGCTGAAATGGATACGAGTTGTAACTATATTTTCCCAGTTTGTCATTTGTCTTTGCTTATATTTTCATTGTTGTTCTTGTTTGCCATGTAAAAGTGTTTAAAGTGATTTTATCTTTTTATATTTTAGGATACAAATTTTATCAATCTTTTCTGGCTTCCGGACTTTGAGTCATAGTTAGCAAGGTCTTTCCTACACTAGGGAAAGGCCCATCTTCTTCTCTTTTATGTTTTCATATTTACATTTACATCTTTGATGTATTTGGTGCTTATCCTGGTATACAATGTGAAAAAAAATTAAAAAATAAAAAAACACTTTTTAAAGCACTCAAATAAAATTATCCTATCCAAATGTGGTCAGAGTTGGCATATGAAGAATATTTGGGGTAGTGAATTTTCATTTAAGCAAAAAAGCAGATTTATTGGTACCATTGGGTGACAAGCAGTGAGTTCTTCACAGTTCTAGTTAGAAGACCTTTAGTCTGATACTTTGGTAGGGGTTTTCCATCTGCTGAGCTGGTAAAGTGTAAAATGTGAGGTTCAGGAGTGGGCAACTAAACAAATGAAGCTTTTGGAGGTAGCTTTGGATACTTATGAGATCCCTGACTCCCCATGCCATCAGCCTTCAAAACCTAACCTGTGAAACATCCTTGACATTTTCCTACTTTCTTCTCTTTGATATCGTTATGAAATAATTCCTTAGCCCTCATGGGTTTGTTTTTGGCCAAAGTGTATGGCTGTATCAATAGGTTATTATGCTTGTCTCCTAGTCTCAAAGAGCTTATGATCTTGTTGAGGGAAGCAAGACTTAGATATATAATATAAATCCTGAATAGTGCAAAAAAGTAAGAAGGCAGCTACTCATTTATGTGGTAGAGTCTCTTTTGTATATATTTGAATCAAAATGCTTCTAGTTGTGACAGAAACATAGCTCAAATTTCTTTAAGCAAATAGAGAATTTATGTTTAGGTAACAGAAAAGACCAGGTGTCATGCTTATGTAACAGTCAAACCTTCAGGCATGGCTGGATCCAGGTGCTTATTTTTGCTTAGGAATCTCTTTTTCTCCTCACTTCTCAGCTTTCATTTTTCCTTGTTGCTTTCATTCTCAGATATGCTCTCCCCTTCTGGTAGAAAGATGACCACAAACAATGAGTGCCAAGCTTACCCCCTTCTAACTTAAGGGTACTTTCTTGTCTAGTTTCTCTTGCAAAAATCCCAAGCCTGGTTCTCATGCCTCTTCCTGAACCAGTTACTAGAAGGAACTGAACCAGTTACTAGAAGGAAGGGTTGCTGATTGGTCAGTCCTGAGTCACATGTACTCCCAAAGAAACTGATAGCAGGCTCAGTCCCATTTTAACCATAAGCTCCGAGAATTGGGGAGAGGCAGTTTCCCTAAAGAAAGTTGTAGAGCCATGATCAGAAAAGGGAGGAACCAAAGCTGAGTGAGCCAAAGCCCCAGAATGCACCGCAGTATGAGCTGCTTGTTCTTGAAGCTCTTAAATAATTGGCTCCAGGTGGCCAGCATCACAAACAATGAAAGTCTTGAATAGAGTAGATGGACTCTGTTAAGCCTATAAAAATGAAGCCTCACCGAGTTGCTGTCATGTGATAAGAGCAATAACTTTAGTCGATTCTCAACTGCATTACAAAATAAAACTAAACAAACAGAAAATGTTGCTGCCTATTACTGATGATGGGTTTCTGAGATCCTAAATGGAATTTGTCAGAAAAGCTATCATCATGTAATTGGCATTTGTCAAATACCAAATCCCAGCAGAAAAGAACATAGAGAGGGATTGTTTCCCTCTTCCCAACTGCTGACTATAGTTTGGAAAAAGAATGAGGTCTCAAATTGGGCTGGATTCTTAAATTGGTGCTTTTGTGAACGTCATTTTAGAACTCATTCCACACCTGAATATTCTATAGCTTGTGAAGAATGTGGCGTGGAGTGCAGGGGTCTCTGTAAATGGAGTGGCATGGCTACTTTGTTGGCTGTGCCAGGAATATTAGCTGACGTTTACCATGCCTGGCACTGTGCCCTGTGCCTTCACTGCATCATCTCATGCAGTTTTCACAATAGCCCTATGAGGGAGGTACTCTTTTCATCCCCATTTTATAGGCGAGGAAACTGAGGCTCAGAAAGATTACTCACTCACCCAGGGTCTCAGAGCAAATTACTGGTGGAATCAGAATCCAGACTGGGGCTGCTACACTCCAGTATATGGATTCCTAACAGTGCTGCATAATTAACTGGCTTGTGTCACCCTGACCTTGTCACCTCACAGAGTTTCTTCACTCTTTTTTACAGGTATACATCGTTTAACAAAATCTTTAAACAGTGATGCCACTGAAGTGTTTTACTCTGAGAATCCTGTTATATCATTAGCTCTTAATGATGGGCTATAAATGAACTCCTAGATTTTTCTAATCCATTCCTTCCCACAGTTTCCAGAAAACACCCTAAACAATTGCTAAAGTGGACTGGATAGTAGTTCATTCCTCTCATTTTATCTTTAGGAAAGAAGGCAAGCACGTGGAAAGCTGACCAAGCTGGTCATCAGCTCTGAACTTAATAATTGCCAATAATCTTCAAAAACAGTATTGAGCTGTGAGACCTGGTAATTATATACTAGTGTGTAAATGGTTCAAAGGCTAGGCTTTTAAGCAAATTTGGGTTTGAATCATAATCCTGTCACTCTGACCTCAAAGAAGTAGTAGAGCCTGACCGAATCTCAGTTTCCTCATCTATAATGGGAGTCATTAGAAGGATTGAGCTCTAAAGGTTGTCCTGGGGATTAAAGGAGATGATACTTACAAAGTGCTCAGCACAATGCTGCCCCTAATTGTGATCAAAAAAGCCTGGCTGCTAGTAAAGCAACCATTTATGATTACTATTACTATTGTTATGTCCCATTCTTACTCCTTCCCCCTCCAAAATAAATACCACCACAACAAAATCTCCATTTTTATCACTGACATTTTGTAAACATCTTTTTCTTTGCAGTGGTTTGCAAAGCACCTTGCAATTTCCTCTCTTCTTAATTCCTGGAATTCTGTTTGAACTTGAATTGCTTAAAGCTCTCTGTTAAGCAAACTATCTCTTGTGTTTTTTCCTCTGATGTCCACAGGCTTTGAAACAGTAGCTTTTCCATAATCTTTGACAAAAGTTTGCACTAACTCCCTGAAGGACTGGTTTTAGTACAGCCTTCTCGTCCATCTGGCTCGTTCTGTTTTTTTTTTTTTTTTTTTCCTTTCCTCAAGATCTTTTCTCTTTGTTTAGTTTTTTAAAGGGGAATCTCTTGAAAGTCTCCTCTAACATATTCTTACTCCCCTTTTCAAGATTAAGCTGTTATCTTGGTGACAGGTACTGACAAATACCACATAGACTCACAAATGGTCATGTGGTTTGGCTCACAGATTAGTGCCTTTTTCAGGTGATAATTATCCCCTGGGCAGTTACAAAAGCTTTGTCATAAGAAGCTGATTATTTATTGCAACCCTGGTTCTGGCAGTTAAAATAACCTGGGGTCTAGTTATTTGGGGTTTTCTTTCTCTCCCCAAGGAACATCTCTGGAATTCATTTATGGCAAAAGAAATACACAAGGGCACATATCAGCTTTTTAATCAAGATAACCTCCCATCTGTAGAGCATTTCATAGATTCCAAAGCACTTCCAAGTCCACAATCTCCCAGTGAACTTGATTCTGGGAGCCAGTCAGATGTGTCTTTCCAAGCAAGGTGAAGGGCAGGAGGAGAAAAGTGAGAACAGGAGGCTGGGCTGTGGGGTTGGATTTTGAGGTGATTAGCAGTCTGGTAGATGCAGTTAGGATATGCCTGGCTGGACCATGACAAGATGGAGAATTGGGGCTCCTGCTTTCTGGTGACTTTTTCAGTCATGCTAATAACAAATGACCTGTGAGAGGATTTCACAAGACTCAGAGAGAACTTCAATCATTAAACAAGCCTTTATAGATTCATTTGAGCTGTTGTCTTTTTTTCCCTCTTATATTTAAGACATACATTTATATTGTAACATTTTACTCTGCATCTGCTGCAAGAGGAAACTATAGGATAATAATGATTGCTTCCTGATCAAAAGTAGGTGAATTCCTAGCAGAGGTCATTGGAAAGATACATGGGGAGGAAAAGTGGAATATTTCTTCTTTTAGTTTTGGTAGTGTTCCAAAGAAGAAGAAACAAATTTGAAGAGACTGATGGTTTACAATATTTACGGAAACACCACTACCAAAATGCCTTGGTTCTATCAGCAGCTGTGTGCACCTCAGTTCCATTACCTCTCCCCTTTTTAATAAAAACAACATAACCACATGGCCCATCATTGGGAGACCTTCCTTCTGATACACCGTGATTTTTTTTTTTTTTTTTCAGAGTCTTACTCTGTCACCCTGGCTGGAGTGCAGTGGCATGACCTCGGCTCACTGCAACCGCCACCTTCCAGGTTCAAGTGATTCTCGTTGACTCAGCCTCTGGAGTAGCTGGGATTACAGGTGCCTGCCACCACACCCAGCTAATTTTTGTAATTCTAGTACAGATGGGGTTTCACCGTGTTGCCCAGGCTGGTCTTGAGCTCAGGCAATCAACCTGCCTTGGCCTCCCAAAGTGCTAGGATTATAGGTATGAATCACTGCACCCGGCCACAACCGTGATTTTTATTTTGTGTATTTTCCCTGCCAAGCTTTTCCACATGTATATTTCACATATATATATACATATAGGTGCCCTCATAAACAGTTTTCATCCTGCTTTTCATTAACTTAGCATGTTCCCATTTTGCTTGGCTTCATCAGTATACTTGTTTATGCAGTGTTCATGCAGTGGATGTCCTATAATCTAATTAAACATTCCCTATTGCCTGACATTTGGATTTCAGGGCAATTAGTGCAGGACTGGAAAGTGTGGGCCCTGGAGCCAGCCTGACCCAGATTTCCTGCTGTGCCACTTCCTAGCTGTGCGATCTTAAGGGCTTGCTTTCTTCATCTGTGCCATGGGAATGATAATACTTTCCTGAAAGGGTTGTTCAGAGGAGAATAACGTATATAAAGCATTTAACATAGTTCCTAGTACATAGTGTATTCTTCATACTTAGTAGCTAGTCTATTATTATTTCTAATTATCACTATTTAGATGACACTACACTGAAAATCTTTTCTTCTTTTAGATTCTTTTCTTTTCTTTTCCTCGCTTCTCTTCTCTTCTCTTCTCTTCTCTTCTCTTCTCTTCTCTTCTCTTCTCTTCTCTTCTCTTCTCTTCTCGAGACAGAGTCTTTCTCTGTCGTCCAGGCTGGAGTGCAGTGGTGCGACTTGGCTTACTGCAACCTCCACCTCCCCGGTTCCAGCGATTCTCCTGCCTCAGCCTCCCGAGTACCTAGTACTACAGGCTTGCCCCACCATGCCCGGCTAATTTTTGCATTTTCAGTACAGACAAGGTTTCACAATGTTGGCCAGGCTGGTCTCAAACTTCTGACCTCAGGTGATCCACCCACCTCGGCCTCCCAAAGTGCTGGGATTACAGGTGTGAGCCCAGCCATTGGATTATTTTATTTTGGTAAAGTCACACATGTAGAGATATTGGGCTAAGATATTTGCATATTTGTATTGCTCTTGGTAGGTATTGACATCTCTAGATATCACAGTAGTTTTTACTGTCATCAATGGTTCTACACATGCCATTTTCACTTATAACCTCAATGGCATTGACCAACCAAAAATGATAATTTTTAAGTTGGATAATTTAGTGTTAAATATGATATCTGGAGAAACTGTACCCTCACCAGCATATAACAAGAAATTATAACTTTCTAAGTTGAATAACTTAGTTTGTTAATCATGATACCTTGTGATCTGCTTATACTGGAAAAGTAGAGAGGATAGTATAATTAGCACCTGGTCACCATCATCCAGCTTCAACAATTACTAACTTCTTCCCAGTCTCACTACACTGTGTTTTTAGGAGTATTTTAAGCAAACCTTGGCCATATATCACTTTACTCATCAGTACTCTGCTATACCTCTCTACCTGATAAGGACCCTATTTTTTTTATTTATTTATTTTTTTTTGAGACAGGGTCTCTCACTCTGTTGCCCAGGCTGGAGTGCAGTGGCCCGATCACTGCTCACTGCATTCACTGCAGCCTCTGTCTCCTAGGCTCAGGTGCCTCCCAGGTAGCTGGGATTACAGGCATGCACCTACTAAACCTGGCTAATGTTTTGTATTTTTTTTTTTTTGTAGAGGTGGAGTTTCACCATGCTGCCCAGGCTAGTCTCAAACTCCTGGGGCTCAAGTGATTCACCCACCTTGGCCTCCCAAAGTGCTGGGATTACAGGCATGAACCACCACTTTTTTTTCATAAGTCACCATCCCTTATCCCATCTGACAAGATTAACAATAATTCCTCAATGTTATCTAATATTCAGTCCAAAGTTGCATGTCCTCATATTCAAATTTTACTTCAGACTGCACATTTGGTGATACTGAAGAATTCTTGTTAATTTGTCTCAAAGACGTCCTTGTACAGTTAATTTGTTTGAATCAGTATCCCAACATGGTCCACTCATTCCTTTGTTTCCTTCTTTTTTAAGAGAGAAGGTCTTTACTATGTTGCCCAGGCTGGTCTCAAACTCCTATGCTCAAGTGATCTCTTGCCTCAGCTTTCCAAGTAGCTGGGACTACAGGCATATACCACTGTGCCTGACTGGTCCACCCATTTCTTATCATTGTTATTGTGAAAAATCTCACTGTCCCCCCCTTTTTTTTACCCTCTTGCTGAGGAAACCAGGTCATTTTTCTGGCAGAATATTTTCTAGCCAGGATTCAGGTGTGCTTTCTCATTATGTGTTTTAATGTTTTCCTCTATCCCCGTTTTCTGTAAACTGGTGAGTAGATCTGGAGGTTTGATAAGCATCTTCCTTAATTTTAGCATGAAGTTATTTTGAGGGCACAGCACATCCTTACAGTACCTCCCTGGGTAGAGTCTTATACAGCTGAGCAGATACCAGTTGCTACTGGCCTCCCCTGGCAGTAGTATAACAGCACAAAAATTCAATTGACCATTAAACTGGTAGGTCAATAAAAGTTGAATGTAGGAATAAATGATGACATTAGCTTAGGCTGAGTGCAGTGGCTCACCCCTGTAATCCCAACATTTTGGGAGGTCAAGGGGAGAGGATCACTTGAACCCAGGAGTTTGAGACCAACCTGGGCAACATAGTGAAACCCCATGTCTACAAAAACTAAAAAAATTAGCTGGGTATGGTGGTGCACGCCTGTAGTCCCAGCTACTTGGGAAGCTGAGATGGAAGGAATGCTTGAGCCCAGGAGGTCCAGGCTGTAGTGAGCCACAACTGTGCCACTGACCTCCAGCCTGGATGACAAAATGAGAAAAAAAAAAAAAGTTGCACCAGATGCAGTGGCTCATGCCTATAATCCCAGCACTCTGGGAGGCTAAGGCAGGAGGATTGTTTGAGCCCAGGAGTTCAAGACCAGCCTAGGCAACGTAGTAAGACCCCCATTTCTACAAAAAATAAATAAGTAAATAAAAATTAGCCAGGCATGGTGGTGCACCTGTAGTCCCAGCTACTCAGGAGGCTGAGATGGGAGGATCACTTGAGCCCAGGAGGTCAAGGCTGCAGTGAGCCACGATTGCACCACTGCACTCCAGCTTGGGAGACAGAGCTAGACTCTGTCTTTAAAAAAAAAAAAAAAAACTGCCACCTGGTAGAACATGGTTAATTAAGTGGTAGTAATAAGAATTGTTAGAACTCAAAAGAATAAACTAGCTCCACAGGGCTGGGTTGACCTGGGAAAGCTTCTCAGAAGAAAAACTTGGTCTGAGACTTGAATAATGAATGGTATTTTAAAACATGGAGAAGGATGAGGGAGGGACTATTCTGGACCTGAGTTCAAAGATACACAAAGCTTTTTAAATGTCAACCAATTGGTCCTCTTATGTTGACAGCCCTTGATACATACCTTCTGTGCCTTTTCCTTTCTTTTGTTCTTTAATTCATTCAACAAATATTTATTGAGTGCCTATTATGAGTCAACCTTTTTGTGGCCCAGGGAATATGTTCATGAGGCAGCCTAGTTTTATGGTAAAAACATCAGCTGGGAATCAGAAGACTTTAGTCTTCTCTTAAGTCCTGTTTTTAGAATACAAGTATAAAAAAATTCTTTAAGTTTATTGTTGCTGTCAGTATCTCTAGATGGAGACTTTGGCAGCTCAGACAGAGGATGTAGCATACTGTCACCTTTCCTGGGAAGAAAGGACTTCTGCTGTTTGAATGAAATAGTTTTTTTCGTTACCTTCTTTCCTCTCTCTTTATTCTTTCTTGTGGGAGCACTTTATCCTTTGAGCTCCAAAAACAAAGCTGGAAACCCATGAAACAATATTTGCCACGACCCTGGGCAAAGATACAAATGAAAACAAGCAGAATTCTTTATCAGCCAGACAGTTCACCTTTGTTCATATTCCAAGCGCGTAGGATGGCAGCAGGGGGTGCAGGGGGAGGTTTACCTGTGGTTATCCTGCTGAAAGAGGTATGCTCATTCTCACGAAAAAGAATTGATCTTGAGACTGAAAATGGCTTATGGCAGGGTGGGTGGCTGAGAACAAAAGCAATTGTTAGCATTTTTGAGATATTCATACATCTTGAGCAGCAGCTCAACTTCTATCAGTTTGATCCAGGTCTTTTTTCCTTTGAATTCAGTTCTATCAGCATCTATAGAGTGCTTGCTGTATGCAATACTAGTCATTTCAAGAGGAGGAATTTAGCTTCCTTTCCCATTATCTCCACCAGCCCCCTCACTCCAGAAGCACCTCAAATAAGCTTACCAGCTAAGCATGTACACTGTAGTCGCTGTGCAAACATAGCTTTGAGATGGCCACCCTGCCACCTCCCACATGACTCCCTGAAGTCCTTTTCTTCTTTGTCCTCTCCTGTCACATAAAATTCAGAATTTTCAGGAGAATTTCAGAATTTTCAGTAGAGTTTCAGAATTTTCAAGATAGAAGGGAACTGAGGGTCACCCAGTTCTGTTTGGTAACAAATGTGTTCCACTTCTTCCCCTAGCCAGAGTCCCAGGACAGAGGGTTAGCTCATTATGTCTTTGGCTCCTCTTTTATCCCTAACCTCTCGGGTATAAAATGTAAGTGATTAATGTTCCACAAGACTTGGACTGAAAAACTTTAATCCAGTACATTCTGTTTGATCAAAACAGGGTCCAGGAAAGTTAAATGACTTGTCCATAGCTGCCACAGTCTGTGGGTAAACAGGGACCAAAACCCAAGGCCACTTGATCCCCCATGCGTGGCCTTCCTATAAAGCCACTTGCCCATGGTGTGGACATGATTGCCCTGTGGGTACGGGGCATGCTGGGGCCAATGACACGCTATCTTTGGGGAAGGGTGTAGCTTTGTGGTTAAGACCATCAACGTTCTGGCAGACTAAGTAAGTTCTGGCATGGCTATTTAGTAGCTGTGTGATCTTGAGCAAGTTACTTATCTTCTCTGAGCCTCCATGCCCTCATTTATACAACAGGGCAGTACCCTCTTCAGCAGGTTGTGAGGATTCAGTAAGGTAATATATGTCACATGCTTGTCACAGGTCTGGCATAAGGCAAATGGCACCTAACATTATTTTCTAGCTTTTCAGCACTCAGGTGTGAACTTCCCAAGTCATAATGGTTCTTTCTGTTCCAGCTGAAGTTAACTCAAACCTGTCTTTATTACTCCATTTGTTGAAAGAGAATCTGATATGGAACTTTTTGCTTGGATGATGTGCCACACATGTAGTCTACTGTTAGAAATTGTTTAAAAATCTGAGTTTCAGAGCTGTCTTTCCAACTGGTTGGTTGGTTCCTGGGTTTTGAAGAGATTCGTTCCTCCTCCAGACTTATCTCCTCGCTCTGTTTGGGACCATAATAAACCTAGCTACTGTTTATGAAATTATTACTATGTGGTAGCCCCTTAACCAGGTTTCTCTCTAATCTTCACCTCCACCCTTTGAAGTAGGTGCTATTTGGTCCTGATTGCAGATGAGGAAACTGAAGTTCTGAGAGACTGAGTAACTTGCTTGATGGTTGATATTTTGGTGGTTCTCCCTCGTGGAAGGTGGAAGAGCACACTGTGCTCTGTAGTTTTCTGGATGTGAGATTATGTCTAGGGTGACTCTAGCACTTGGGGTTGACACCTGACAAGGACTTGAGTGAGCATCCAACCCCCTGATTGATCAGCAGGGGAAGCTGGTGAGCAAAAACGTCACAGGACTGGACCCAAGTCAGCACTGCTTCTCATTCAGTGTTCTTTCAGTCATATCATATAGGCTCAAATCCTTGACCCTTGCATCATAGGCTCTGGCCTCAGGACTCCCTGGTTTGTGACTGGCCTGTGAATTAACGTTCCGCTTCAGAATTGGAACTTGAGGTTCTAGAAGCAAGGTGCTTGCATTTGAACTCCAGCTCTGCTGCTTACTAGCTGTGTGACTTTGGGCAAGTTGCTTGAACTCTCTGTGCCTCAGTTTCTCCTACTATAGAAGTACTCATTTCATAGGATTGTTGTAAGGATTACTTGAGATACTTCATTAAAGTCAAAGCACAGTGCCTGGCAGAGAGCAAACACCTCTTCGGCTCTCAGCATCATTTACTGAGCTCTCATCACTTGCCAGGCATCTTTTGGCAATGGGGATGTAGCCTTGTACAAGCGATTCATGATTCTTTTGGAGCGTACAATCTAGTAGGGGAAACAGATGCTAGAGAATAATGAAGATTATGATTTATTAAGTAATTCTAGTGCTATTTGTTATTTATGGGGCACTATTTAGAAGTTGCTGCAAGGTATCTTTGTTTTTAGTTCTAATTCTTATAAATGGACAACATTAATGTAAGTAAGTATTTTGGGTAAGAAGTTTGGCCAGGGTTGCACAGAACCCTCAGCTTTGAGAAGCCTGTGGTTTAGCATCTCATGCCAGCAACCATCTAGATGTGTATTTTTGTTTTGTTTTTTAGAGACAGAGTCTTGCTCTGTCACTCAGGCTGGAGTGTAGTGGTACAATCATAGCTCACTGTAACCTCCAACTCCTGGGCTCAAGCCATCCTCTTGCCTCAGCTTCTAAAGTAGTTAGGACTATAGGAATGCACCATCATGCCCTCCTAAATTTTTACATTTTGTGTACAGACAGGATCTCACTATGTTGGTCAGCCTGGTCTTGAGTTTCTGGCCTCAAGTGATCCTCTTGCCTCAGCTTCCCAAAGTACTGGGATTATAGACATCAGCCACCAAGCCCAGTCAGTCATCTGTGTTATATCCAGAACAGAATTAGGTATGGCCCTACCACTTAGATGCAAGCAGCCCACCCTTGAAGGGCAGAAGGGAAGCTGTGACTGGGCAGAATCCACAAGGCAGCAAGACTTGGTCCACTGAAGGAACAGATAGCTCTCATAGTCATAACAGGCCTGTAGGAAGAAGACAGTGTAGGAACCAAATGCTGTTGTAAAGATAACACAGGCACTATGTAACCGAGTACCTATTTTTAAGTGACAGTGGTATATTTTAGGCCAGTTCTATCCCATTTGTAGTCTGTCTCCATTTTCCCTCAGTAATTCTTTTCTCATAGTTGATCTTTCCTCTGTTTCAACCTCTTGTTTGCTTTGCCATTTGATATTAAAAGAATCTATATGCATATGCATTTCTTGACAAATGAGTACATTGAGCTTAATTTTCTGATGAGCCTTCATAAAATATTACCATGCTGAACCAACCCAAAATGTGGGCTGCCTATACCAAACATGCTAATTTTAGACAGGGTGCTTTCATCAGTACATAAGATATGAATTTTTATTTGAAAGCTTTCCTGAAATTAAATAGCATAAAATCAAGATAATACTCCATATACACTTCAGTCTTTGCTGTTTAATAGAATCACAGAAGCATACACATTTATGTTTAAATCACCTTGTTATATGGTTCAAGAATCTATGTCTCAGAGAGATCACTTGACTTGCCCAAGACCACAGACTTAATGGTAGGGCCAGATTGTATACCATGTCTTCTTTTTTTTTTTTTTTTAATTTTTTTAGAGGTGGGGTCTCGCTCTGTTGCCCAAGCTGGAATGCAGTGGCACGATCATAGCTCACTGCAGCCTCAAACTCTTAGGCTCAAGCAATCACCCTGCCTCAGCCTCCTGAGTAGCTGTCACCATAGGCATATGCCACTGTGCCTGGCTAATTGTTATAATAATAATTGTTATTATTATTGTAGAGATGAGGTCTTACTTTGTGGCCCAGGCTAGTCTCAGACTCCTGGGCTCTAGTGATCCTCCCACCTTGGCCTCCCAAAGTGTTGGGATTATAGGTGTAAGCCACTGCACCTGGCCCATGTCTTCTAATTTAGGTCAGTTCACTCTTCACTCTGCTGCTTCTTTTATATATGTGCAACAGTCATATCCTTTTTTGAAATTATAAGATTAAATCAAAGAATTAATGTCTTTGGAAGCAAGGAGTGTTGGAAAAGTTCTCCAAATTCCACCTTTTTTCCTTAATTCATTTAAAAAAAAAGGGAGAAGGATGATTTATTTACCGGAAGGGTTAATAATAGCATGACGTGCTAACTGTATGCTTAGAAATCTGACATACATATTATCTTATTGGATTATTCATGTGTTTTTAACTCATTAAAACCTTGAAACTCTCATATCCCCATTTTATAGATGCTTAAACTGATGTTTGTCATCATTAAGTAAACTGTCCAAAGTCATATAGTTGGCAAGTGAAAACTTGGTATTTGAACCCAGGCTTCTCATTCTAAAGCAGAGGTGTCCAATCTTTTGGCTTCCGTGGGCCACAGTGGAAGAAGAATTGTCTTGGGCCACACATAAAATACACTAACACTAACAATAGCTGATGAGCTTAAAAAAAATCGCAAAAAAAAGTCTCATAACGTTTTACGAAAGTTTACAAATTTATGTTGGGCCACATTCAAAGCCATCCTGGGATGCATGCAGCCTGTGGGCCATGGGTTGGAAAAGCTTGTTCTAGAGCTTGTATTCTATGTTCTTCCAGAAAGAAGGACAGAGTGTTGAGTATTCCACAAAGAAAATTTTGCTGTAAAGGCAGAGTGGGAGGGAAATATCTTATTCTTTTTCAGTTTACTAGCTCTTCACTTTATAATTTAACCTTCCATATTAAAAGCTTCTCTAGGAAGTGAGAATTAATTTGGGGGAAGGAAGCCTCAATTATTCCTGCTTCCAGCTGGTACAGATGCTTGGCCACTTCAGGACAGGTAGGAGGGAGAATGTTGGCATCTGTCTACTGAGCTCAGAAACTGGAGAAGCATCTAAATTCAGGAATGATGCCAGGTGGGGTGGGGGTGTGGGAGGGAGGAAAAGGATGTGGTGTTTGGGGCCCATAACTCAGGAAACGTGATGGCACCTAATTTCAGAGTGGCATGAGGCAAGCATTTAGGAAAAGAATAGTGAACTATTGTTACAGGTTTTTTTTAAATGGGTGGGTTGTTTTTATAAAGTTTTATGAACAGGAAACTGAAGCAAAATGCTGATCCTTTTAGTTTTTGAGCTCTGCCAGCATCATTTTTATATTTATTTTTGAATTTTGATGACAGGCACTTCCTTTAACACTTCTGGGAGTAAAGTGTAACAAGATACCCCAAACTGCATTTCATAACAGCAGAATCCAAATGAAGAGTTGTAGTTTCAGATCTTTTCGATAACACGGTGAGACAGAACTGGATCCCTCCCCAGCCAGGGGAGAAAGAGAACTCTTTCAGTAACTGAGGCAGTCTGCAGAATTTTTTCCCTTTCAAAACATTCTAGAAAATTTGCCTAACATGTGGAAAACCTCTAACATGCATTAAAATGGGATAGACTGTGGCAAAGAAAATACAGATCAAATTCTCCTCCTCCCATGAATCATAAAAACCCAGCCTTCCCAGCTATTGTTTCTCCTGGAAGATGACTTCATCTTAAAGAAAGTGGTTCTATCTGTTGTGTGTTTTGGATGCACTAAACCAATGTTTCAGGCATCTGGCTGCCAACTTTGGAGATGTTAAAAGCCTGTTTTGTTCCTGCAGGGCACTCTTTCATTGCCTACCTTATAAAAGTTATGTCTTATTGCATTTTCCTGGCACCAGAGCAATCCTTGTACCTACCCATTGCATTTGGTTTTTCTGAGCCTGCAGGCAGCACTGGGTTATTAAAGTTCAAGGAGGAATCCACATGATGTTGGCTTTACAATTTTAATTCTCTCTTACCTTCTTTCCTCCCTACCTCCCACTCAATGACAGATGAGCTTTGTTCACCATGTATTGTCTCTAAACCAGAATGAGCTCTCAAAATTATCTCTTGTAAGGCTCTAGGAGGGGAGAACATGACTCCCCTTTGGTGGAGCAGCTAGCAGAGAAGTTTCCTTCTTCCTTTGGCTTCTTTGAATAAAAAGTTCTTGAGTCTATAATTTATCATCAGCCTTGAACTTCAGATAAGCACCATGTTTAATCTTGCAGAAACATCAGGCAAAATCTGCCCCCTCCCTTAAAAGTCAGCCCCTTGGGGCCCACCTCAAGAAAACAGAGTTTTGATACAAATGGCATTAGGTGTGAGCATGGCAAGTTAAGAGGAAAAAAACATTTTTGTAGAGTTTAACCTGGAATCAAAAACCTAGAGAAGGGAATGAAAGAAATAACCTTTAAAGGGAAGGAAAAGGGCAGATGAGCATGTTGCACAGTGTCTTTGAAAATAAGCTATTTGATGTCCCTTTGTCACTAGTTTCAGCCTTCCTGGCAAGTCCACCTTGTTCAGGAATTAGTGTGTAAACAGCTGGAAGGAACTGAAAGCTCTATCATATCTGAGAGGCCCCCACAGTCTAACACTGTAGGAGCCGTTTCTCAAAGTGGTTTGGACTCTTCAAGAAGCTAAACATTAAAATTAGGGGCCTATTTGAATTACCTTTCAAAATTTCAAACAGCCCACTATAGTATTCTGCATATTATTTTTTGGTCCCATCTCAGAAGTTTTAAATATGGTGTATTCCTCCTTGCAAAAATCTTCTCTGGATTTGCTTCCTCCGTGACGTGTTCTTTGATTAGCCCCATTTCAATTTAATTTTCATTTCAACAAATATGAGCTGAGAGTCTGCTATGTGCCAGCGTAATAGGAGGAGCTGGGGCTACTGTGATGAGCAAGATAGATATGGTCCCTGTCCCCTTGTAGCTTGCAGCCAGGCAGTGGAGACAGACATAAAATCAGTCAATATGAGCAGGCTGACTACTGGGGAAGAAGAGGTACTTGGCACCTTGAGGGCACAAAACAAGGATTACCCTTGCCTGGGGGTCACAGACAACCTTGAATGAGAGGAATTAGCTAGGCACAGCTATCAGTTGGTTGTACTTATTAATGCTAGAGTTGAAGAATCAAATGATAGTGCAATGATAAAATCTGGGGAACTAGTGACTAAGTGCTTCTGTTCAGTCCTCTATTGCCAAGGCTTTTGGTTTAATCAGAATTGTGGGCACATGCGAACTATGTTTGCTGAGCTTGGTTTTGGCTCTGAGATGGAAAAAAAATCAAGTAAAGCAGAAACTGTCTTAATTCAGCTCCCACTTAACCAAAGCATTCAGTTAACCCACACCAACTAGCCCCTTTGTGAAGCGTGTCTAATACCCACAGCACACAGAACACTTTCAGCTAATATGCTGCTTCTAGCATACGCCAGCCAGTTTCCACTCCCACCAGATGAGACACATATTTGCCAGGAGTCCCCGAACCTGTTTCTACTAGTTGAACTTGTTCTGTAATTAAAGTCTTCTGCCCATGCCCCCACCCCCACCATCTGCCCCAGCCCCAGCCCTAGGTCTTTTTTCAAGTAAACATCTCAAGCCAAGTGCCCTCCTCCCATTCTCTGCTCTACAGCTAATTTTTTAAAAACGTAAATGCTGTCATGCCCTCTGGCTATGAAGATAAGCATGTTTTAAATTGGAACCTTGGATACCAGATTGTAAATCAAGTCCCAAGAGCCAGAACACATCTCCTAGTGGGTGGCTTACTTGGTAGTTTACTCGGAGTATAGATTTGTCAATTTTTCATCATATCCTTGAGGCACCCATCTGTATATAGCATGGTGTGGCACACAGTAGTTCCTCAGTGCACGTTTGTTTGGATGAACAAATTAAGAGGCTCCTTATTCCCATTCTGGGTTTTGATGCTACAGCCATTGGGCTAATTACCCCCTGTGCACCTCAGGACTGAAGATTTGTGGTCAGAGCATTTCTAGCCTGTGGCTGGGGGATCATTATTGGGCTTGCTGATCATTCTGATTCATAACACTATGTATGTTACTCGAACAGTGCTTTTTGAGGGTATTTTACAGATTTCTGGGTCTGCTGCCAAAGATTCCAATTCATTGGACCCAAAGTGGGCCTTAGGGATATATATGGATTTGATAAGCTTCTTAGTCAATTTCACAGCAGGTGGTCTCTGGGAGTGTCCCTGACTCCTCAGAAGTCATTTCTCTATAAATGTATGGGTTTTCAAATTCAGGCCAGATGATATGAATACTGCCATATTTTGTTATTTTACACATTTTCCTCCACATGTTAACTTCTCTTGAATTGCCAAGGGTCTTACAATTGATCATATAATTTAATTGACAATATTTTTCTTTTCTTTTCTTTTCTTTTTGTTTTTGAGACTCAGTCTCTCTCTGTCACCCAGGCCGGAGTGCAGTGGTATAGTCTCAAGCTCACTGCAACCTCTGCTTCCTGGGTTCAAGCCTCCCGAGTAGCTGGGACTACAGATGTGTGCCACCATGCCAGTTACTTTGTCTATTTTTTGTAGCGACAGGGTTTCAGCATGTTGCCCAGGCTGGTCTCCAACTCCTGGGCTCAAATGATCTGCCCGCCTCAGCTTCCCAAAGTGCTGAGATGACAGGGGTAAGCCACCACACCCAGCCTATTTTAGAGAGTACATAAAATAATAGCACATATTACAGTCTTAGGTTCGACAAAATACGGTACTTTGATTACTGAGTTTGTAGTTGATGGAGGAGAAAACACCTCTAATATCCAAAGCTGGAATGTATACATTTTAGGTTCTAATTTCTCTGAATAATGGTTACTATACGAAACCCACATAAAGGAATACCTTAGTTGTAGTCTGAGGGGAATAAATAACTAAATAAATATATGGCCAGGCACGGTGGCTGACGTCTGTAATCCCTTTGGGAGGTCGAGGCAGGTGGATGACATGAGGCCAGGAGTTCGAGACCAGCCTGACCCACATGGTGAAACCCAGTCTTTCCTAAAAATACAAAAATTAGCCAGGCATGGTGGTGCACATCTGTAATCCCAGCTACTCAGGAGTCTGAGGCAGGAGAATCGCTTGAACCTGGGAGGTGGAGGTTGCACTGAACCGAGATTGCACCACTGCACTCCAGCCTGGGTGACAAAGTGAGACTCTGTCACAAAGGAAAAAAAAAAAGTAAAGTAAAAAATATTTTAAAAATTAAATATAACATATTTATTGAATCCTTAACCCCCAAATATGAAATACTCTCAAAGGCAGACTCTCCAGAAAATTCAAAGACACTCTAGTAGTACACAGAAAATGTTTTATTACTTCTGTGGGCAGAACAAGCCTGCTGATAGTTATAAGTTCAAATTGGAGAAGGTCAGGTTTCTTACTGCAAAATCTTCAGTGAGACAGGTTTTTGTTTATACAAACTGTGCATCCAGAAACACCATATATCAAGAAAATAGTAAATTAAACCCCTTAGGGTTTTCATTTAATCACTGAGTTTGCATTTCTGCCCCCCAAAACAAATATAGTGGCAAAGGTTGTCCTGGGGAAGAATAAGACTTGAAAAAAATTCCCTCTTCCCTGGTTTCTTCTTTATTATATTTCATTGAAATTTTAATTTTCACTGGTGTTTTAAAGTATATTTGTGTACCTGAAGCAGTTTAAGACAGTTTTCTGTCCCCTCACTCCCTTACTCCTATATTCCTCTTTATTCTTTTGTCTGTCTTGTGTTTTATGGAATTTGTTATTCAGCCAACGGTCAGGTTTGGGCATCAGGGAAGACTTGATTCATTGCCCTGTTCTGGGGTTTCTTGGCACTCAAGCATTTCTTCTTTGCCCCACCAAGCCTAAGCTGATATTTGATACTAATCAATGATCAAAGTCTGAAGTGAAAATACCTTGAGGTCAATACCCACAGATTCCCTTGGCTCCAATACCATATTTCAGGACCACTCTCTCTTTACCACAGCGTTTCTCAATAGTGGCACTATTGGCATTTTGGACCTGCTAATTCTTTGTTATGGGAAGCTGTTCTGTGTATCATAAGTGTTAACAGCATCCCTGGCCTTTACCTATTAGATGCCAATGGCACCCTGGCCTTGTCCACTGACAATCAATCAAAAATACATCCAGACAGTGCCAAATATCTGCTGGGAGGTAAAATCACCATTGGTTGAGAAGTATTGCTCTTATGAACCAGAGGCTAGCAAATGTTTATGATGTTTCAGGGCAAAACACTTCAATATTATTATTTTTTTGAAAAAACAAAAAAATTTGCTAATTTCATAGCTAATTTTTTATTTTTATTTTAATTAATTAATTATTTTGAGACAGGTTCTCACTCTGTTGCCTAGGCTGGAGTGCACTGGCATGATTATGGCTCACTGCAACCTCGACCTCCTGAGCTCAAGGGATCCTCCCACCTCAGCCTCCTAAGTAGCTGGGACCATAGGCACATGCTACTACGCCCAGCTACTTTTCGGATATTTCTTTTTTTGTAGAGATGGGGATCTCATTATGTTGTTCAGGCTGGTCTCGAACGCCTGCGCTCAAGCAATCCTCCTGCTTCGTCATCCCAAAGTGCTGGGATTACAGGCGTGAGCCACTGTGACTGGCTAATTTATTATTACTATTTTTTTTGCTTTATAGCTGATAATCCACAGGATTAGCTCAGCTGGGAGAGAGAGATACTCTCCTTTAACCAGTTTTTCAGAAAATGAGACCTTAAAGAAAATGCAAGAATTAAGCCTTCCAGCTTTAGACTATCCGGGGATACTTTTTTTTTTTTTTTTTGAGACAGAGTCTAACTTTGTCACCCAGGCTAGAGTGCAGTGGCACGATCTCGGCTCACTGCAACCTCTGCCTCCCAGGTTCAAGTGATTCTCCTGCCTCAGCCTCCCGAGTATCTAGGACTACAGGCACCCGCCACCATGCCTGGCTAATTTTCGTATTTTTAGTAGAGACGGGGTTTCACCATGTTGGTCAGGCTGGTCTTGAACTCCTGACCTCAGGCGATCCACCCGCCTTGGCCTCCCAAAGTGCTGGGATTACAGGCATGAGCCACTGCACCCAGCCCAGAGATACATTTTTGTAAATCTAGACTGGAGTCAGTGGACAGCTCCTCAGGCAAAGGGAGAATAGTAATACTGGTATGAGTTTAGAGATGATGGTTGCTTCATTTGTGCCATTTTTACCTATCTAGCAGTAAATCACAGTCCTGATCTGCCAGAATTCACTGCCAGAACTTCTTTAGGTTCCCTCCCCATCAAAACTGAAATTAGAGAGAGGAGAGGGGGGCTTGGTCATTAACTGGAAATGTCACCCAAATGGAAGGGGAGGGGAAAGGTGTTGCAACACTCATGTGCCCACCATATACCTACACATCCATGCCACTTTAGCAGGTAGAAGAGATGACTTCAGATACCAGGGAAAGCAAACAGAGGTACACATATTGGAGGCCCAGGCTTTCGGGGATCAGCTACTGTTCCTTGAGCTCCTTATTCAAATGTAAACACATAGGTTACAATTGAAAGGCCACATTTTAAAATTGGCCTTATTCTTTGAGCAAGTATGTATTAAACATCTGCCTGGCATAGAAGTTCAGGAATGGGTGGAGAAGAGGAGGGGAGAAATGTATCTAATTGAACACCTGACTGTAATAAGCATTCATTAATTATTTGATAAATGAATGAACGGATGGATGAACAAGCCTTTAAAGAAAAAGGAACTCAGGCCTGGCGCGGTGGCTCCCACCTGTAATCCCAGCACTTTGGGAGGCCAAGGCGGGGCAGATCACTTGAGGTCAGGAGTTCGAGACCAGCCTGGCCAACATGGTGAAACCCCGTCTCTACTAAAAACACAAAAAATTAGCCGGGCGTGGTGGTGTGTACCTGTAATCCCAGCTACTCAGGAGGCTGAGGCGGGAAAATTGCTTGAGGCCGGGAGGTGGAGGTTGCAGTGAGCAAGATCACACCACTGTACTCCATCCTAGGCAACAGAGCAAGACTGTGTCTCAAAAAAAAAAAAGGAACTCGCTATTCCTTATGTTAAAATATAACGCTAATAGGACAAAGCATTGTCCTGTTGGCTGAGAAGGCTGTCACAGCCATGTTAGCTTCTGGTTTTATCCTCAGGCTAGGCCTGCTCTGCTCCCAGTCATGGGACTGGGATTTAAGGAGTTGACAGATGGTCTCCAAGCCATGCCTGGTTGTCTGCAAGTCTAAAAGGAGCTAATAACCAGTGGTGGGCTTCTGTATTCAGGCCTACCATTCCACCAGCAGCCCAAATGACCCCCGCTCAACACAGGCAAGACCACAGGCCCTGTGCTTGGCACAGTTCCTGCAAATGCAGAACAGCCCTCTTTATTTCAGTCTCCAGGCTTCTGGCTGGCAAGGAACACTGCCCGGCTGTGAAGCATTTTATAGGATTATAACGGGCTATGCCGAAGGCAAGTTCTGAAAGACACTTTGTGCCGTTTCTTTGAGTGAAGCTGCCTGTTAGAGCAGTGTTGTTCCTAAGCCCGTAAACACACACACAGGCAGAATGGGGAGCTCTGGGCTCCTGGGGCCACTTAGCTTGGCGGCATTGCAGGACTGGACCAGCTTCCCTCAACTGTGACACTAACCTTAGGGATATGCTTGGAGGCCCTCCTGCAGGGGTGCCTGTTTTCTGACAGTCTTTGTTCACGGACACCCCCAGATAGTGTCTCAGGCAGATTGCCTAAAACCCCAATCTGTCAATGGTGGAGCAGTGCATTACATATGGGGAAGGTGCTGAAGTCAGGGACCAAGGTGGAAATTGCATGAGGTCAGAAATACTCCTGAAATAGCTAATCCTGACCTTAACCTATATACTGATGGAAGTTAAAAAAAAATACTCCTGAAAAATTTGTTAAATGCCTCAAGGACCATATACATGGCTTGTATGCACCCCAAATTGCTGGCTTGAGTTTATAGGCTTTGTTGTACCAAAAATATCTGTATTTAAACACCAGAATCCTATTCTGGATGGTGAGACATTCGTGCTATAAGAAGCTTGGAAGAATCAGACCACCCAAGAGAATTCCAGATTCCCATCTTTCCTTTTGTAGCTTATGCTTTTTTATAGCACTATTTAAATTGTTACAGGCCATTAGTAATCTCTCTGCCTCTGTCTGTCTCTCTTTGCCTAGCATGTATAGTGGAAAAGAGGTATGTTTGTCATATATATGTTGTGTAGCCCTGTGTATTTATTGATTTTTATGGCTCCAGTATATTTTAAGGAAAGCAAAGAAATGTTTTAAGAGAAGATGGATACGGCAGCCTTCTCATCAATCAATATGACTGTTCATTGCTCTGCAATAGTTGTGCTTCAACCTAAGTTGCACTTTAACATTTCTTCGGAGGCCAGGCACAGTGGCTTATGCTTGTAATCCTAGCGCTTTGGGAGGCCGAGGTGGGTGGATCACTTGAGCTCAGGAATTCAAGACCAGCCTGAGCAACATGGTGAAACCTCATCTCTACAAAAAATATAAAAATTAGCTGGGCGTGGTGACGTGTGCCTGTAGTCCCAGCTACTTGAGGGGCTGAGGCGGGAGGATTGCTTGAGACCAGGAGGTTGAGGCTGCAGTGAGCCAAGATTGTGCCACTGCACTCCAGCCTGGGCAACAAAGTGAGACCTGTCTCAAAAAAATAAAATAAACATATTTCTTAGGGTTTGTTTACTGTTACACTGGATTTATGGTATGTCAGACTCCCTGCTTGGCCCTAAGGATACTGCAATGAGCAACCCAGTCCCAGGGCTATCAGACGTCGCCAGGGTGACTATTTTCTTCACCAAGTGCTGTAAGTATATTTTCCAACTTGAGAACACGGCCCAGCAAGCTCTTCTGGGAGTCAAAGCCAGTGGCTTTGATGGCAAATGTGTTCTAGTTGAGATAGTGGACTGTGAGGGCCAGAAGAGCAGGCAGAGAAAGAGGAATAAGAAGTGGCTCGGGTACTTGGGCACAGGTTCTTGGTGGCCAGACAAGCCCTGAGTGACGCATGTCACTGCCTCTGGCCCTGCCTTTGGCTGCATAGTTAATCAGGGGCTACTTGGAGATGAGGTTACTCTCACACCCCCACCAAGCTTGGCTAAGCTTTTGGAGCACTTGTGTGAGCTCCCCATCAGCACAGCTCAGGCTAAAAGGATAAAATTGTGTTCAGGAATACAAATAGGAAAAATCAGTGGTTCTGAGGTGCTCTTTCCTGCCCCATACCTCTTCTGAGACAGTTTTCTTCCTATTGCTTCAGGTTATCTATCGAGGGAAAAAAACTCAGGTGCTCTCTTCAATTTCAGTTGGAACCTCCACCCATTCAGGAGCTTCATTTACATGTGTGGTAATAACAGGCTGGTTACACAGGGCCCAATTCTTTCTGCCTCCAAAGGCAGTTTGTCTGCACTAGCTGGGTAGGAAAGTAAGTGGATTTAGTGTGAGGGTGTGGATTTGATACCTGGGATGAAGAGCTATGTATTATGAGGTGTCCTGCCTGAGAAGTAGGAACTGCTGGGTTCTGACCTCAGCTAGAAGCAAAGAGCACGCAAACAGGGACTGGATATCACCATTCCCACTATCCCCTGCATCCCCAGGAAGTAAAAACAAAAGATAGTGTCTCCATAGATCACCACCTGATGTAGTCATGACTTTCCACATGAGGAGGAAAAAGATTCAACAGTACAGTCTACAAAATAACTTTTGAGAGATGATCATTTTAGGGCTGGGCATGGTGGCTTACACCTGTAATCCCAGCACTTTGGGTGGTTGAGGCAGGTGGATTGCTTGAGCTCAGGGGTTGGAGACCAGCCTGGGCAAACATGGCAAAACCCTGTCTCTACAAAAATACAAAAATTAGCTGGGCACACTGGTCCAGGCCTGTAGTCCCAGCTACTTGGGAGGCTGAGGTGGAAAGATCACTTGAGCCCAGGAGGAGAAGGTTGCAGTGAGCCAAGATCATGCCACTACACTCCAGCCTGGGCAACAAAGCAAGACCCTATCTCAAAAAAAAAAAAAAGAAAGAAAATATGATAATTATAATATTTTAAAAAACTATAATTTCCCAAGAAGTGCCATGAATGAAGGTATTTTTCTTTTTTTCTCTTGAGACAGGGTCTCACTCTGTCACCAGGCTAGAGTGCAGTGGTGCAACCATAGCTCACCACAGCCTTGAACTCTTGGGCTCAGGAATCCTCCCACCTCAACCTCGGGATTAGCTGAGACTACAGGCATGCACTACCATACCTGGCTAATTTTTAAATTTTTTTGTAGAGGCAGGGTCTTGCTATGTTGCTTAGGCTGGTCTTGAACTGTTGGCCTCAAGCCACACTGCTGCCTTGGCCTTCCAAAGTGTTGGGATTACAGGTGTGAGCCACTCTACCTAGCCATCTTTTCTTTTTTCTTTTCTTTTCTTTTCTTTTTCCTTTCTTCCTTCCTCTATTTCTTTCTTTTTTTCTTTTCTTTTTTATTTTTTCTCAGGGTCTCTGTCACCCAGGCTGGAGTGCAGTGGTATGATCTTGGCTCACTGCAACTTCTGCCTCCCAGGCTCAAGTGATCCTCCCACCTCAGCCTCTGGAGTAGTTGGGATTACAGGTGTGCACCACCATCCCTGGCTAATTTTTTGTATTTTTTTTGTAGACACAGGGTTTCACTGCTGCCCAGGCTGTATTTTTCTTATAAAAAATTTTAAAACATGAGCTATAAGCTTAAGTCCCTTTTGTTCACTATCTTTAATTCTTTAAACCCAGGTGCCTCCCTTCAGCCACAGGGGAACTGGTAAAAGCTTGCTGTGGATTCTTGTAGACAGTGTTCAATGCTATTTACCCACAAATATGTCTTTATAGAAAATATATGATATTCTTTGGTAAACTTGTATTTTTTTTTAACACAAATGGTATTGTATTATGCTTAGTCTGCAATTATTTTTAAACTGAGTCTAATACATTGGAGATCTTTCCATGCCACACCCATAGACCCATCTCCTTTTTCACTGCTGCTAAGCGGTATTACACAGTGAAGAAAGTTTATTTAAGCACTCCCTATTGATGGATATATTACCATTGTTTCCAGTTATTTTTTATTTTTTACTGCCCCAGACAGGGCTGCTGCAAACAACCTTAAGATCAATCGCCTTCTTGGGCATTTATAATGTCATTGTTTCTCCAAAAAGGATCCAGAAAGGTGTGGTAGTGCCAGGTCATCCATGCACAGCTTTATACTTGAAGGACACTCTGTCAGATTGCCCTCGAGTGTCAGGCAGCCTCTGAATATGCTAGTCAAATTTAAAAGTTGGTGCAAAGTGGGAAAGGTCTCGAGGGAATTTTCCGGGGGTGGTGGAAATGTTTCGTATACCGACTGTGGAGGTGGTTATACGGGTGTTTACATTTGTCAGAACTCAACAAACGGTACTCTTAAAATGGGTGCATTTTGCCATTTGTAGATTATATTCCACTGACATTCATTTAAAAAACCAAACAAAAACAAAACAAAACAAAAAAAACGTGCAGTGGCCTGGGAACAGGGTAAGAGAGAACACCACCCCTTTCTAATGTGGGCTTTTAAAACGCTCGCTTTTCCCCCCAGGCTCCTTCCTGCCTCCAGGTGTCACTACAGCCTCCTTTCTCCCCGTTGCCCGGTTTCGCCCCAGCCTCCTTTCTACCAGCAGCCTTTCACCCGGAGAGTGCCAAAGAGCCCGAAAGGAGCTATCATGGGGTCTGCCTGCCCCGCAATCGCGGCCCACGCTCTGCGGGGGCGCCCGGAGTCGAATACCAGCGGGGAGAGAGAGGTCCCTCTCCACCCGCGGGACCGCCCCACGCCCCTCGCAGCCCCAGGAGGTGTCCGCGCTGCGGCACGTGGGCCCTCCCGGCAGCGTGGGGCGGTGCCGAGCCGGCGGCCCGCCCCCTCCCCACCCATCAAGGCGTGGCTGGCACGGTCCCGCCCACTCGGCTCCGGAGCCCAGTCGAGTCCTGCCCGGCTAGAAGCCGGCTGTCGGTCTCCGTGTCGCCGCCGCCGCCCGGCATCGTGGAGCTGGGGCCCCCTTTTGCCTGGGAGTTTTGTAGTCGCCTAGGGTCAGCGGTGACATCCCAAAGGGCAGGCCCGGCAGCCGCCATGGTGGCCAAGGATTACCCCTTCTACCTCACGGTCAAGAGAGCGAACTGCAGCCTGGAGCTACCCCCGGCCAGCGGTCCGGCCAAGGACGCTGAGGTAGGGCCGCGCCCTGCACCTGGACCTCTATGGGTCATCTGCCTGTCTCGTCTGCCTCCATCTCCCATTCTCGGCGCCCGTCCAGTGTCACTGTCTCTGTTTCCATCTCTCACTCTCCGTGTGTGCCACTTTCTCTCTCTACATCTCTCCCACAGTCTTCTTTGTGTCTCCCCGTCGCCATCTCTCACCCTGTCTCCTTTTCTCTCGCTTTTTCTCTGTGGACCAAGCACTAGCTGCCTCCTCTCTCCCTGTCCCTCTACCTGCCGGTCTGGGAGCAACTGCCTCCTTGCCTTTGCAGGGCTCTCAGACTGTCCATCTTCTGTCTGGACTCTCAGAGGGACTTTCTCCTACTGTCAGCAAGCCCCAGTGTCAGGGAAGTGTCAGCAAGCCCCAGTGTCGCTACCCTTTAAGCGAGTTTTTTTTGCCTGGGTTGTGAGAGCAGAGGGACGTACCAGCCCTCTCACCTGTCAGACTTGGCCTTGCAGCCCTTTGGCAGCAAAAACAGGACACAGCGCCTCTGCCTATCACCTGTGGCCAGTGAGGGTCATTCAGCCGGGGGGCTGGGGCTAAATGAGTAAATTGGAGTGTCTCCCACATGGATCTTGAAAATGAATTAAAGTCCTTAGGGTCAATGGAAAGCTGCCTTGGAACATTGGAAACATTTCTCTTTCTGGGAACTTTCCTGTGCCTTGCGGGCGATGTGAAGGAGTGCTCCCAGGTTATGTTTAGTCTGCCTTTTCCTCTTGCGTGTTATTTCTCTGGCACATAGCTCACTGGCCTTAAAGGTTGGGTTCAGCTGGAGGAGAAAGCATCCCTCTCTTTGAGGGTCTTAGGGAATACAGTCGCTTTCGCTAGATTACAGCTTTGCTGTGGTCAAGCTGCGGTGGAACCCACAGGACCCAGCTAGTCATTGCCGCTCATGCGTGTATCTGGGAGCTTTCCACTCTCCCACACCTCACTCTGCGAACATCAAACATCACCACCACCACTGGGGAAAGGCTGAAGGCAGGTGTGCATCCGGCCTTGTCACAGCATTCTTGAGGTTCCACCCACTCGCCTTCCTTGGGTCTGCTCAGCTGTATGCACTTGGCTCACTGAATCATGTATATTCGGGAGCACACCATCAAAGATTCATTTCCTCTAGCAAGAGCTGCTCCAGGCTGACAGGACTCCAAGCAGTCTCTGGTTGTATTCAGCTTTCTATACGCTGAGCACAAACTAACTTCTCCCTCACTCAAACCCAACCCTACACTCCAGCTCAGTCGAATATTATCACAAAGAGTTTTTGTTGCCAGCAGCTGTGAAAGTGTGATGGCCCTAGTGGCATTTGCATAGAATTCAGGTTGGTCAGGCCTGGAATGGATATAATATTTTTTCAGTGGGAACTTCCTAATTTAATCAACATAGGAGCAGCGCAATTGGTGCCCACTCAAACTCCACTTGTAAGGAAGAAAGGCATAACCAATAAATTAATAAATTGAAGTGGGCCAAAGAAAAGAATAGTGAGGATAGCTGAGGACTCTAACCAGTCCCTTCCTACTATTACTTAGTCCTGTGTTTTTGAGTAGTTTAGCTAAAGGCTTAGGTAAAACTTGCCTGCTTAATTTCATTTTATTCTTATACATAGAATATAGATATGTCTATATATCACAAATATGAAACTTATCACATGTCAAATATTAATTTTCTTCATTGGTAGCTGGATCTAGACTATAAAATATGACTTATTTTCCTCGTATGGGGATATCCTGATGTGAGAAATAAGGAAGGGGTTGGAATAGTTTTGGAAATAGTTGGTAAATATTTTTCAGATATCACTATTGGGGTTTTTGTTTTTTAGTGTTTGATTTAAACACTAAATCAAGTATGCTTTATACACTTTGAGGCAGAGATATCTTTTAGCTTCATCGATGAGCATATCACTTCCTGATAATGGAAATTGGCAAAATTGGAAAAAGAAACCTAAGTGAGTTTAGTGGGTAGTTTTCTGGTTTCCTTATCAGCGCAAAAGGCAGCCAACCCTTGTAGGCCTAGCTTCTCCATAAGCAGTTAACTAAAATATATTTTCCACCAGTAGGTGTCGTCAGTATTCATAAATTAAAAAATAGCATTCGCTTGTCAGCCTTTTGAAAAACATGATTATATAATTGTTTATAAGCTAGGCATTGACTGTTAATTCCTCTGAAAGTATTTTTTTAAGAGTGATTGTTTTCTTTGTGGAAAGAATGTGGTTATAATAAAAAGAAAAATAGATCTATCCAGAGGCCTTTCTAGGAAAACAGGACTTGTTGACCTTCAAAGGCCGTTGCAACAGAGCACCTGTGCCCTTTAAACATTTAATGGCCGTGTGTAATGGCTGTTCCTTCCGAATTTGCCTTGGGTAGGACAGTGCACACAGCATGGCACTGGGAAGTGCCTTCTAGCATTGACTCCTATCCTTGCAGCAAGTGTACTGGGGAAAATCACTTAGGAAAAGGCTCCTGGGGAACAGGCAAGTGGCATTGATGTGCATTTGATACCGTACACTGAGTAAAAAAATATGCAAAAATAAGCATTCTCTTAAAAGCAAATAAAATTTCTACTCAAGATTTAAGTGATTTGTAATTTTTTATTTGTGGTAGTTTCCAGTGAAAGCAAAAAATGATATTTTTAAAATGTATTTTTATTTTCTTTAAAAGATCTATTTTAAGCTTTTGAAAATATTCTACAGGGATTATAATATTGCATGTCTGTTAGTATAATACTGCCTCTTAATCTGCTATTTCTTATGACATGGGGGTTTGAATTGGTTGGCAAATGTTTAATTTTAATATCCATAATCAGTGAGGTCCTGCTGGCTGTAATCATTAATTGTGAAATCTAAGGAGCTTAGTTCATGGCTCTAGAATTTCACAGAAAAATGTGATATGATACGAGCATTAAGTTTATTTCTTCTGATCTTTGATGCAGCTTTGTTCAGTTTATCTGTTTTTGTATTTATTGGTCATCTACTTCCCATGCCAAAAGGGACTGGTCTACATAGCTGCGCTAAACACCTGATCAAATCACTAAAAGAAAATGTGTTACCTCTAATGAATTATCCTGATTGTAAGTTAAAAATCAATATTTCCCCGTAGTGAGGTTTGCTTTTTAAAAAGAAGGCTTAAAAAAAAAAAAAAAAAAAAACGAAGTAAAGAAAAGGAAGCAAGCTCAGGTAAGGTGCACACATTGGCTAAGGAAGCTAGAGCCTTGTGAGAAGCTTTTAAGAGTTTTAGGTCCAGTTCATTTTTAATCAAAATACAAAGAGGTGTTTCTGTTATTTTTGTAAGAATATATCTGACAACTTGGTGGACAACTTACTTTCAGTTTTAAAATTTACCATCTTAGATATTGGTCAGATTAGGCCTGATTTAGTTAATGGTATTTGTAGCCATTGCTTTTGACTCTCAGCAGTTTTAAAAATTTGTAGTGCCATAGACCATAGGCCTATCTCATGAATAGCTGAATACTGCCCTGGGTCTCCAAAGTATAGGTTCTTATTTTGACTTAGCCAGTAGCCTTGCATGACCCTGAGAATAATGACATGCACCTAGAAATGACAGAGCTCTGCTCCTTTTCTATGTCTACCATGTCTAGTGTCTCACTTGAGACCCCACACTTGTAATAAGGTTAACATAAAGCTTGTACTGTTCTCTCCACTTTATGAATAAGGACACTGAGGGGAAGCGATTTGCAGAAAGCTGCAAAGAAAATCAGCAGCTAAGCCAAGATCCAATGTCAAATTTCCTGATGGATTCCGTCCAGCATTTAATATCAGCATCCCTTGTAGCACCTAAGGGTGTTTACCTTTGTGGGATAAAAGGTGGGGTGGTAGTACAAAACTTAACAGACATGCAAAATACTTTAAAATATTATCTTTTAAGTATAACCTTGAGCACCTTACATAACTGAGAAGGTATCCTTTAAGGCCCACTTCTAAAGGGCAAGGTGAACCCTATGCTCCTGCCACGATTTATGCCTCTATCAGTCAACATGTGCATTTTAAAATTGTATGCACCTCGGGCTGTACTTCTTGAATGCCAGCTGAAAAGCCAGAGGGTTACTGGTTTCTAGTAATCTATACATTTCTTGGAATCTGTATCTTATTGTATTGAACAGATAGTATACCTGAACACACATGAAACTAGTCATAAGGAGTTATTGCAGTTAGAATCCTGTAATTTCTTCAGATGATTAAATAGACTCCAGGAATCATATGACCTCAGAGATCTTGCTGGATGGGAAGCCACACGGAGCTACCCAGAAAAAGGCCATCACTTGCTATAGGATCTGGTTATGGTCATTGAGCCATCATTCCGAGGCTGTTCAGTTGGAAAATTATTTTGGGAATCTTGGTCCTTAAGAATGCACATGAACTAGCAACAGAAGAGGAAAATATGTTGACTTTACATGTGTACATTTAATGCTGTTCAAGGGCATTGACTAGAATAAGACTGCCTGAGTCTCAATGCTGTCTCCACCACCTGCTAGTTGATGTGACCTTGGACAAGCTACTGTGCCTCTCCAAACCTGTTTCCTCAATGGTAAAATGGAGATGATGAGAGCTCTAACTCCTAGGACCATAGTGAGGGTCAAACGAGATGTTTCATATACAGCGCTAACCATAGTGCCTAGCATGTCGTAAGTGCTCAAAAAATGTCATTATTATTAAGACCTTTACATTTCAAAAAAAAAGATTCTTAAAATGGTTTTAAGAAACATGATGATCACCAGCCTAATTTCCTGAATGTTGTTTTACACACAGCAGTGCATTAGGGGCTTTACCGTAAGTCCTTTCATCATCACAGTAATCCTATGAGGTTGGTATTAATGCCCTGTTTTGTAGAAGAAGAAACAGGCTCAGAACAGGGTAGTGGCTTTCCCAGGATGGCTTTAATGCTGGGTCAAGGAGATGAGACTAAAATCCCAGTTGACCCTGAAGTCTGTACTTTTCCAACCACATCACATTGCCTCTAAGTGACTAAATCATTGGTCTTCTCACCTCATAACACGTGAAGGATGAACCCACCTGCCCAAAAAATTGCCTGATGCTCAAAGGCCCATTTTTTTCCTGAGTGTCTGGGTAGGAAACCCCACCATTAGTCAATACTTCTGGCAGCCCACTTCATAGAACGGCTGCAACCCACGGGAGTGGGATTTGCAAGCCCCCATTTGGGAGGGTTTTAGTAATTTTCATTTTGTGTTTCTCAAGACCAAGGAGCTGGTCTTTGGCAGAATTCTGCATGCTTAGCTGTGTGGAGGTGCCACCGTCAGTTCTGTTAGTCATTTTGCTTATCTATATTAACCACAAGCCTTCTGTGTAAACCAATCACTGGAAGGCCCAAATACCATCTGGATATTTGCAAATTGTGTCATTTTCTCGAGACACCCTGTGATTGCCCGTAAAAATCCTGGACAGATGCCACCGTTTTCATAACTACTGAAAGAAAATAAATTACTGATCACAACCTAATTTTGCAAAGCCCTGTGTAAATGTAATTGTTATTGATGATGTGTGTATCTGGAAGGGCTACTTTGTCATGTATGTGTGCAGTTGCCTTCCATAATTTGTCAGCCTTGATAATGGGTAGAGGTCACACAAAATGAGGAAATTGCCGTGACTGCGTTGCCATTTATTCTTATGTTGGCTCATGGACTGTCAGGAGTGAAAGCCAGTGGTTTCTATTGCCTTCCTTTTTTTTTTTTTAATTAGTTGACACCAATAACTAGTTTAGAAGAGGCTGTGTCATGCCCAGTGTGGTGGCTCACGCCTGTAGTCCTAGCACTTGGAGGCTGAGGTGGTCGGATCACGAGGTCAGGGGTTCAAGACCAGCCTGACCAACGGTGAAACCCCATCTCTACTAAAAATTCAAAAATTAGCCAGGCGTGGTGGCACACACCTGTAATCCAAGCTACTCAGGAGGGTGAGGCAGGAGAATCACTTGAACCTGGGAGGCAGAGATTGCAGTGAGCCGAGCGCCACTCCAGTCTGAGCAACAGAGCAAGAGTCCATCTTCAAAAAAAAAAAAGAGAGAGAGACTGTGTCACAAGTTAATCAGGAAAGGTTTCCAAACCTTCTACTGGCTGGGAAAGGAGTGGCTCTTTTTAAGTCTAGAAACACTTGTGCCCGGACTTTCTGTTTGGACCATTGTGTCCTTTTGAGAGAAGGTAGCCCTGATTGTTAGTAAATTTCAGTTAATTGAAGCTGAATGAGAAACCTTAACGGTAAGTTCACTAGACTTTTTTCTTCTTTCTGGCTCTTAAGATGAGGAGGAAAGGAGTAGCAAAACAGGCTCTTTTTTTCTGAGGATTTATGAAGCAAACAAATCCAGCCTCCAGGAAATGACCCAGGGTCATTGCATCAGAGAACTTCAGAGTGGGAAAGGCCTGTTGAGAACATGTAGCCCAATTCTTATCTGCTGCCAGATCCATTCAATCTCTGCTTAACACCTCCAGGGACAACATTTCAGGTTGTATACAGTTGGCCCTCTGTATCCACTCGTTCCACATCCACGGATTCAACCAACCATTGGTCAAAAATATTTGGATCCCAGGACTTTGGGAAGCAGAGGCAGCAGGATTGCTTGAGCCCAAGAGTTTGAGACCATTCTGGGCAACACAGCGAGACCCCATCTCTAAAAAAAAAAAAAATCAAAGAATTCACCAAGCGTGGTAACACACACCTGTAGTCCCAGTTACTTGGGAGGCTGAGGTGGGAGAATTGCTGGAGCCAGGGAGTTTGAGGCTGCAATGAGCTGAGATTGTGCCACTGCAACCCTAGCCTGGGTGAAATAGGGAGACCCTGTCTCAGAAAAAAAAAGAAAATATCAGGGAATAAAACAATAAAAAATAACAATACAACAATTTAAATAATACAAATAAAAAACAATACAGGATAACAACGATTATCACTTACATTGTATTGGATATTCTAAGTAATCTACAAATGATTTAAAGTGTAAGAGGATGTGTGTAGGATATAGGCAAACAGTATGCCATTTTATATCATGGACTTGAGCATCCTTAGATTTTGGTATCTGAGAGGGTTCTGGAACCAATCACCCTTGGATACTGAAGGATGACTGTACTCCGTCTGTGTTCAGTATAGATGATGAGAAAATCCTTTCTTAGTTGTAACATTGCTTCCTGCAGCAATGTTCAGTAATACTTTCTTTTTTTTTTTTTTTTTTTTTTTTGAGATAGAGTCTCGCTCTTATTGCCCAGGCTACAGTGCAGTGGTGCGATCTCAGCTTATTGCAACCTCTGCCTCCCGGGTTCAAGCTGTTCTCCTGTCTGAGCCTCCCGAGTAGCTGGGATTACAGGCACACGCCACCACGCCCTGCTAATTTTTGTATTTTTAGTAGAAACAGGGTTTCACCATGTTGGCCAGGCTGGTCTCGAACTCCTGACCTGAGATAATCCACCCCCCTCGGCCTCCCAAAGTGATAGGATTACAGGCGTGAGCCACCATGCCTGGCCCAGTAATACTTTCTTATGTGTTATCCCTGTAAGTATTTGAAAACCACTCTCTCTCTGCACCTCTCCCACTCCACACTCATGTGCATTCTCTCCTCTCCCTCTCTCCCCTCAGATGTTTTCCTTCTCCTGGCCTGGTATTCCTGGTTCCCTTAACTTTTCCAAATGTGACATACTGTCCTATCTCTTTCCTGTCCTTGCTTATTTCTTCTGGACATCTTTAGTGTGCCTGAAAAACTTGAGTATTAATAAGTGCAAGGATACTGTATGATACTATGTCAACAAACAGGATTTCTTTTAGGCTTAATATGCTTCTTTAGACAAGAGAAGTACACTAATATATTGAAAAAGATTTTTGAAATAAAAATGACAGACTAAAGATTAACATCTTTGTCATATAAATAATTTATACAGATATTTAAAAAATACCCTAAGATATTCATTGACAAATAAGCCAAAGATACTAGAAGGTAGTTCATACACAAGGAACAGTAAAGATTTAAAATGTTCACTCTAGTAGGAATTATAGAAATGAAAAAGGCAATAATAAGGTGCTATTTTATACCTAACTGATGTTGCAACTATTTTTAAGACATAATAAAACCAAGCTGGGCATGGTGACTCACACCTGTAATCCCAGCACTTTGGGAAGCCGAGGCGGGCGGATCACCTGAGCTTAGGAGTTCAAGACCAGCCTGGCCAACATGGTAAAACCCAGTCTCTACTAAAAATACAAAAATTGCTGGGCACGGTGGCTCACGCCTGTAATCCCAGCACTTTGGGCAGCCGAGGCGAGCGGATCATGAGGTCAGGAGATCGAGACCATCCTGGCTAACGCGGTGAAACCCCGTTTCTACTAAAAATACAAAAAATTAGCCGGGCGCGGTGGCGGGCACCTGTAGCCCCAGCTACTCGGGAGGCTGAGGCAGGAGAATGGCGTGAACCCGGGAGGCGGAGCTTGCAGTGAGCCGAGATTGCGCCACTGCACTCCAGCCTGGGCGACAGAGCAAGACTCCATCTCAAAAAAAAAAAAAAAAATTATCTGGGCCTGGTGGCGGGAGCCTGTAATCCCAGCTACTTGGGAGACTGAGGCAGGAGAATTGCTTGAACTCGGGAGGCGGAGGTAGCAGTGAGCTGAGATCGCACTACTGCACTGCCGCCTGGGCAACAGAGTGCAACTCTGTCTCAAAAAAATAAAAATAAAAAAAAAAAAAAACCCAATGCCGTGAATGTTGCAGGAAAATAATACACTTATTGGTGGGGCACAGTGTCTCATGCCTGTAATCATAGCACTTTGGGAGGCTGAGGCAGGCAGATTGCTTGAGCCCAGGAGTTTGGGACCAGCCTGCGCAACATAGCAAGACCTTGTCTCTATTTAAAAAAAAAAAATAAGAAAAAGAAAATAACACACTTTCTGTGCATACTAAAAGACAAAAATTGTTCAGATCTTTGGGCGTAGTATTCTAGCTCTAGTGGAGAAAAGGCTGTGTTTCCAAAGTTGTTCATAATGACATTATTTGCAATAATAGCCATGCTTTGTATTCGTGCATTTTACAGTTTTAGGCACTTTCATATTCTTTGACTTACTTGAGTATATAATTGTCCTCATTTTAAAGACGAGATACCAAGGGTCAGAGAGGTCCAATGATTTGCCCAAGATCACACAGCTGGGAATGGCCTAGCTGGAGCTTGAAGTCTGATGGTTTGGTTCCAGTCTAGCATCCTTTCCTATTTAACTGGCCAGAAAAGCCAACAACCTCTCTGTCCTACAATAGAGCAATAGCTCCATGACCATGGCCTCTGGCACAGGGGTCAGTGACATCATTTGCAGCCATTACTCACTAGCAAACAGAAATACCCTAGTGTTCCTGGAACAAATAAAGAGGAAAAAAAGTTGAGCATGATTATATACTCATTATAACCAATTTAAACCTATATGTGTGCATATGGGATGTAGAGAAGAGGGGACAGGCATGTTGCAATCAAGACACCTTCCTCCTTTTTCATTGTGCTCAATAAATCTAGAGCAATGCCACCCTTTGTTCAGATAGTAGTCAGTTATTTTCTTTTCTTTTCTTTTCTTTTCTTTTCTTTTTTTTTTTTTTGAGACAGAGTCTCACTCTTGTCCAGTCTGGAGTGCAGCAGCAAGATCTTGGCTCACTGCAACCTCTGCCTCCTGGGTTCAAGCGATTCTCCTGCCTCAGCCTCCCAAGTAGCTGGGATTACAGGCGTGAGCCACCGCACCCAGCCAGCAGTCACTTATTTTCACATGCATTATCTCCTTTGAGCCTTGCATTAGCTGAGGGAGCTGGACAAGGCAAGGACTGTCCTTTTTTTTTTTTAATTTTGCTATTTTGTTTGTTTTTAGGTTTTCTTTTTTTAGTTTTTCATTTTTTCTTCATTTTTCTTTTTTTCTGAAGCTGTCCTTTTTGTTTGTCAACTGAGGAAAAAGAGATTCAGAGAAATTAGGAGGCAGGGCCCAAATGTTGGTCCCTCCTTGCCCAGCCTTGACCTCTTGGCGTGCCACAATGTTGGCTTAAGCCAGTCATGGTTCTGGGTAGGTGATAAGCAGCACTGTCTCTCTGGGGGTGTTCTAAGTGAACCCCGTTAAAGTTAGCCAGAACACTGTGCAGAGTAATCTCCAACTGCAAGGCCCTACTTTAAATTTGATGTGAGATCACTGTTAAAACGAAAAGCCCACAAGGAATGGATAGATAAAAACTTCTGTATACATAGGTGATGTATTTCGTTTGTTGGTTTGTGTTAGAAATAGGGTCTTGTTCTGTTGCCTAGGCTGGAGTGCAGTGGCACAATCATGGCTCACTGCAGCCTTAACCTCTCAGGTTCAAGCGATCCTCCCACCCACCTCAGCCTCCAGAGTAGCTACAGCTGTAGTCCTAGGACTACAGCTAGGACTACAGGCGTGTGCCACCATGCCTGGCTAATTTTCTTTCAATTGTTTTATTTTTCTAGAGTCAGGGTCTCATTATGTTGCCCAGACTGGTCTCGAACTCCGGGGTTCAAGTAATCCTCCCACCTCGGCCTCCCAAGGTGCTGGGATTACAGGCATAAGCCACCACTTCTGGCCACGACATATCTTAAAATGATGTCTTTCTGAACTCTGCAGACCTAATGTTTGCAGCAGAGGTGATAAATAGTAAGAAGAAATACAGCATTTCCTGAGGGCACTCTTTCTGTAGATACCATTAGCATTAGAAGTTGGCAACCTGATTGAATTAAATAAAGCTGACAGCCTATGTCAGAACCTTGAAAAAAAAATGTGAAAAGGAAAAAAGAAAGGTGAATGTTTTGGACTTGCCATGGGCTGTCAGATTTGGAAATGTGGAGTCTTCCTAGAGGAAGACGCTACAGAAAGAAAAAGGGAACAAGCTAGTGGCAGAAAGAGATGGAGTTGGGCCAGATGGCCGAGGGGGGCAAAATGGTAAGTCTTCCCTGTGGGTGCTTTCTGAACCCAAGGCCAGGGCAAGCTCCCATTTCAAGTGTGCTATCTTATGTTGGCATACTAACATTTCATAATCGCAAGTCACGCAGGCATTTCAAGAACGACCCCAGGCAAATACAGAGAAGATAACTAAAGGTCACTGGGGAAGACTATTTTTAATTTTTGACTTCACACAGGTTGGGGAGGGGTGGAAGTGGCTCATCAATATCATGTTAGGTTTTGGCAGTCTTGGTTCATTTTCTCAGCCATCCTGGTGATTGTGTTGGGGATGTCTGGGTGTGATCTTGCAGAAGGAGTCAGAAACCACTGTAAAGAAGGAAATAAGCTGTTAGAAGAGGGAAAACTGATGGTTTCTTGTGTGTAAGCCACAGATGCATGATGAACTGTCACCTCCACCTCCTTCCTCCTCAGATGTTTGGTGGTGACTTATCTGAGAGCTTTGAAGGAGAGAGCATCAGAAAAGACATGTTGCATTCTCTTATTAGTCTCTGAATGCTTTATGCCCAGGTTCCAAAGGCCTAGAAGAGTGAGCTTGATTCTGGCACCAACATCGAGGAACAGGAGCTTGCTTCGGAAGTCTCTTAAATGCAGCATTTATTTCTAAGCTGGTTCTTATAAGAGCTTCCCAAGTAGCTGGGGACAGGGCAAAGGTAGGCTTAGCTTCTTGGAATTTCAGAGTCTGTTTCTGGAATGAGAGGACTGGATTAGTTCATTGTTTCCCAGAAGGTGGGTTTCATACCACTTGGGCAGCTCAAATCTTATAAAGACAAATCACAAAATAATTTAATCACTTTCCCTTTTAAATTATCTGATCCTTCTGATTATTTCAAGTTTCCACTTGGAATTAGTGTGTCTTTAACACCTCCCCATCACTTGATAATTTCCCTGTGTAACTAAGTGTAGGCCTCAGGGTTCATTTTTTAAAGTTAGTTTCTGTTTATGGCAGGTGATAGTGATTTTCCATTTAAGGCAGTGATAGAGTTTATTTTTACAATAAGTTTTTAAGTAAAAAATGACTAATTAAGGAAATAGTACATAATAGCTCAGGTGATATGTACATATGGCAAAAAATTATCATGGCAATACAGAGAGTTTGGAAACAGTGAACAAGGCATGTTCTGAGGGGCTTTCTAGGATTAGAATTCTACAATAAGTTCCCAAGTTTGACACAGTCACTTGCAAACTAAACTTGAAATTTGGACATTTAGCATAGGACCCAAATTTCAGATACTAAGTAGATAAAAATTGGCTTTAATGTGTTATAGGAAATGAATCTGTGCTACGTTAGCCAACTTAAAAAATAAAAGTAGATTTCTGTTCTCAGAACATAAATCTTTTTCTTTTCAAAGCGTCAAAGAACATGCCAAAGTGCCAGCTAAAATGATTCAAACCATCCTGTTCCTTTTTTCCTTCACTCTGGTGGGAAGGATTGGGTGAGATTACACTTTAATTGGAGTCAGCCCTAGAATGTACTGGTTAAGAATTTGGATTTGGAAGTCAGCCTGAACTGAGTTTGAATCCGCACTTGGCCACCTGTGAGCTGAGAGATCTTGGACTTGTGTCTCATCCTCTAAGCCCTAGTTTCCTCATCTGAAAATTGGGAATTTGCAAGGGAATTGTGAAGATGAAATAGGCATATAAAGGGCTTCCACCAAACAAGTACTTAATAGGTCATTAGCAGCAGCAGCAGCAGCAGCAGCAGCAGCAGCAGCAGCAGCAGCAGCATCTATCTTGAACGTAGATCAGTTGAGTAGAAGCTATAGGTGGTTATACTTAGCAAGGCATCTGCTAGGAGGTAGCTCCTTCCTTTGTAGGAAATAAAGAGATCAGAGTTAGCATTGGGCATTATTATTTTTAAAACAAAAGATGTTCCAAGCATACTGGCAAGCTTCACATTCATTTCTGCCAGGTAGAATAACAAAAAAATCTAGTGTGGCTTTCTGGTTGTTCCCAGAATGACTTTCAGACAGGGGTTGGTGTGTGAGCTCTGGGTAGAGAGGCACCCTGGCCAGAGGAGTAGGGAGCAAGTTGTCCTGAGGCCGGCTCCCACCTGACATGCATCATCTGAGAATCCTAGCCAAGTGCCAACCACGGACACAGACCCAAGGCAAGCAGATGAGGGTGGATTAGGTTGCTTTGAGCTCTTCATGCCCTATTCATTTGCAGGGTGCTTTAACTATAAATAGATCCTTTGTTGGAAATGTAGGGAAACTCCATAGTGTGATGGATATGAGCTGGTAAAGAGCTAGACAACTAAAAAATGACCCCTAATGCTCTTTAATTGTCCATAAATATTTATTGAGACCTGGCTCTGTGTATCATGTTCCCCCTGGTTTAGAAAAGCCATGCTTTCTGTCCTCAAGGAACTTCTACTTCAGTTTGACCAAGTCATTAACAACACGACAATACGGGTAGTGACTGTCAACCACGAGGAGGGGGAGAAGCAGGCAATTTCATTGGGGAGCTTGGCAGACTATGGAGGGGGAATACTGAGAAGTGGTCATCCAATAGGCTCCCTGATGCTGGATGCCCGCCACCCCCCAGTCCTCAAGTGTGCCCTTAGCAGAGGGCAGCATCTTCTGGGGGCACATAAGCGGGACACCTTTGAACCTGGGCTCACTAAGATTCTGAGGGAGGAGTCAAGAGGAGCTGCTGATTCCAGAGTGATAGGGCTTGAATGCCAAATGAACATTCTGTCCTCCTCCACACCCTGCGTCAGTGTCTACTTCCTTTCTGCCTCTACAGCCTATTCGTTTCAGGGTTCCTCCCTGGTTTAGGAAACTAACAATGCTGTGGTTAATTAAGAACCCAGGCCTTGCTGAGTTAATAGCCTTGGGCTCAATTTGGACTGTGTGACTTCAGGCGAGGCCCTTAACGCCTCTGAGTCTCAGTTGCCTACACTGTGAAATGGGTATATTAATAGCACTAACTTAAGAGAAGTCAAGGAAATAATGCACAGAAAGCACTTTGGCACAGCCTAGCACAAAGTCCTCCTGTATATTGCTATTATATTATTATTATTATTATCAGAGGAAGTTGTATATCCTGGGAAGCCAGTGTCGGGGTGGCGGGGAAAGTTTTCAAGGCAGGTAGATTTGAATTCAGATTTCACCACTGCCAGTTAATTACTGGGTATGACTTGGAGGAAGTCATCTCACTTCTCTGAACACCTGCTTCCTCCTCTATGAAACAGGATAACGGGGTTGCTGTATGGCATAGATGAGAGCGTTTGTGACTCCATGGCTCTCAGTGCCTCCTTTCCTTTCCTAGGCTTCCCTCATTGTTTATATAGTGCTTCAGAGTCACAAGAGTCACACCTGCGTCAGGTGTAGTAGGATGACTGCTCTGTTTCTAGAAAATTGCTAGAGTCTATGAGTAGGCAAGTGCCTTGGCAGGGTATAATTTATTTAATCGCAATTGATCGAAGCTTTGCAGGGTCAAGTGGCCCTCTGCACAGTCCTGCTTTGCAAACTCAGGGGCGCCCCTCGCTTGACTCTCAAATGTTGGGGCAGAGGGAAGGAGGGCCTGGCATGTAAAAGAAGAACCTTCCACTTCATCCTTGTGCCCTTCCCAACCTGGCAGTGCTTGGGAAACCTTTACCAAGGAAATTATTTTGCCAATTTAGACTCCCAGCAGTCTTCAAAGGAATCCTCCCCTCTGTAGATGGCCCATATTGGAAAACACTTGAGAACCTTGCTGCTCTCTGCTGCAGGCATCCTTTGCCTCAGGAATAAATACCATTTTTATTTTACCACCAGAATGTCCTTGTCTTTTCTGGAAACTTTTATTGACATCCCTTACCACTGACTCTACAATGGCTAGCCAACTTTTTTTTTTTTTTTAACAAAACCCAACAACCAAATCACAGGTTTGTATTTATTCTTTCATTTTAAGTCAGTTGCCACTGTCTACCCATTTTCCCCATTATCTCTTTGGAATTGAAACTAGCTGAGAGTGATGCTGGGAGCAGAGCTGAGTCTCTGAGCTCCTTGCCTTCTTTGTTGTGTGCTGCATCATTTTTTTATATTCACAGGCTTCTGCATTTTAATAAACTGTAGATAATGATACATCTGGTTGCATATTAATTGCTGAGAGTTCAAAATAACACGTAATCACTATGTTTCAAGGTTGCAGATGTACAGCACTGAGAGCCAGTGTTTGTTATGAACCTTTGGAAAAATCCGTTGTTACTGGGTATTTTTAAATTCTTGTCATTAAAAATGCACTACAGGATGGAAAGTGTCTCAACAAATGAAATCAGTTTTGTGTTGTGCACACATGCACATACACCCCTCCCAAAGAATAACATTTTGAAGCTATTCATCTGCTCATTTGGGGGGTGTGGGGGCAACAGAAATGCCAGATGAATCCATTATAGATTACTTACCTCACAGTTTCCTGAACAGCATGCTTTGTATCTTATTTATCTGCATACCCTTGCTCAGTGAGTGGTAAGATGTCAGCTGAAAGCCAAAAACAGGAAAGTTTAAGATTTTTAAAAATTTATTTCCAATTTAATCAATCCCATGTGGTTGTTTGACTAGTAGCTTTTTCCATTCTGAATAATCAGATTTCAATGTATTCTGTTTTCGGCTGGGAGCAGAGTGCTCTAAAACACCCGGGTGCTGTGTCCCCTGGTTCTAAGTGTGGACATGTGCTCCTGAGGACACACATGGACCAAACATTTGAAGGGATAATTTGTGCTAGAAGGGACAGCTGGGAGTTAACCAGGGAGCATCTTGAACATATTTTGTGTTTCTTTCTGGAGGTCACATCTCTGCAAGGCCTGTCTGCTCAAAACCGTTGTTCTTGTCAAAAACGGAAACCAACTAGACATCAAGAGAAGGGGATCCATTTTCTTCTGCAGACCCAGTGCCCTTGGTCAGACGTCCCTGTAGTTTTTACCCAGCAACCAGTTAGGATCCCTGGTCCCTGTCTAGTTTTCAGTCGGATGACAGACCTGACTGTCAGCTTTGCTTGCCTGAGATGTGTTTGATCATCCCAGATTCAGCTGGAACAGTCTGTCCTTCCTTTGGGACACTGAGATTAAGATCTGAGCACCCTTTTTCATCTCCCTACTTCTTTTTCCTCTTCTGGGAAGCAAGATAATGCTGAGCTTCAAAGAACGACAGATGGATGAGAAAGAGAGAGGACTTTTCTGTGGTTCTGTGTGGTCCTTTCTTGGTTACACATTATTTTTGTGAAGTTTCACCTTGCACATCCGACATGGGTTGAATGACCAGAGTTCCTCTCATTGCCTAATTCCAGACAGTATTGGGATCTGGCAAGACTGGAGACCAGCTCTTCTAGCCCATAATTCAGCAGTGTTGGTGGCAGTGGGCGGGTGGGAGGATAATGCAAACCTCAAGACCCATCTATAAGGACCCAAGATTAGGACTTGGGTCCTTATCTTGAGATTTTACTGCTTTCCTTTCTTCCAATATAGCCTTGAATCCTGCCAGACCACCGCTAGTTTTGCCGTATCCAGCCAGAGCTTGACTAAACAGATGATAAAACCACAGGAAGAAAAGGAAGGCAGGAATATGGCATCAAAATACATGGTCTCGTAGCAGCCTCAGTGGCCAGAGCAGTTATTGGTATGATTCTGGCAGGTGACGTGGAACTCTAGCTTTGTCCCTGGAAGGATCAAGGCAAAATCCAGTGCTGCAGGGAATAGAAGAGGGCAGGGGCGCAGGCTGGCAGAGAGACCATGCCTCTCCCAGGACAACAGAAATAAGGACAATACTCTGATATTTACTGAGGACTAACAGGCGGGTGTCTGCCAAGCATATTATACACCTAGTCTCCTGTGATCCTCCCAACAACTCTGTGAGAAGGTAGGAGAGTCATCTTCACTTCACAGTAGAGGAAACTAGCTTATAGAGGTTATATTTTGGGCCCAAGGTCGTAGGGTATTGCACTCTGACCAGACAGGTTGGCTCATATTTTATCCTTAGATCCTTTGCAAAGAATCAATGCACTCTTTGGGCCAGAGTGATAAGAACTTTGTCACTTGCTGCAGAGGCATTCAGATTATTCCTAAGCTCTGAGAGAGCCCAGAAAATGTCCTTAAAGAAGCAGGAATGGAACTCCAGTGGCATCCTTTTCCTCCTTCTCCAACCCCACCCAAGGGGAAGCGAGGGAATCCCTTTTACAGTGATAAACAAATGCAGAACATATATTCCACCCAAAGGTTTCCAAGAAGTCAGTAGGAAATGACTGACTCCGGAACCCCAAAGTCACAGAGACTGTCCTCTGGACCCCGTGGCTGTGACCAGGAGATCTTTTCTACCTCTGGGTGCCTCGTTGTGTGACCAGGAGACCTTTTCTACCTCTGGGTGCCTTGTTGGCATCATCCAACCAGGGATGTCCAGCCCCATTTTCCAGACCGGCGGATGGGTGTGGCATTATAGGCACGTTATTTCTGTGGCATTCTTGCCAAAAATGCATAACCTGATGTGAGAAAACATCCTCCGGGCCCATGGCTGGCCTTCCCATAAGGGCCACAGAGACTTGATGCTGCTGGCAACTCTCCTAATTTTTAAGGAGGTTGAACTCTTTAAAGTTCTCCAGCTCTGAGCATCTGGCCCTTTCTGCCTCAGAAGGCAGATGTGGAGCCAGGGACCGCAGAGAGAGCTAAATATTTGGCTTCCTCTTTCTCTGAAGGTCTGTAGCATCATGTCTGGGCATGACCAAGATGAGTTTCAGGCAGTGGGGGCTGGTGTTTGCTAAAAGGAACTTAACAGGGGTGTGGGTGTGCAGTTCTCCCTCTGCCCAAGGTTAAGTAATAGTAACATCCTGTGTAAAGAGAATTGAATGTGGTTTTCTGCTAAACTTCAATGTTTTAGGGCTGTTTATTAGATGTGTTTAATCTTGGGCCAATTTAACCAGTAGCAGACTAATAAAATAACAGATTTGGGCTTGCTGCCAGGACAAATGTTGACTTACCCTTATAATGTTGACTAAAACGAGTAACTTTGAAAGTTATTGCAGAGTGAAACCTTAGCCAGAAATACAGCGTCTGAAACAGTGGTTTTGTTTTATTTTACTGGCTCTGCTTAGAGATTATGTTTGTAACCTAGGCTGCTGCCTGCTTCACCTCTCAGAGTCCTGTATTTTACTGAATTATTTCCCAAGGCTCTTTTTTTCAGCCCATAAACCTTCACTCAGCAAAAATGAATTTCCCCATGGCAGGCAAGTAGGAGAGGTTACTTTTCCAATGTGGGGGCAAAAACTCAGTGGTACCAAGAAGAATGAAGGTAATGACTTGCTTGAGTCTTCTCTCAGAAACAAAATGGTATGCCATGAACATTCACCCTCTCCAAATTTGTAGTAAAATTAATTGCTTCTCCCGGGTGTACCGGAAGAAATCCATCTCGCTTGCCGCCTACCCCCACCTTTCCTTCATTTTGCCATGCAGTTTATTACAAACACTAGAGAGCTATAGTATTTTGCTACCATGTGTTTTGGACTTGAAGGAAACAGGGGAGGCCAGGAGGAAATGAAGCTAGGAGGACTACAGAAATTGTCATAAAGTGTGATTTCTTTCTACCCCTGTTTTTTTAATTTGTGTTTTATAGGAAGCTGGTTTGGGCAGGGCCTCTGAGCATGGTTTCAGAGGCTCCTGCCAGCATTGTGTGAGCTCAGCCAACTGCCAACTGTCCTCCTTATACCTCTCCCTTATTCAAGGCTCCCCCGAAAGCAACCACCTCACAGGGAGACTTTGGCCAAGAAGCCATAGGTGCTGAATCTGCTTTTGGTGCTGACTGGCTCAGGCAGACAGAGCTTGATATACAGAGAATAAACGTCATCCCTCTAACATTAATATGTTCAGTTTTATGTACCTGAGAGTTGATGGTTTAATTTGTGGGTTTGCCCAGACTCTCTTGCGACTTCTCTCATCATCTGCTCTTTAGCACTTCCATGAGACGGGGCAAGAGATTGTTGGAGTCTCAATCCAGCAGCCCGAAAGCCTGTCTGCAGCTTGGGTTTGAGACTGAACTAACTCAGGGTGTTTTGTGGATTTTAGTTATCCAGGCTGTCCCTGTTCCCTCATTAACAAAAACAAAACAAACCCCAGCTTTTTTTTTTTTTTTAAGAAGGAAATTGGGATCTTTTCCTCATAGCACCTTATCTTAATATGGAGGAAAGAGTTGAGCCATTTTATCAAAAAGGAAATCAAATCCCCCTTGGATGCCTAATGTGAGGCAACTGGCAACCAAACTCACGGCCGGAGAAAACAAACACAAGAATGTGGCTTCCATGTTTGAGATTAGCCAAGACAAAGATAGCAGGGATGCCTCCCGGAACAGTTCCTGGTGGTTTGTCAAAGTCCACAAAGCTTGCAGTCCCTTTGTTGAAATCACTGATAAGCATACAAGAGGAAAATTATAGTTCTGAGTTTGAAGACCTTTTCTCACCTTGGGGGTTAAAAACCAATAATTCTGAAACACATTTGGCCTAATCAATGAAGTCAGGTTTCCGTTGGGATTTGGGCCTCATTATTTGTCTTTCATCTTCTGGGAACAGATGACACCAGGTCAGTTAGCTCTGTGCCAGGGGAAAAAAAGAACAGAAAAAATATTTCAATGGAAATTTTAGAATTAGGAACAATTATTTCATTATTATTATCTTTTTCTATTTCCAAAAAAATAAGATGAAGAGTCATTTGCAAGCTCCAAGGCAGCTCCCCTTTCTGTACCCACAGTCTTACTCCTCCTTTGCTCAGGCAGCTCTATGAAGGCCTCCTCAGTGCTGCATATGTGCCCTACGTTCCTGTGTTGTCCACCGCACCATGCCCTGCCTTCCAGCCACCCCACCTGCTCCTTCCTTGCCAGCTCCACCTGACACTGACTCTCTTGACTCTTTGTGGCTCAACCTTCTGATTCTCCCTATTCAGCTGGGAGACATTCCCCACAACAGTGACACCTGTATACTTCAATTAAGGCCACTTTGCACATACTGAGTAAACACTCCCTAAATTGGGCTAAGAAGAATGCACAAAGTCACAAAGTCCTCCAAACTATGTGTTAGTTACAAAGAGAATAATATTAACTTTACAGTGGAGAAATCCAGCAGACACCACCTGTGTTAGTTTCTTATGACTGCTATAACAAAGTACCATAAGCTAGGTGGCTTAAAACAACAAAAAATGTTTGTCTTATTCTGGAGGCTAAGTCTGAAATGAAAATGTCAGCAGAGGCCGGGTGTGGTGGCTCACACCTGTAATCCCAGCACTTTGGCAGGCCAAGGCAGGTGGATCACCTGAGGTCAGGAGTTGAGACCAGCCTGGCCAACATGGTGAAACCCTGTCTTTACTAAAAATACAAAAATTAGCCGGGTATGGTGGTGTACTCCTGTAGTCCCAGCTACTCGGGAGGCTGAGGCAGGAGAATCGCTTGAACCCAGAGGTGGAGGTTGCGGTGAGCTGAGATTGTGCCACTGCACTCTAGTCCCAGTGACAGAACGAGACTCTGTCTCAAAAAAAGAAAAAAAAAAAAAAGACAAAAGAAAATGTCAGCAGAGCCATGCTCCCTCTGAAACCTGCAGAGGAATCCTTTCTTCTTCCAAGTTCCTGGTGTTTGCTGGCAATCCTTCATGTTCTTTGGCTTGTAGATACATCACTCCAGTCTCCACCTCTCTCTTGTCACATGGCCATCTTCTCCATGTGTGTCTCTAAATTTCCCTCTTCTTATAAGGACACCAGTGATTAGATTTAGGGCCTACTCTAAACTAGTGTGACTCTTCTTAACTTGATTTTATCTACAAAGATCCTATTTCCAAATAAGGTCACATTCACAGGTATCTGGAGTAAGAACTTACACTTATCTTTCAGTGGGGGCATAATTCAATCCATAAGACCATCTTAACTACGTAGTCAAAGTTAACATCACCAGTAATAAGACTTAGCAACATGGTGTACCACCTATATGATATACCAGGAAGGATACATCTTTGTGTTTTTTCTTGCCAAAAATGCATAACCTGAACTTAATCGTGAGAGAACGTAAGATTAATCTAAAGTGAGAGACATTCTATAAAATAACCAACCAGTACTCTTCACAAGTGTCAATTAGAGAGCTCTAGTATTTTGCTATAAGATCATGAAAGACAACAAGACAGAGGAACTATATCACAGATGGGACAGAAATATAACTTTGGATTCTAGATTAGATCCTGGAACAGAAAAAGGACACTAGTGGGAAAACAGAAACTGGTGGAATCCCAATAACTCTGTTAATAGTTTAGTTAATAGTATTGCCCCAATGTTAATTTCTTAGTTTTGATAAATGTACTGTGGTTATGTAAAATGTTAACATAGAGGTAGTGGTGTAAAGGATGTATGGGAACACTCTACTAATTTTGCAACTCTTCTGTAAATCTAAGATTATTTCAAAATCAATGTTTTGAAAAAGAGTATGCTCATATTAAGGGAATAGATAAGCTCACCTGTTCTTAGAGGCAAAGATGGCAGGGGGAATAATCTTTAGCAAAAACATACCAATTTGTGAGCCCTATTCTAGGCTCTGATAATTATCTTGCTATTCACAAAGTACTGTGCTATGTGCTCATCGTCATTATCTGTCTGTTTTTGGGCAGAATAATGAAGCAGAGGTGTATAGTCCAGTACATGGTCCACATTTTGCCTCTACCTGAAATACGTGATCTTGTGTATTTGTGCTCCTTAAACCTTGGCTTGCTCACTTATAAAATGGGGATAATGATACTAGCTTTCTCATAAGATGTTCTGAAGATGCCAAGAGCAAATCCTTATAAAGCTCTTCGCCCAGCACCTGCACAGATTGTAAGTTCCCTGTAAAGCATAGCTCCTACCCACAGAATTCTCACTGCTGTATTACGAGGTTATTTCCCCATTTTTCAGTTGAAGAAACTGAGTAAGTAACTTGCTTAAGACAAGATTAGTGAATATGAGAGCCAGACTAAAATAGATAAATCTATAAAAATATGGCTCATTCTCAACCATTTTGTTAGAAAAACATTAACACAAGAGGGAAAATCTGTAGGAATTCGTTGAAAGAAAAGGTACAAAGCAAGCTGTCAAGTGCCCCCATGCTGGGTGGAGTGGGGCCATTTGAAGTAAAGCTTATAGCTGGGAAGAGGCAGAAGCAGGAATTAAAGAATTGTCCATGGCGTGAACCCGGGAGGCGGAGCTTGCAGTGAGCCAAGATGGCGCCACTGCACTCCAGCCTGCGCGACAGAGCGAGACTCCGTCTCAAAAAAACAAACAAAAAAAAAAAATAAAAAAAAACTTTTTATTTTGACATGCACCATAGGCAGGCATGTACCAAATACATGTACCATTTGACATGTATTTTGTCACGTACCTGTGCCCTGCACCTAGCTTTGACAACTACCAACCTGTGACCAGTCCTGTTTTCCTCTTTTTCCATCCACTTTCTCCACTGTCATTATTTTGAAGTAGATCCCAGGCATTATATCACTTTTTATGTCCTTTGTTCATATATATATATTAAAATGGTCAAGGAAAGTTGGCATTGTGTTTAGAAAGTTAAGAGAATAAAATGCAATAAAATAGGGTTTACTCACATAAAAAGTAAGTCAAATGTTTCCCCTGTTTATCAGGGGAGGACCCTGCATGTCCAGCTGCAGGGAGAATATGCAAATCAAGCTTATGCCATCTACTGGAGCCTGACGATGACTAGGTGTGCCTGTGGGAGAGTGCAGTGCCTGGGAGTGTTGTCCTTGGGTATGTTACAGTAAAAAAGCTGAGGCTGAGGACCACTGACCAGGACATGACTGGTCAGCAAACAACAGTCAGCAAACTATGGCCTGAAGACCGAATACAGCTGACTTCCTATGGGCCTCAAGCTAAGAATAATGTCTACATGTTATAATGATTGAAAAATTTCAAAAGAATAATATTTTGTAAGCGGGGCATAGTGGCTCAACCCTGTAATCCCCAGCACTTTGGGAAGCCGAGGCGGGAGAATTGCTTGACCCCAGGAATTTGAGACCAGTCTGGGAAACATGGCAAGACCCCTTCTCTAAAAAAATTTTTAAAATTTAGCCAGGCATGGTGGTGAGCACCTGTAGTCCCAGTTTCTTGAGAGGCTGAGGTGGGAAGATCTGCTTGAGCCCAGGAGGTTGAGGCTGCCGTGAGTCGTGATCGTGCCACTGCACAGCAGCCTGAGTGACAGAGCAAGACCCTGTCTCAAAGAATATTTTGTGACATGAAAACTATGAAATTTGAATTTTAGTGTTCATAAATAAATGTTTAATATGATATAGCCACACTTATTTATTTACAGATTGTTTGTGTCCGAAAGCAGAGATGAGTAGTCATGACAGAGGCTGGGTAGCCCCTTACAGAAAAAGTTAGCCAGGCCCTGGGGTAGGGCATGGGCTCTGGAGTCAGCCTGACTGGGTTTACATCCTGGTCACCTTGTTTTAGCTGAATGGCTTTAAGCAAATTGCTCACTACGTGCCTTAGTTTCTCCATCTTTAAAATAGGGATTGTAGTAGTAGTTACCTTGTGAGGTTGTTAGTAGGAATAAATATGCAACTATATGTAAAGCACTGAGCTGAGTTCCTGCTACCAGTATTAGCTCATTATTATTATTTGTTTATGCTAGAGTTTCTCAGTCACTGTAAGATTGTAACTTCCTATTTAACATGAGGACAATGAAAGCCACCTAGAAGGTTCCTGGGTGGATTAAACATGACCCTTGGGAGTACAGTTTCCACACACCACCTGGCACACAGATAGAACCCTGAAAAGGCTTTCCTGGAATTTCCAAACATTTGAAAGACTTTTTTTATTTGGCTCCATCAACTCATGGGTAAGAGTATCTGCTAGCACAATCAATTCTCACCTCTTCCTTGCTCCTGGCCAGATGTAAAGCAGCTGAGAGCCACACTGCCCTGCAATGCAGCAGCCTGAGTCCTTATGCCAGTGGCTACATTTCCAGCCTCTCCTGGGTGGTGTTTGAGGCTCAATAGGGGTAGAGTCTCAGGGCAGCTGCAGACATGACATAGATGATATTCCTACTATTCCTCACCCCACTCTGGCTGCAAAAAGGAAGTGCAGGGAAAATGAGTGGGGAGTTCCTGTATGCCAGTCTGTTTCAATGGAACTATTTTTGGAGGAATAAAAAAGTATGCTAGATTATATTGGTACGATAGGCATTTTCTTACATTGCATATAGTCTGCTTTGGCTTTTACCTGTTGAGGGGAAGAATGAGGAGAGGATAAAAATCATTGTATCCCCTAGAGAAGGAATATCAAAATCCATTTAATAAAAAAACTCATACTAAGAATAAAATTGCATAGTGTTTTATTCTCCTTTGTTCATAATTAAACACAAGATATTTTAAATTGTCAAATCAGTTTCTTTATGAAAAAATATGACCTGTATGCCTTTATTCTCTCCTTTCCTTCTTCCCACCCGTCGCTTCTTTTCTTCTCTTCCTTTTTTTCTTTCCTTGTCCTCTGACTAAATGAAGAACAAACATTTGATAAAAGCCACTGCCAATTCATGATAAAAATTCACAGCAAAGTTGGTACAGAAAAGAACTTTCTCTGCGTGTTAAAGGGTGCCTCTCCCATGCTCTCAGCAAATATTTAATGATGAAATCTTATTAATAATCACTGTAGAACCAAGAATTAAACTAGTATACCCACTGTCTTGGCTTGTAATCAACAATATACAGGTGGTTCTAGCCAGTGCAATAAGACAAGAGAAACAAAAATGTTATAAGGCCTGGAAAAGATGAAACAAACTGTTATTCACAAAATACTGTCTATACAGAATGCTCAGTGTCTTTTTTTCTTTTCTTTTTTTTAAACTTTAGTGAGATACCCTTCTGCCCTATCTTAAAATCACGTGGTGGGGGGTGGTGTCTGCACTTGAAACAGGACACTTGGTTCCTGGGTTTAGCATTGACCTTGCCCAGCTTGGTCTGGCAGCTGAGTTGTTGGACTAGGAAGCGTCCCTGCAGGTTGTGTTCTGTTACCTCTCTGTAAAGCCTGAAAGCATCCCTACGATTGCATTTGCTAGTTCTCAGTAGAGCTATTTAACAAGAATCTGGAAACATTTTCCCTGAGGGCTCTCTTTAGACAGCAGTAAAATGTAGCTGGAGACATATTGAGTAAATGGAAAAGAAAAATCTAATGAGGCCAGGAATTTTTTTAATCTTCTATTCTCACAGAAGGCCTCAAGGAGAACACCATAATTCATATTTTACTCATGTGGGTTAGGCATAAAGCCTCCCCCATAGATCCAATAACCTGTAAGTGTTCTGGTTTTGAAATTGCACCTGCTTACATTGCTGGATCATAGCACTAAATCACACAGCAACGGCTTCTGGTTCAATTGTTCATTACTTGGGAATGTCAGATTGCCAGAGAGCAGCCTGATGTTTACATCCAAATCGGCAATGCCTTAGGAAATCAGTTTTAATTACAATCTCACGTAGCAGCACTGCACTCAACCTTCAGAGAGGCTGGGATTTGTGTTGAACCTACATCTTATAGCTGTGCAGAAAATGCCTGTCCGACTGGGTCATGCAAAATGGACAGCAAAGTCAGCAGAACCTTAGAAAAGATGACACAGCAAGTGGAACACAGCTGGATCATCCCCCGTCCTGTCAAGCGTGCAGTGCTCTCTGGCCCCTTTTTAAAACAAGGGAACCCAGTTGGCGTTTGCCTTTCAGCTTCCCCATTCTGATATAAAAATCTGTGACCCAGCAGCTTTAACCATAAAAAAGAGAGAGAGAAAGAGAAAGACTCAGAGTCAGCGGGCAGGATTCTCTGAGACCAGGTCCTGCTCCCTCAGGGAATCTTTGTCACCTCACTTGCTGTAATGCAGTTTGTGCCACCAACCTGGCATTTTCAGCCCAAAGCAGGAGCCATTTAGACAAATTCAGGGGATGCTTAAGAGGCAGTGTGTGTGTGTGTGTGTGTGCTTGCGCGTGTGTGTGTGTGTGTATTCAGTACGCTAGTGGTGCAGCTCTGACGTAAAAAAATGTTTTAAACCCTCCTCTGAGCACAAATGCTCAAGAGCCTGGCACTGGACAGGGAGCATCCTGAAGGGCATTGTCACCTGAAGCAGAAGAGCTGTCAGATCTTTCCCTTCAGCACTTAAATCATTGTCACGCAATGGCTTTCATCTTGGGAGATTCATCCTCTGCATTTTGGAACTGAGCCTTCCTAGTGTTCTGAGAGTTTTCTGCTGTCTGTTCAGCTTAGCACGCTAAGAAGCTGGAGAGGTACCCAGCAGCCTGGTTGCATTCTCCGTCTTGGAAAAGTATTTAACTGCTTTGAGAAATCATGGAATCGTTTCTGGCCACATTGTGAGATTGTATTGAATTTTCTTTTTAAGTTTTTAAATTTTTATATGCAAATGCTGGAAAGCTTGGAGACAGTCTATTTCAAAGAAGGCTGTTGATTTCTGAGACTGGCAGGGGCATAAAATGACATGAGAGTGTCTCAGCAGGATTCCAAATTCACGAAAGATTTTTCCAGGCACCTACTATGTTCAGAACGGGGATGCAGAAATATCCTGGAGAATCTGAAGTTCTGCCTTAACCCTCGAAACTTTGAAAGCAATGGCTGAAAAGGAAAGATGAATACCTAGAGGCTCCCTCTGGAAATGATTGAGGTTTGCCACCACAATTGGCTACTTTGGCTTTGCCCATCAAAATTTGGTATCTTCATGTGCTGTCTAGCATCTACTACAGGTCAGATGGAGCTTAGGAGGACAAGGGTAACTCTTCTCTTTGTCTTTGTAAAATGTTTTGTCTATCATCATTCTCTTCCCCATAGCCTGTTTTTTTTTTGTTGTTGTTGTTGTTTGTTTGTTTGTTTTTTGTTTTTTTGACACAGAGTCTCTGTCAACCAGGCTGGAGTGCAGTGGCGCAATCTCGGCTCACTGGAACCTCCACCTCCCAGGTTCAAGCAATCCCACGCCTCCCGAGTAGCTGGGATTACAGGCACCTGCCACCACGCCCAGCTAATTTTTGTATTTTAGTAGAGATGTAGTTTCACCATCTTGGCCAGGCTGGTCTTGAACTCCTGACCTCGTGATCCACCCACTTCGCCCTCCCAAAGTGCTTTGATTACAGGCATGAGCCACTGCGCCTGGCCAGGCTGTTATTTTTATTTATGTAATTCTTGTCTGCAAAGTCCTTGGAATGGGTAGGCGCCCTCCCACCTATCAGCCTGGTTTGAAGTAACTTGCAGATTTGCAACTAATGTTTTATGTGGAGGTGATTTTCAAAACTTGTGGCTATATATAGTATAGAAACCGATGTCCGTGGTAGGGCTTTTTCTCTATACATTTTCTTTTGCCGTCTGGTTATAATTTATAAATATTAATATGTGCATTTCAAATATGCTGTAGATACAAAGATGCTTTCTTAAGAGCCCAGTAATAGAACTTCTTTTTTAAATTTTTTTTTTTTAATTTAATGAAGTAAGAAAACAATCTTGGTGCTTTAGGAAAGCCATTGCATAAGAGTGGCTTTAGGCAAGATGGGGAAAAGGTTTTTAAAGAGATGAAACCAGAAGCAACAAAAGACAAGGTCATTGGGTGAGAAATCAGACACTGCTTTTCTCTACAGAAGGGGTGGGGAGACTGGTTCTACTAAGTGGAAGCTTCTGAATTAAAAGCTGGCAGATGCTGGGGGTGAGGGATAAGGAGCAGATCCCTGCCCCTTTTCTGTCTTCCCAGATACTGCCTCTGTTGACATCCCCTGCCTGCCATTTCTCCTTCCCTGCCTCCTAAGCCAGGTCATCTCCATACAGCCAGAGTGAGACGTGACACTTTATATTCCATAGATCAGTGTACAACCAGTACCTTGTGGAGTGGAACACAGTTGTATGATGGAGTTATGTTGTCTTTGCAATTGACCTTGACATTTTACTTTTTTTTTTTTTTAACTCTATAGGAGCCTAGTAATAAACGGGTCAAACCCCTTTCCCGAGTCACGTCGCTAGCAAACCTCATCCCGCCCGTGAAGGCCACGCCATTAAAGCGCTTCAGTCAAACCCTGCAGGTAAGAAGGGCACACAGGGCCTGTGGTTGCAGAAAATCATGGTGTACGGGAAGGAACATCCCCATCCTACCTAGAATTTCCCCTGGTTTCAAAGTGACCTGAATCAATGCTTATTTCAATAGAAGAGTGCAAGTGAGGGGACTTGGAGGAAGAAAGATGTTTTTCAAGTTGCAGTCAAGGGTCATGCAGAGCCAGAGCTGTTGTGGTTGGGCCTTTCCCCACAATTGTATTTCAGAGTTATGTGCCCCATCCAGACATACTCTCACGCGATTTTTTTCCTAAAATATCTATGGGCCTCCTGAGGAAACCAGCACATGATGTTAGCTGGAGGGCAACAGAGCCTAGTAGCTTCAACCAGGGTCGGCAAACTGCATTGGGTGGAGAAAATCCAGTTCACCACCTGTTTTTTTATGGCTCACAAGCTAAGCCTGATTTTTACTTTTTAAAATTCTTGGGGGAAAGTCAAAAGAATGGTGCTGTTTCGTGACACATGAAAACGACATGAAATTCAAATTTCAGTATCCATAAATAAAGTTTTGTTGGAACATAGCCATGCCCATCTGTTTATTGTCCATGGCTGCTTTGTACTATGGCATAATTGAGTAGTTGTGACAGAGACCATATTGCCCACAAAGCCAAAAATATTTACCATCTGGCCCTTTACATAAAATGTTTGCTGACCCTTGGCTTAGAATGAGGACCTAAGGACCTCGGAGTGGAAGTACCTTGGGTTCTAACCTCGGCTCACCTTGGGCAGGTGACTTAACATCTCTAGGTCTTGCTTTTATTTTTTATTAAAAAAATGTTTTTTCCATACTTCATCCTACAGATAGGTCTTGCTTCTATTCCATATCAGTAAATTTGCCATGATGCCACCAAACGTTCATGGAATCATTGTAAAGATTTACAAGACAGTGCATTTAAAGGGCATAGCATAACACCTTGGCCCTTAGTTAGCAATCATTAATCTTCAAATTCGTTAACTAAGTAGTAAATATTAGCTACTATGATAGTTTTTTAGTTAACAAGTAGTTATAGTTGTTCTTAAACTGTTGATGAAGTGTATCTTTTAAAGTGAACGTTGAGATTTATCCAAGCCCTTGGACCAATTTGATAATTATACAAATTTTCTTTTAGATTGAAGCCCACAAAAAATATGCCATGAAAAGGCTCACCTGGTTTAGCTGAGCAGCAGTCTTGAGTCTGCCATGTATTTGTCCTGAATGCTTTTGCTTGGCAATATTTTGTATCTCTGCTTTCTGAGTCTTTAAGAAAACTGGGGACCAGAACCCAAGGCATGCCTCATGCTGTGAAAATCCATGACTTGAGAACTGTTTGAGGTTCTCCCTCAGCCCTTTCTGTCCTTGCCTGCCTACCATACAGCCAATATGTCATGACTCCACATAGCCCAAGTGGTTCTTGCTACTTTCCCATAGATGCCCTTCCTCTCCATTGCTTTTCCCCTGCCCTGCCCGTTCCTCTGTTAACTCTGTTGCAGTTTCTCCTGAATGAATACCTCACGTAATTAGCTATAGGTTTGGGTCTGTTTCTCTCAGCACTTGGGCCGCTGGATCCCTGGTTAATACCCTGATCCCTTTTGTGGGAGAATGGAGGAAAGAGAAAATAAGGTCATCTGGGAGAGCAAGATGAAGGGCTTTGAAACTAGTGAAGAAGAATGTGTTTACCTTTTCTCCCTTGTGACCAGTTCTTCAGCCCTCTCGACAAGTTCATCGCAGGCATCCCCTGGAAGATTCATCACTGCCCTAGTCCCGCACATCTGGTCTCTCACTGAGTTACTGCTTTTTGAAAATTCTTCAGAATGTCTACTGCATTTCACCCTTTCCTCTCCATCCCAGTGGCTGTGGCTCAAGTTCACTCTGCAATTATTTCCTTCCTTGATTGTCAGACCTCCAAATTACCAGCCATCTCTTCCCATTATTGCTCCCAGGACAGTCCACCCTCTGCCCAGGAAGGCCCTCATTCATTCAGTCAGTGTTGAGTGAATCCTCATCAGGCATTAGGCTCTTCTTGCCCTCATATTGCTATGTTCCAGATATAACAGAATTGCCTTTTGGTAGGTTTGCTGCAGTGCTGTGTTCCCACATGGCAGTAATGAGCTAGACCTAGGCAGCCAGCCAACCATCACCTACAAATGTCCCCACCTCTCCCAATTGCCCTTCTAACACCTGGCCCTTTACTCTCTGTCATTGCCTTGCCTAGTTGGTAGGCTTTTTGTGTTTGTGCTCCTGGGCCTAGGAAGAGCACAATCTGTGCCTCCCACTACAGCCCAGCCCTGGCTGCTTTAAGATCTGTTACCATACCTTCAAAATCTTTCTTTTGGCTTCTCAGGCAAAATTTCTTTCTTCTGTTTCTGGGGTTCCTTCACAGGTAACAGTGCAGGAAACATTTGCTCACCTCAGAAATTTACATTGACCTAGAGAACTAGAACAGAAAGAAATCAAGCCATGTCTGAAATCCAGCAGACTGAGGCCAAGCAAGGATGAGAAAGCCAGACCCAAAGGAGGATCTGACATGTGGAAATTGGTTTTTAAAACCTCAAAGATTTTTTTGGCAAAATAATTTTTTTTTTTTTTTGAGATGGAGTTTCACCCTTGTTGCCTGGGCTGGAGTGCAGTGGCGCGATCTCAGCTCACCGCAACCTCCACCTCTCGGGTTCAAGCGATTCTCCTGCCTCAGCCTCTCAAATAGCTGGGATTACAGTCACCCACCACCACGCCTGGCTAATTTTTTGTATTTTTAGTAGAGATGGTGTTTCTCCATGTTGGCCAGACTGGTCTCAAACTCCTGACCTAAAGTGATCCACCTGCCTCGGCCTCCCAAAGTGCAAAATAAGTTTTTAAGTTAATTTTTTCAAATATTGTGATAAATAGCTTACTCTAAGCTTTATATATTGGCCAGAAACAACCCAGCAGAAACAGAAGAGTTATTCACAATGGTAATGTACATAGATATGGAGAGAATTGAGCGATGTGCTTATGTTTGAGAGTGTCCTTGGGGGGACAGTGAATGGAAATACACCCCTCAAGTTGTATGCAGAGTTAGCAGCCATGTTTGCAGAATGATCTGCAAAGCATGGAGAATGCCAGCTTGTCCCCACATGTCTTCTTGTAACTCACCTTGGTGCACACGGTGCAACTTCTATGGCATTATTTCCAGCCCTAGCATCTCAATAATAGTTTCCCTCACCAGCTAGACTGAGAGAAGGTGCCAATTTATATTTTATTTTATTTCATTTTATTTTAATTTAATTTAATTTAATTTAATTTAATTTAATTTTCGAGACAGAGTCTTGCTCTGTCACCCAGGCTGGAGTGCAGTGGCGTGATCGTGGCTCACCTCCACCTGCGCCTCCTGGGTTCAAGTGATTCTCCTGCCTCAGCCTCCCGAGTAGCTGGGATTACAGGTGCCCACCATCACACCTGGCTAATTTTTGTGTTTTTAGTAGAGACGGTTTCGCCATGTTGGCCAGGCTGGTCTCAGACTCCTGACCTTAGGTAATCCGCCAGCTCAGCCTCCCAAAGTGCTGGGATTACAGACATGAGCCACTGCACCTGGCTGGATGCTAATTTAATGTGGCCTGGGAGCAGTAAGGATGAGGGGGAAGAGCTGGCCCCAAAGGGGTGCTCAGTGGGCTCACTTCACATCCTCTCCGATTTTGTCTAAGTCTTGGTTCCCTTTCCAATAAGGGAGAAACAGAGAACAAAGAGTGTATCAGCTGCCCCAAACCTCTCAGCAGCCATCCATTACCCATATGTGTGTATTATTTATGCCTTTTCTATTCCAAAAATGACTCAAGGCTGTAATTGAGCAGCTTGGTTCTCTGTTGCAGTATTCCTTTTCCCTGGCTTCTGACACCTTAGAGACATATATATTCCTTTGGATATTCAATTATGTCTCTCAGGTTGGATTCTTTTAATTATAGAAGAGATGACTTAAGCCCAAATAAGGTGCTCTAATCAGTGCTGGAACACTTAGCAGACCTTCCTCTGGTTCCTCAGGAGACCACAAGTTAGCCCAGGAGGATATCAGGAGAGCTCTGGGCTGGCAGCCACTTCCAAAAATGTTAAAAGCCCAGTCACACATGTGAGTGGTCCTTGCAGCCACAGTTCAGCAAGACACTGCAGGATTTGTTCTCTCTTGCTTCCTGTGCCCATATGGGCTGGGGGCTTGCACCCCAACACAAAGGCAGCATTTGTGGACGCTGGGGAGGGACAGCCTGACTGCATGGCTCTCTATCTGCTTCTCACCAGGAAGGTTAGCACTGCCGGTAGACTCAAGCACAGATGTCTGGATCCCTCTGAGCCTATAAATTCCCTCCCTGGCCTGCCTGAGAGGAAAATCTGGCCCAGCTCTGAAAGGGGACCTCATGCGCTCCTCTGGTGTGGAGTGAGGAAGGCGAGCTCGCCTTTGGCCAGTCGCTCCCTGAGCCCTGCCTCTCCCTGTCCACAGCTGTTCACGGCTACTGGACTCATTTGAGCTGAGTTCAGCACATGCTATGGAATGTTGTGTTCATGATGTTGTGATGTAGCCCCTCATTCTCTTTGGACTTGCACTTTTTCCTTTTCCATTATAAAAGTGAATGTTCATTATGGAAAAATGCAGAAAAGGAGAAAGAGAAAAAGAACATGTATAGTCTTCCAACTCCAAAACAATCCATTAATAGTTTACCAGTTTCCCTCTAGCACTATTCTAGGCATAGGTGCAGAGCTCACGTACTCTGAGCCTAGTTTTGGGTTCCTCACAGTCTATTCAGCCTTATCTCTGTCTGGGTGATCTGCTCACTTTTAGGTTAAAGCCTCCCACAGTGACTGTGGATGATCAGTTTCTCTTGCATCTCTGTCAGTCTCAGCCTCACACATTTCCAAGCTATGCAGTTAGGTGCACAAATGTTCATATTTGTCACCATTACAGCCTCCTGGGGGAGTTGCACCTTTTATTAGGATTAAATATTCCTGTTTATTTCCTTTAACGCTTTTTGCCTTGGATTTTGTCGTCATCTTCTTCTTTTTTTTTTTTTTTTGCATTTTGCTTAATGTGTTTTATTCCATCTCTATTTTCCTCCTCCCTTTGTTATTTGGCTGGGCAAGGAGTTTTTATCTAGCTTAGGGGGGAGTATTATGTCACAGTTATTCTTGGAAAATATTATCTTTATGGGCTGAGTATATATTATTCTACATAACCAGTCTCCTATTAACACATATTTAGGCTGTGAATATTTTTATATTAAATAACTCTATGTTGAATCTTTTTAATGCATTTGTCCTTTTTTTTTTAAATTACCTTCTATTGTGCTTTGTTTTCTGATAATATAACATCATTTAAATATTGAGGCCGGGTGTAGTGGCTCACACCTGTAATCTCAGCACTTTGAGAGGCTGAAGCGGGTGGATCACCAGAGGTCAGGAGTTCGAGACCAACCTGGCCAACATGGCGAAACCCTGTCTCTACTAAAAATACAAAAAATTAGCCGGGCGTGGTGGCACACGCCTGTAATCCTAGCTACTCTGGAGGCTGAGGCAGGCAGAATTGCTTGAACCCAGAAGGCAGAGGTCACAGCGAGCAGAGATTGCGCCACTGTACTCCAGCCTGGGTGACAGACTGAGACTATGTCTCAAAAATATATATATATATTGAGGCTGGGGCTGGGCATGGTGGCTCACGCATGTAATCCCAGCACTTTGGGAAGCCGGGGCAGGTGGATCGCTTGAGGTCAGGAGTTTGAGACCAGCCTGGCCAACATGGTGAAACCCCGTCTCTACCAAAAAACACGAAAATTAGCTGGGCGTAGTGGTGCATACCTGTTGTCCCAGCTACTTGGGAGGCTGAGGTGGGAGGATCACTTGAACCCAGGAGGTGGAGGTTGCAGTGAGCTGAGATCATGCCACTGCACTCCAGCCTAGGCAACAGAGTGAGACTGTCTCAAAATAAATAAATAAATAAATAAATACTGAAAAATATAGTGAAGCACATAAAAGAGAATAAAAGTCACTTGTAATCCTACTTCCCATCACCAAAAAACTTCCATTAATATTTTGGTACATACTCAGGCAATCTTACCTTTTACTATACTTGCATGTGCATTTTTTTTTTTTTTTTTTTTTTTTGAGACGGAGTCTCGCTTTGTTGCCCAGGCTGGAGTGCAGTGGCGCAATCTCAGCTCACTGCAAGCTCTGCCTCCCGGGTTCAAGCCATTCTCCTGTCTCGGCCTCCCCAGTAGCTGGGACTATAGGCGCCCGCCACCACGCCCGGCTAATTTTTTAATATTTTTTAGTAGAGACGGGGTTTCACCATGTTAGCCAGGATGGCCTCAATCTCCTGACCTCATGATCTGCCCGCCTCAGCCTCCCAAAGTGCTGGGATTACAGGCGTGAGCCACCGCGCCCGGCCGCATGTGCATTTTTTAAAACAAAATGACTATCACACTGTATATGCTATTTTTTTACTCCCTTTGGTCTTAACGGTATAAAATAACTCTACAATAGAAGAGTATTTTTCATGTCGTTAAGTAGTTTTCAAAGACTTGATTTTTTTTTTTTTTTAATAGAGACAAAAATCTCCCTATGTTGCCCAGACTGGTCTCAAACTCCTGGCCTCAAGCAGTCCTACCACCCTGGCCTCCCAAAGTGCTGGGATTATAGGCATGAGCTACCACACCTCGCCACAGACCTGATTCTTAATGGACTCATAAAGCATTTCATCAAAAGAATGTACAGTTGAGTTAATCACTCTCCTGTTGTTGAACATTTGTTTCTGTTTTTTCATCATTATAGATAACAGTGCTTTCAACATCCTGATCATGTGTATGTCTGTATTTCTTTCTTTCCTTTGATTATACTCCTAGAAATGGAATTCTGGTCAAAGGGTGTGAATACTAAAGGCCGTTGATACGGCAAGGCTTCTGTTCTTGATGTGTGTCAGTTTTGGATAGAATTGCTTCTCTGTTTTCACATCTAAATCTAGACTTCTTACATTTCTCCTTCTCTTTTGCTACAGTTTTTCTCTTTGCTGTGATATCCCTCAAGATAGCTCTTCCCAGGGGTCCCTTGGGTTTTCCATGCAAGCCAAGGTGGTGTCTTACTTATCTCTGTATCCACAGTGCCTAATACTACACATTACTTAGGATGTGCTCAAAAATTAGTACTTGCTATTATTATCACCGTTATGACTAGAAAAGGCAGCCATTGCTGCTCCTAAGCTCTCTGCAGAGCCTGGCAGTGGCTGCCAGTGATGGGGCCCTGCCCATCTTCTTCAACTGGGCTGAAGGAGAATATGTGTCCCCTCCCCCAGTTGTAGCCCCTCCAGGAAGTATTGCTATGGCAAAGAAGGGTTTCTAGCAACCACTGCCTCTCATTGCTCCATCCTCTGGCCCTTAGATCAGGGAGTTATTTTATTCAACCCAGATGCAGCATGAACATATGATAAATTAGTGGTCTCCATTAATGTTATTTGGATCTACTGTGTTATTTATTCTGCCTAGACTTAATGGGGAGAGAGTCAATACAGAAAGGTAGGTAGTCCTGCTCTAGAGATTGTAAAAGTTCTACTTGATAAAAGTTGTCTAAGGTATATTAGCAAGTAGAGGAAGAAAATTGGGGGAAAGTTCAAAACCACTGTCCCAGTTGATAATATACACCCATATTAGTATATGGATAGGGAAAAAAAACCAGGAACGTCAAATTCTTTTTTTTTTCTGTTGTCTCTTGGGAATACAATTATACTTTTGCAGTTCTTTTGTTTATTTTGTGTTCTCCTCCTTTTTTCCCCAGTATGTAAGAATTACAAATGAATAGAAAATAAATGAGTTGGAACTATTGATTTTTTCATTATATATTTCTGTTATACTTGAATTTTTTAATATGTATTACCTTTGCAACCAAATAAAAATGAATAAGATTAGAAAATCTTCTATGATAAAATATACTACAGAGAGAGTTTAGCAATGGCCTGAGGGGTCGTCAAGGAAGGCTGCTTAGCAAGGGTGGAGGGATTTGGGTTGGGCCTGGAATGGCTCACAGATGATAAGGATGAAAGGGAGGAAGCGTTTCAGGCTTCAGAAGGGAATATGGGATGGCTGATGCCATCTAGATATAAGAAATAATAAGTAAGAAATTACCCAAGCATATGTGCTGATTTCCATGTCTGGCAACCATGATTACCTTCTCCAAGGACCTCAAACTTTGTCCCTTGGTCCAAGGTCATAAATTTTCTATAACTAACTTATTTGGCTGACATGGAGATGAGCTTGGGGGTGGAAGGCACATGTGTGTTAGGGAAAGCAACCAGAAACCAGACTGTCTTGTAATGGGTATCCAAGGGAGAGGATATAATCATGGGTTCTTAGTTTCTCTTTCTGGTTGGGCCAGTAAAGCCCCTTCCTTATCCCTCTTTTCCGCTTATCACTGGAAACAGAAACTAAAAACCATGGCTTCAGGCTGCTAAAAGCCTAAAACAAAACAAACAGAACAACAACAAAATAAGGCAAGTTGGACAAGCTTGGAGAGTATAGCTGACAAGTTATCTGTAGTCCATCTCAAGAGGAACTCCTGATTCTCTGCTGTTCTTTACTATTCCTGGAGTGGTAGAATATTACTGTTTATTGTTCCTGGAAGCCACTGTAAATAGTTGATATTGGGCCGGGTGCGGTGGCTCATGCCTGTAATCCTAGCACTTTGGGAGGCCGAGACAGGCGGATTGCCTGAGCTCAGGAGTTCAAGACCAGTCTGGGCAAGATGGTGAAACCCCGTCTCTACTAAAATACAAAATATCAGCTAGGCTTGGTGGCAGGCGCCTGTAATCCCAGCTACTCAGGAGGCTGAGGCACGAGAATTGCTCGAACCCGGGAGGCGGAGGCTGCAGTGAGCTGAGATCGTGCCACTTCATTCCAGCCTGGGCAACAAAGCGAAACTCTGTCTCAAAAAAAAAAAAAAAAAATTTGTTGACTATTGTAATTTAAAGCTTGTCATTTTTTATTTAGTAATAACACTCATTAGTGTAGTATCTATGATGAACCAGGTTCTGCACAAAGTACCTTATGTTCATGGCCTCATATCGTCTTCTCCAAAACTCTGCAAGATAGGATTCATCACCACTTATAGGGAGAGATCTGAAAGTTTAAAATTGTACCCAAGGTCACACAGCTGGTAAGTGCCAGAGCTGGGATTCCGTAGGGTGTTCAGAGTGCCTCTCCTGCCGTAGGCTTATCACAAAAAGTCAAAGTTTGGTCATAATAAAGCCTGAAGTTTGGCAGGATTTAAAAATAGTCACCAGACTTTTGAGTTGGAGCATCCCACCTCACTGCTGTTCACCTTCTGTGGCAGGGAGAGTCATCATTTCCATTTCAGCTTGTGGAATATCTTGTCATTAACATTCTCATGCAAAAGCCATTTTATGGTGCCCAATGAAGATGGTTGAGCTACTGCCCCAAGCCTCTGGAAGCCTTCCTAATTTTGGACTTGCACTATGCAAATTGTATAATATTTTCTCTACACCTAAGCCAAATATTTTCTTCAGCTTTTCATTCATTCTACTCAGAATATCTCCAAGCTACAGAAGGGTTTCTTGTTGTACTGGGTCTTTGAGGTTTGACATTTATTGATTATGAATTAATTGGGTGCCCTTTTACCATGGTTTTAATGTGCATCAATCTGAATCAGATTGTAAATATGTGGTTTTATGTTTATTGCACCATTTCTAACTCAGTGTTCATTGTCTTTCATGTTCGTCAACTGACCGTGTTTCTTCTTAGTTAATATTTCTTCATTAAAGAAAGTCTGGAAAATAAATGTAGAGAATTAAAAGATGAAAATAAAAATCAGCCAGGTGCAGTGGCTCACACCTGTAATTCCATCACTTTGTGAGGCTGAAACAAGAGGATTGCTTGAGGCCAGGAGTTCAAGACTAGCCTGGGCAATATAGTAAGGCCCTGTCCCTACAAAAAAAAATAAAATAAAATCAAAAAATTAAAAATAAATAAAATTTTAAAAAGAAAACAAAAATTATCCGTAGTCCCACCATCCAGGGGTGTAAACCTTGTTAACATTTTGTTGTATTTCAAATTGGGATCTTTCTTCTCTCACTTAACTCTGCATGTGAGGCTCTCTCCTTATCATTAAGCTTTTCTCAAAAAGAATGTTTCTTAACAACTGTTTAAGGTTCCCTTTTATTGTTGCAGAGTAATTTGTTTAATCCCTATTGTAGAACATTTTAGGCTGTTTCCAGATCTTTTATAAACAACAGTGTCCTGCTGAGGGCTTTTCTTTCCCTAGGAGTTATCCTAATGGAAGTCCCTCTAGGAGCCATTTGGCCCAGGTAGTTCAGAAAGATGTGTCTGCTGTTTGCTAATTAATGAAAGCACGTATAAACAAGCACTAATAGTGGCAGTGTGGTCTGTGGTATGACAATGATAGGTAACTACCATTCCTGCTGACCGAGTGCCAGGGACTTGGCCAAGCCTCTTGTGTACTTTATCTTATCCAATCCTCACTACAACTTTGTGAGGTACTTATTATTATGCACCTTTTAGAGATGAGGAAACTGAGACCCAGAGAGATGAAAGGTCTCTCAGCCATTGAATCAACTTGAAGCCATGCCTGTTTTACTCCAAAGCCTATGTTCTTCACCCAAATCCATGTTTTGGAGTCAAACAATTGCACTCAGTTCCTATTCCAACACTTAACTTGTGCCACTCACTTACCACTCTGCTACTCAAATTACTCATCCTCTCCTAGGATTAGCATGAGGGTCAAATGTGACAGAGACCACACAGCTGGGAAGTGTTACTTCTCACTTAACATTAATTTCTGTAATGGAGCCTCATAGGAGACTCCTCCAGGATGCTGTTGGTTAACATTTTCCTGTCCTGGCCATTATTGCTGTACATTTTGGTTTAACCCACCGCAGTGGCAACATAGGAGAGTTTTTTCCTCTTACAGTCCCACCCCAACCTCCAATCCCTGATAATAAACCATCTGCTACAAAATAGCAATATGGTTAGCATGGTAAGTGTGGAGAATTTCCTTGGCTTGAATACTTTATTGGAGCATGTTATCTGTGGCTGTGGAAAATGGTTTTTGGAAAAGGGCAAGGGAGGACTCCGCTGAACAGGCGGCATTAACAAATCAGATCTGTCCCATCATGTCTACCTGCTGGGTTTACATTTCCTCTGACACGTGTAAAGCGCACATGCCACCCCCGTCCCCCAACCCCCGGCAGACAGTCTGTTTTGCATCTGCAGCATCTTTTCCACATATCCAGCTTGGGCATAAACTTGAGCACCATTTCCTCAATCTGCATTATCTCTGTTTTATGGTCATTGTTGTTTTAGCTGCCAGCAATTATGAGATTGCAGTTTTTGACTCATTTGCTAGGCCAGATTCCCTCATGGAAACTCTTGCTTGTCCTGGAATATTTTTCACTCCGGTCCCAGCATCCCCACACCCAGGGAGATCTATGTATGTGCTTCTGTTTTTATGTGGTCCTGCCCAAGGCCAGGTCCCTCACTTTGAGGTGGGCCTCTTCTAGTTACCGTGGACTGGCGTTTCTCACCCCAGGAACATTTGGCAATGTCTGGAGGTGTTTTGGTTGTCATAACTGGGCTGGCTGTGCTGCTGGCATCTGGTGGTTAGAGGGCAAAGATGATGCGAAATATCCTACAATGCACAGGAGAGCCTCCCACAATAAAGAATCTCTAGTCCAAAATGTTGTGGTGGCCAGGTTGAGAAACTTTCTACAGGCCAAGAAGTAAACTACAGTTCATTTATTTGGGCACATGTACCCCGCTACACTATGAATCTTATCCTAGGGCAATTAGGGTAGGATATTGGTTAAATATTGGGGCAGGGAGGTTGGCCTGAAATAGACCAGACTTGGATTGTCATTCTGACAGTCACCTTACCACCGGGTTTTAAATAATAAAGCACCATTCATTAGCTGTGTGACCTTCAGCAAAGTGTCACCTTCTCTGAGCCTCAAGTTTCCTTGTCTGTAAAGGGGACAGAATCCTTACCTCTCAGATAAGCAGGGCTCTAAAGCTCCCCTCACAGTGCCCAGCACATAGCAAGCATAACATTTAATCATTAAGCAAAAGTTGTTGAGGTCTTACTATATCAGTTGCTGATGAATCCATCAGTGAATAGAGGAGGTAGATATGCCTGCCTTCAAGGAGTTTACCTTCTATTGGAAGGAAATAGACATGAAAGAAACAAACAAACCTATAAATACAGCACATGTTGAATATAAAAAAAAAAGAGAAGGGCAGAGGGTGTGTAGATGGACAGTGGCAGGGATGCTGATAGGGATGTGGCTGTTCTTCTCTCTAAAGAGGCATCCTCTTGGAGTTTTTTTCTTCTAGTAGTAGTTGCCTGTTCCTCCCTCAACTCTAGTTCTCTCATGTAGTTTTTCCCAGTGGTACTGATGATGGGTTCAGGGGTAGCTCATGGTATGTGGTCAGTGCTGTTATGAACACCTGCCCATCACCCATGTGCTGTCCCCAGACCATACCAGCTGCTGCCCCTTTTCCCCGGGGCCAGACGGCTGCTGACCACTCACTGGTTTGGTATTCTTTTATTATTATTCTTTTTTATAGAGACAGGGTCTTGCTACATTGCCCAGGCTGGTTTCAAACTCCTGGCCTCAGGTAATCCTCCCATCTCAGCCTGTCAAATTGCTAGACTTACAGGTGTCAGTAACCTCACCTGGACAAATGGTTGGCATTCTTTATTCCTCCCTTGGGATTCTTCTTTCAACATCCAGTCCCTTCTGAGTGGAGTAAGAAAAAATGTTTCTTTTAATCCAGCCTAATTAAAGGTGTAAATTTGAAATTTGATTGGTCAGATATCAGCCATTATTCCTAAAACTGAGCAAATGTATTCTCTCTCTTTCCTTAAGTAGATTTATATTCCTAGAAGGCAGGAGCTGGATCCCATCTCATTGAAACTTCCCCAAAATGCATGTCTTGCATGTAAACAGTAGATGCAGTCCCCAAAGTAGAAAGAGCTCAGGCTCTGTTGGAACCAGATCTGGTTTTGAATCTTAGCCTCCCTCAACCTCAGTTTCCTCCTCAGTAGAATGGGAATAAACCCCCAACTTGCAGGGTGGTTGTGAGAATCAGAGAGAATATATCAGAAGTGCTACGTGTAGGCAAAGCGCATAAAAGACCCTCTGTGATATCCCCCATAGTACCCTGAGCCCAGCAATCACTAGGGAAACGCAAAGCAAGAAATTCATAGTGGTAGAGCTCACCTAGTACAGCTTACTGCTCTCTTTTTTCCCATGCCGCAGCAGAAGACAATCTCCAACTCTCTGGGAAATTTTTAAATAAATTAATTAAAATATGCTCAATCTTACCTTCAAAACACAAAACTGAAATTAAGGTATAGTTGTTTAACCTATCAGATTGATAATAATACCTTGTTGATGAGAGTGTGAGCAAAGTGTACTATTATGTACCTATCTGAGGAATATAAAGTTGAATAGCCTATTTGGAGGTCAACTTAGTGGTACATCTCAAACATTAAAATGTTCATACTTCTTAGACCAAGGAATTCCACTTAAGGAATTCCTGCCTTTTAGAAGTATCAGCACAAATACACAAAGCATGTTCACTGAGGCACTTTTTGTAATAGCCAGACACTGGAAACAATTTTAATGTCCATCAGTTGTGGATTGATTAAATCAATAGGTCTGTCCAGACTATGGGAGGGATACTAATTCTGCAGCCATTAAAAAGAATACGTGAATTTGAGGTAATGGAAATGTTTTGGAACTAAATAGAGATGGTAGTTGTACAACCTTGTGAATATACTAAATAGCACTGAATTGTTCACTAAAAAATGGTTAATTGTAGGCTGGGCACAGTGGCTCATGCCTGTAATCCCAGCAGTTTGGGAGGCTGAGGCGGGAGGATCTCTTGAGACCAGAAGTTCAAGACCAACCTGGGCAACACAGCAAGACCCCATGTCTACTAAATCAAAAATACAAAAGTTAGCCAGGCACTTGCTTAGCGGTGGCACTCATCTATAATCTCAGCTACTCAAGAGATTGAGGTGGAAGCATCACTTGAGCCCATGAGTTTGAGGTTACAGTGAGATATGGTTGCACCACTGCACTCCAGTATGGGCAACAGAGCAAGACCCATCTCCAAAAAAACAACAACGAAAAAGTAATTGAGTTATGTAAATTTCACCTCAAGATACTGTCAAGTAGAAAGAGAAAACATTCTCGGCCAGGCGCGGAGGCTCACGCCTGTAATCCCAGCACTTCGGGAGGCCAAGGCAGGCGGATCACGAGGTCAGGAGATCGAGACCAACATGGTGAAACCCCATCTCTACTAAAAATACAAAAAAATTAGCTGGGCCTGGTGGCGGGCTCCTGTAGTCCCAGCTACTTGGGAGGCTGAGGCAGGAGAATGGTGTGAACCCAATAGGCAGAGCTTGCAGTGAGCCGAGATCGTGCCACTGCACTCCAGCCTGGGCGACAGAGCGAGACTCCATCTCAAAAAAAAAAAAAAAAAAAAATTCAGTTTTCTATGAATGTTAACAAATGCATGGAAAAAGTTTGGAAAGAGCTAGAACAAACTTAACAGTTGTTACTTCTAGGAGATAGACTTGGGGAAATGAGGGCATTTGTACTTAATTTTATATACTTTTGTAATGTATGAGAATTTAAAGTTAGCATACATTATTTTCAAACTGGTAGGGGGAGTTTAAAGTTAGCCAAGGACTGAAAATATAACAGGATAGGAGGTTGATTCTCTCAAGTGAAAGTGGAAACTTTCATTTTGAAGTTTTTGTGTGTGTTTCCTTTCTTTCTGCTCTTTAATTCTTAACTCAGCTGCCATCAGAACTGCAAACTGGGTTGAGCAAGTTACTTAATGACTCACTGCACTTGTTTTGACCTTTTAATGCTTGTGGCTAATTGATTCCGAGTGCTGGCGATCTGTGTGCATTTAGTTCCTGGTTACTGTTTACAAGGGACTGTTTTTAAGAGATCACAAGGATTTGTAAGATACCATTAGTGAACTGTGTATTTGGTGCAAGTACTTTCTTGACCTGCATAGGGCTGGTCCAGCCATCATGAGCTCATTAGTGAGCCCAGGAGCACCCCCACTACTTGTGCCAGCCTAAGGGGCTTGTGTTGCTACTTGCAGAGTGAGCGTCCTGCTTCCAGAAGGTTGTGGTAATACCCTGAAGCTCTTTGGAAGTTTCTTTTTACATTTTTCATTTATTCTTACATATATATCTATATATATTTTTTTAATTTAGAACTGAAATGAGGTCTTGCTACGTTGCCCAGAGTGGTCTCGAACTCCTCAGCTCAAGCCATCCGCCTGCCTTGGCTTCCCGAAGAACTGGGATTACAGACATGAGCCACCAAGCCCCGCCTCATTTTCTATTTTTTTTTTTTTCCTTTAGAGGGAGTCTTGCTCTGTCGCCCAGGCTGGAGTACAGTGGCGCAATCTCAGCTTACTACAATCTCCACTTCACGGGTTCAAGCAATTCTTCTGCCTCAGCTTCCCAAGTAGCTGGGATTACAGGCACCTACCATCACGTCCAGCTAATTTTTTTTGTATTTTTAATAAAGACAGGGTTTCACCATGTTGTTCAGGCTGGTCTTGAACTCCTGACCTCAGGTGATCCGCCCGCCTCAGCCTCCCAAAGTGCTGGGATTACAGGCGTGAGCCACCACGCCCGGCCATTTTAGACACTTTGGGAGGCCGAGGCGGGCGGATCACGAGGTCAGGAGATGGAGACCACCCTGGCTAACACAGTGAAACCCCGTCTTTTCTAAAAATACAAAAAATTAGCCGGGCGTGGTGGCAGGTGCCTGTAGTCCCAGCTACTTGGGAGGCTGAGGCAGGAGAATGGTGTGAACCCGGGAGGCGGAGCTTGCAGTGAGCTGAGACTGCGCCACTGCACACCAGCCTGGGCGACAGAGCAAGACTCCATCTCAAAACAAAAAAAAAAGGCTAAAAATATATAAAGGAGGACAGAAATCACTCATAATGTCAACATGAAACAACAATAGAATTTTGTGATGTTCCCTTTATATCTTTGCTCATGTGCATTTTTTGCATAACTATAAAATGTTCACATATAGATTTTTAATCCTGATTTTATTTTAGGCTACATAGAAGGGGTGTTTACATTTTAAATTATCTCTGAATTGTCTAGATAATATTCCATCCAGCAGGTAATTATAACTTTTTTTTTTTTCTGAGACGGAGTCTCACTCTTGTCGCCCAGACTGGAGTGCAGTGGCACGATCTTGGCTCACTGCAATCTCCGCCTCCTGGGTTCAAGCGATTCTCCTGCCTCAGCCTCCTGAGTAGCTGGGATTACAGGCACATGCCACCACGCCCCGGCTAATTTTTGTACTTTTAGTAGAGACGGGGTTTCACCATGTTGGCCAGGCTGGTGTCAAACTGCTGACCTCAGGTGACCCACCCACCTCGGCTTCCCAAAGTGCTGGGATTACAGGCGTGAGCCACTGTGCCCAGCCACTTACAACTTATTTAACAATGCCCTTATGTTGAATAGTTCCTTTTAAAATTTTTCTTTACTTTCTGGAATTTTATTGTTGAATCTCAAAATAACTGGGAACTACCTTAGAATGCCTTTGTGATGAAGGCTCATATGTCATAAGCAAATTCAATTCCTGACCTCAGGAAGTTTCTAGTTAAGAGCAGGTGACCAATAATTATAATCAAGTATGATCATTGCTATATCAGAAGTATGTCTGAATTGCTCTGGGGGAGGAGGATGGGAGAATGTTGGTGAAGACTTCTTAGAGGAGGTGCTGTTTGAGTTACATCCCGAGGGCAGTTAAGAGTTAGCCAGCTATGGCCGGACACAGTGGCTCATGCCTGTAATTCCAGCACTTCGGGAGGCCGAGGCGGGCGGATCACGAGGTCAGGAAATCGAGAGCATCCTGGCTAACATGGTGAAACCCTGTCTCTACTGAAAATACAAAAAATTAGCCGGGCGTGGTGGCGGGCGCCTGTAGGCCCAGCTACTCAGGAGGCTGAAGCAAGAGAGTGGCGTGAACCCAGGAGGCGGGGCTTGCAGTGAGCCGAGATCGCACCACTGTACTCCAGCCTGGGCGACAGAGCAAGACTCTGTCTCAAAAAAAAAAAAAAAAAAAAAAGCCAGCTATGAAGTGATGGAAACACATTCCAGGAAGAGAAGATTGTTTGAAGGGAGTACAGAGGGATGGCAAAGCATGACATATTTAGGGAATGACAGATAGCCTAGTATGGTTGGAGAAATGGAGGCTCATGGATGAGTGGCAGGATGGGATCCTAAATATGGAGACTGTGGTCAGATTACAAGAGACTTCCTGTGCCAAGATGAGGAGTTGAAACTTCCTGCTGAAGGCCACAGAGAGCCATGGCAGGGAACACTTCCTAAATAACAATGTGGTTTTGGAGCACAGCAACCTCATTGCTTTGGCAAAGTCTCCAATAAGTGTGATGAAATCTTCTAGGATGAAGACTGAAAATGATGCACTCAGCTTTCTTCTGGATCATTTGTATTTGTCATGAAAAGCATTTTGGTAGCATGTTTAAGTCACACAGGTGGACTTCTGCGGCCTCTTTGGGAAATAGGAAAATACCTCAGGGACAGGAATCATGTGCTGCAAAGATGGTATTTAGTATGTGTATTAGTCAGGACTTTTCAAGTTGACAGAACCCCAACTGAGATAATAGAAAGGGAAATGTCTTTCTATATGTAATGAAAATGTCTAAGGGTGGTTCTTTCTGGTTTCAGGCACAGTGGGATCCAGAGGCTCAAGCAGTATTGGTAAAGCTTGCTCCCTTCCTGCCTCCATTGGTCACTCCATCCTTCATTCTGGGTCTCTTTATTCTCTCCTGTAGCAGACAGATGCTTCTGTGTAACTAGGGAGAGTTGCTGCTGGAAGGCCCTGCTTGTGTTCTCTCTTGAACTCACAATCCCAAAGGAATACTCTTTCCTCCTTTCTCCCGTAACTCATGTGACAAATTTCAGGGAATCACATGCCCATCCCTGAACTAGGATGGTGGAATACTCTATTGGTCAGGTCTGGGGGTGCCCACCAAAACTATATGTAATAGGATACCCAAAGTTAGTGGGATTCTATTTATAGAAGGAGGAGAGTAGGAGTACTGGCCAAATGTTTGAATAAATAAAGGCCATCCACTATTGTTATCTCTGGTTCTTTTAAAGAGGGGAGATGTCCACTGGAAAAAAGTAGAGCTCATCACGTATCCAAGAACTGCCTTCATGCGTGAGTTTGGCCTGATATGTGCTTGCACTATAGTCCACTTGGTATCCAGGTCACACAGAACAGATACTCCCAGCACATGTTCCAAAGCAGCCCCCTGTCCAATTTTCCTTAGCACGTAGGCTCAAGACAATGCCCCACTTCCCAAAGGCCTTGTGGCAATGTCCTCTTTTTCTTTCACATATATGATTTATGTTCCGTCAACGACAGGAAACTGCTCAAAGATCCACCCAGTCCTGCCGCTGCCCCCGTGATGGTTTGTTTTTCTCATTGTTTAGCGCTCCATTAGCTTCCGCAGTGAGAGCCGCCCTGACATCCTCGCCCCCCGACCCTGGTCCAGAAATGCCGCCCCCTCGAGCACGAAACGGAGAGATAGCAAGCTGTGGAGTGAGACCTTCGATGTGTGCGTCAATCAGATGCTTACATCCAAGGAAATCAAACGTCAGGAGGTAGGCTCGGGGCCCATGGAGCTGGCTGTGTGTCTGGAACAAAGGTGCATTGCAGCGTCAGCCATGCTGGAATTTGCGCCTTAGTCTCCAAATCAATTCTTCATTGCGTTTGCAGAAGGATAAACAAGAGTGTCTGACCTTGGGGAAGGAACTGAGAAACCAGAAACCAGCTGGGAGGGTGTGGCCCCCACTTTAAAAAGAAACTGATGTGAAAATATGAATTTACAAGAAGATGAAACCAAGTGTCTATTTAGGATTCTGAAGTTCACAAAAATAATCATTTTAGTTATATTTTGTTAGCAACTTATAGACTATTTTAAAATATTTAGTTTACATAGCTTTGATTCAGCTTCATGGAAAACTTCCTTTCTATAGAATCCAGTTAATTTCATTCCCGGTAAGTTTTCTGTATCAGTTGCCCTAAATGACTCTGATAATATTACCCTGTATAGAAGAGCTTGTTTAAGTGCTTGTGCCAGGCTGTGCTGAGCACTTCATGTGTGCATCATCTGATGAGATCCTTGGAGTATCCAGCTCAGGGTTGTGCCTCCACCTGCTTTGTCCTCAGTTTACCAAGCAGCCCCAGGTGGAGGGAGCTTTCAAAGCCTGACCACTGTTTCCCTATATCCTGAAACACAGTAGACCCTGAAATATCGTTACAAACTTGTACTCCTTTAATAATGTAATGTTTGCTGACAGTTTGACTTCCCAGATGGAAGTGAAAGAGTGTTCTGTGCATCATAGCTCTTTAGCATGATGGCTTAATAGAGCCAAATTAGAAACGGTCCATTTACCTACTCTTCCACACAGCCAGCGCCTATAATTTTATTTGTTGTACCTGTGGGGCTGAGAAGTGGTTTAGAATGAATTAACTTCACCAGGTTGTATTTGGAGTGATAAAATGTTGGATTCTTCCTACAATCTCAGCCTCAAGGCAGTGGATAATACAAATAAAACTTTCTGCTGAGATTCGCCTTCTGTCGAGTAGAAGAAAAAGTGGGGATGGCCCAGTTAATAATACTGCCACATCCATTATCTAGAAGAGCCTCTGAATCACTTCTTATGATGGCCTCTCACAACAAGGGTACCAAATCCATGGCTCACACTGTAATTATTTTACCTAAAATAGTTCCCTCTTGTTCAGCTGCATCAAAGTTCTGTAACATGAAAGATGACTTTTTGGACTAGAAATGTGTAGAAACTTTCTCCCACAAACAGAGAAGCACAATATGCAGCAGTTTTGCAATATCTTTTCATTGCAGGTTTAAGCATAGATGCATTTGCTTCAGGTTAACGTAACTTAAAATACTTAAATATGTAAATTTGGGGTTTTGAGTGGTGGAGCCAGCACTATTTGAATATGGTCTTGTAAATGAAGGGAGAATTCAGTGAATATGTTTATCTTTCCTTGCAGGCGATCTTTGAGCTTTCCCAAGGAGAAGAAGACTTGATAGAAGACTTGAAATTAGCAAAAAAGGTAAATTTAAATCCAGCAGTCACTTGAGTCAAGTCACATTTTTTTTCTTGAGTAATTTCACAACCCTAAAGTGGTGCTTCGTGAGAACTGTCTTTATGACTAAGACTGGTCTGCTACCACACACCAAGCAGTGGGGAAAGTGTTTCAAAACAAGAGGGCAGAATAGCTCTCCAGACCTGGCACCTTTAGGGGTTTACCTCTGTATGTCTCTAATGCATGTCAAAGAATACTTCAGCCTAAATCAGAAAGTGTCCATGGAGGCCTCGCCTTATGTATATTTCATTGTCCTAGAAGTCTCATATGTAGGACTCTTTGCCCATAGGAGAGAATGTGTGCATGTCTGAAACTTGAACTGAGTCTTAGAAATAAAGCCATTTGAATCTCAAAAGTGAATAAAGTGAAATGAGGCAATTGCATACTATCATATAAGTTGGGGTCTTTTATATAGGAATTTGTTTTCTAATCAACATTTTGTGTGGGGAGGAGGAGGACAACAAACCTTCCTCAAAAACATTTTCGTTCCAGTGGCACAGCCCCCCAACTCCATGGCTTGGAGGCTAAAATCCAGACTCCTTCATCTGATATTCACAGCCTCCTCGAAGAATCACAGGGTTGGAAGGCTACATCCCTTCTTTTAAGGGTTTTTAGTCTTTCTGCTAAGATGAAATTCCACCTCTAGCATTCCTGAGAGATGGCCACCCAAGCTTTGCTTGGACACAGCCAAGAAACTGAGTTTTAGGCAGAGCTGGAGGAGGAGGAGATCAGAGAGGACAAAGAAGTTATTTCACTCTGAGAGTTATCATGCTGGTGTCTAACTCCCCTTTCCTGCATCAAGATTTGCCAAACTCAAGCACCTTCAGGTGTTTCCCAGCCATCCTTTTGCTTATGGTGGCCCTACCTTCCTAGAAACTTTTCTCTTTCGTTTCAACCATTCATATCCACCCATCCTTCAGGAACCAGCTCAAATCTCAGTTTATTCTTACATAACATTTATTGCCTCCTTCTCTGTACCAAGCAGCTTATCTTCAAAACTTCCCTTGGCCACTCCAGCTTTAATTCTCTGACCTTCTAGAGCAGTTTTGATTTGATGGCTTTTTGCTGTCTTGTGACATCAGTCTGGTTTTTAATCTTTAATTTTTAAACATAAGCCGGGTCCGGTGGCTCACACCTATAATCCCGACACTTTGGGAAGCTGAGGCAGAAGGATCACTTGAGGTCAGGAGTTCAAGACCAGCCTGGCCAACATGGTGAAACCCTGTCTCTACTAAAAAATACAAAAATTAGGCTGGGTGCTGTGGCTCACGCCTGTAATCCCAGCACTTTGGGAGGCCGAGGCGGGCAGATCACGAGGTCAAGAGATCAAGACCATCCTGGCCAACATGGTGAAACCCTGTCTCTACTAAAAAGTACAAAAAAAAAAAGAAAAAAATATTTTTTAAACATAGATTTAGTTTTCCATGAGATCAGAAACTAAAATATAAACTAGAAAATATTTTAGTTTTTCTTATCTTCCCCATTAGCTTTATAAAATTCCTTGAAGGTAGGAGACTTTTAAGTCTTTGTGTTCTATTTTAGTGCCCTGGGTATAACTGTGTATTCTTGTTGTTTAATTTTCTCTAGTAAGAGGTGATAGGATTATCACCTTTGCTCTCTTTGTTCAAATCAGTAGTAAAGGATACCAATCACTGTTTCTTTCCTCTTTTTCTTTATTTTAAATATGTACTAATTGAAAAAAGAATCTGCTAGTAGCTAGTTTTGAATAAAGTGGGATTTTTTTAAGAGGCAGGATCTTGATTTTGAAAACATTTTAACAGTCAAATCTGTTCTATACCTAGGATTTGTGCTCTTTCCTAGATATATGACATACTAGAATAAAAAAGCTTTTGAAAAATCTGCTTTGGTTTATCAACCACAAAGGCTTAAGGCAGTGCTGGTTTCTCCTCTCCTCCAGCCACACCTCTCTGCTGTTTCTGCAGCTTTATGGGAGAAGTTGTTAGAGAGCCAGAAGTTTTGTTATTGGATAGGACCTCTCAGGAGCCACTTACATGAACAATGTACTTCCTCTGATTTTAAACATGTGCTTCCATCTCTTGCCGTTTTTGTGCAGGCCTATCATGACCCCATGCTGAAACTCTCCATAATGACAGAACAAGAGTTGAATCAAATTTTTGGAACACTGGACTCTCTAATTCCTCTACATGAAGGTATAATTTTGTTCCCAGGATGAGTCGTGACTTGTAGCCTTAACTGAGTTGTCTTATAATGAGTGAGTGATTATTAATTGCCTGCAATGTGAATAACCCAGAACCTACTTCCAGCCCTGTTCATATTTGAATGCCTAACAAATAAGCATCTGTTTGTTTTTTGCCAGAGCTCCTTAGTCAGCTTCGAGATGTTAGGAAGCCTGATGGCTCGACTGAACATGTTGGTCCCATCCTCGTGGGCTGGGTAAGAAAGTTCTCTGGTCTTTATTGAAGATAAATTTCAATAATATAGATGGGAGTTTCATTTTAGCTAGACTTTTTTTATTTTTATTTTTATTTTTTTACAAATGTTGGTTTCACATCAGAAAAAAAAATCCTAGTAAAATTTTAATTAAATTTAAGTTTTGTATCTTTAAAGCATGAAAATAGTTTTTTTCTTATTACAAATTTATTGCATTTAAAAGTAACAGGGCCTTTTGGAACAAAATAAGTAAAGGTACACATGAAACTATTACTAGTTTCGTATCAAAATAAAACTAGTTAATATTCCGTCAGGCCAATCGCTAACATAATATACTCCAATAAAAATTTATTGACATATATCCACTACCAAAAAAAAAAAAAAAAAACTTGTCATGCTATTAAAAAAAAATTCTCATGGTCAAAATGCAGTTTTATAAACAAGATCATAAGTAAAGGTTGCTAATGTTTAGCATATTAAAAAAAACTTTTTAGGCCATAAAAAAAATCTCATGGTCAAAATGTAGTTTTATAAACAAGATAATAAGTAAAGGTTGCTAATGTTTAGCATATATACCATGCTAAGTAATTTATAGGAGAGCTGGGTATATGGTGACCTTCATCCTAATATAATCCATTCCTTTTCCTAATTAAATAAAAAGAAGTAAGCTGTGATCTTAGATTAGGAGTCATAAATTTATGATCCTGGGGCTGGATTTGTGTTTTATTGTGTACTTAAAGTTGTTTGTTTCACTTACGCTAGACAAGGCGTGTGCTCTTATTTTGCCTCAGTCCCCACCGCTCCCTATTCTACACATTTATGTTTCCTTCTGTGAGTGCTTGAATGGTCCACCCCAGTTCCAGGTGTTTTTCATTTGTTATAAAGCAGATAATGAGAGGAGATTACTTTGCTGACTTATTCCAGGCAAGATTAGGTCTCTCATCACTCTGTTGCTCACAGTATTCCAGAAAAATAGGCAGGAAGTACCACAACAGCTAATATTAGAGATTATTTCACTGTTTGGAGAGTGTTGTGAAGGTTATAAATCCTACTGTTGCTATGTGAGTTCTCTTTATTCCGTTACATCTGCATTTTAATCTTCCTAAAACCTTTCAGTTAACATGCCTTGATAACACATAGATGTGCAGAAAGTTTTAACATTGATCTTTTAACTTACGTTTCTCAATGACTGCCTTGATCAAGATACTTGATGAGAGTTTCATGACTTAAATAGCTTTAGTTCAGGAGTCAATTTTAGCACCAAGGCTGAAATATCCCAAAGGTATCCGAAAGGCAAGTAATGTTCTAAGATGAATAATTTAGAAAATATGCCTTAATATTTCAAGAGAGATCATTCATCTTATATTTTTGACTTTCATTTTATTATGAGCCATCGTAGATGTTTTAACTTCTTTAGCCCACAAAGAAATTTCTCCAAAGAGAGCCAGCCAACCGGAGACAGACAGAGACAAAGAAGGTATAATGAGTAGAGAGTGCCTCAGTGTCTCTTAAACTTCCTGAGTCTGTGGACTGCTTTGATATGGGGGTAAATGGAGCAGTTAGGCCACACTCCAGAATTTGTAGGATAACTCCTCTGCTTTTGATGAGACAGCAGTACAGGACTACATGGTTTCCTTAAGCATCATATGCAAATTGTCAGTTTATGCCAGAAGCAAAATTGTAGGAATTTGCCTTGTTAGTAACTTTTTGCTGAAATAAACATTTGTCACGTTTATTAGAAAATTGGTTTGATCTGGGAGCAGCTTTGCAGTCATTTTCTGTACATACCCAAAGGAAGTGTGACCATGCTGGCCCATTGCTATCTGGATGCTTCAGACATCAAATGAGGACTTGGATCTTGAAGAGCAGCCTAAAATTAAACAACTGGCCCGTTGTTGCCAGACTTCGTGAGAAATGGCCCTTATTTATCAGGCCTGACAAGCTGTTAAATGTTTTTCCTCTTTTAACTGCAGATGTGTCCGTCTGAGTGGGAACAGTAAACCTAGGGGTACATATGTTTGAGTTCTTGTATTTTTAACAGAACAAAATAAACATCTTAGTGGACTTTGGATGAGAAGAGTCCCATTCGACCCATGAAAAATTGATTTATTTTCTCCGCAAAGGAAAAAAGGGGGGTGGGGGGGAACCCTTTTAAACAAGTGAGCCTTCCAAGTGGGACAGCCCTGGCCAGTCCTTTTGACCTTAGAATGAATCAATTACTTTTACTTTGAAGACCTTAAACAGAGTGGTTGCTTTTTTTCAGGGAACTACCCCGGTTACTGAGAATCAGTGTCCCCGCTCCCTAATGGGTCAGCCTGTTTGAGTAAGCCTTCCCTAGCATAAAGAAACAACTTCCCAAGTGACTTATCTCTATGCCAACGTTTTTTCAATGATGAAATACTTTATAAGCTCTCCAAGGCAGAAAGTTCTCATGTTAATTTGTTGTCTCACTAAATTTTAATTCCCAGGAAAGAGCCAGAGTACATGGAAGCAAAAAAAAAAAAAAAAATAGATTTTTTCACAATATTAGGGGGATAAAAGAACTTCTTTAAAAAGTGAGTTTCCCTTATAAATTCTTGATAGTCTATTTAATAAAGAGATGGTGAATAGTTCAGAACTCTGAGGGTAAAGGGGAAGCAAGAACAAGCTTCAGACTCTCGTTTTGTCTCCAGCTGAGCAAGTAGCTTTGGTTCTCTAAACGACAGTTTCTTCAATAAAAATATTCTAGGGCCCAAGCACAGTGGCTCACGTCTGTAATCCCAGCACTTTGGGAGCCTGAGGCGGGTGGATCTCTTGAGCCCAGGAGTTGGAGACCAGCCTGGGCAACATGGCGAAACCCTGTCTCTACAAAAAAAATATTAGCTGGCATGGTGGTGCATGCCTGTAGCCCTAGCTATTTGAGAGGCTGAGGAGGGAGAATTGTTTGAGCCTGGGAAGAAGAGGCTGCAGTAAGCCATGATCATGCCACTGCTCTCCACCTGAGCAACAAAGGGAGACCCTATCTCGAAAACAAAGAACTTCTTGGGACAAGTAATAATAGCTAGTACTTACTGATTCTATATCAGAAGCCAAGCTCCATGCTACACATTTTGTATGCTTTACCTCATTAAGGGAGAGGGGGACATTAGTATATACATTTTGTAGGTGGAGACACTGAGGCTTGGAAGAGTCACTGACAGCTGTGTGAGTTAGGCTTTGAACCTGATTCTCCCTATTACTGAGTCTGTCCTTTTTTCCGAGACAGTCTCTCTCTGTCGCCAAGGCTGGAGTGCAGTGATGTGATCTCAGTTCATTGCAACCTTTGGCTTCTGGGTTCAAGCGATTCTTGTGACTCAGCCTCCCAAGAAGCTGGGATTACAGGCATGCACCACTATGCCCGGCTAATTTTTATATATTTTAGTAAAGACGGGATTTTGCCACGTTGCCCAGGCTGGGCTCAAACTCCTGACCTCAAGTGCCTCCCAAAGTAATATGATTACAGGCGTGAACCACCGCACCCGGCCTAGTCTCTTTAACTGCATTTTCACCTCTCATTCTGAATAAGGGAGTGTCTGTATTTGAGAACCAGATCTTGTACATTATTCACCCTGTGTAGTTAAAGATCACTTGGGGCCTCTCCTAGCCGGTGACTGAACCAGATAGCCTTTCAGGTCATGCCCAGGAAATGAGCACCCTGTCAGGTGAGAGCACAGGACCAGAGCCCCATTTGGTTGCCATGGTAGCAGGGCAGCAGGATCACAGGGAGCAGTGGCCCATTGGACAGTGAGCAGCAGTGTGGTCGAGGTTCCTCACTAGTTTACATCCAATGGTTACTGCTGATTTGTTTCTTCCTAATGAAAACATTGGGCATTTCCAGATCTTTTTAAAAGGTGAGGAAGTGGAAATTAAATGAAGAGGGCCTGAGGCCCTTTTTAATTAACTCTGAAAGTCTAAATTACAAGCCACAGTACCACGTTTGGGTTCTCTCTCTCTCTCTCTCTCTCTCTCTCTCTCTGTGTGTGTGTGCGCGCATGTATAAGTACCAATTATCATTACTTTCAAATAATAATAGCTAGTACTTACACAAATATAAGGTTGAGGGAAAAAATGTCTGCAACTCTTTAACACAAGTAGAGATTTTTAATAACATGTAAGGAAGGTAGACATTTCAAAGGAATGTTAAGCTCAATAGTAAGCTTGTAAAATATTACTTTCCTGGTATCCTTTTTATGGTTTCAGTCACTGAGGAAATAATTTCAATAAGAGGTGTAAAAGCTGCAGCAGAGTATTTAAAGTTTCAGATGCTGCCATACTTTATTTATTTTTATGTATTTATTTATTTTTTTTTTTGAGACAGAGTCTCACTCTGTTGCCAAGGCTGGAGAGCAGTGGCATGATCTCGGCTCACTGCAACCTCTGCCTCCCGGGTTCAAGAGAGTCTCCTGCCTCAGCCTCCTGAGTAGCTGGGATTACAGGTGTGTGCCACCATGCCTGGCTAATTTTTGTATTTTTAGTAGAGATGGGGTTTCACCATGCTGGCCAGGCTGGTCTTAAACTCCTGACCTCGTGATCCGCCTGCCCCGGCTTCCCAATGTGCTGGGATTACAGGCACGAGCCACTGCGCCTGGCCGCCATACTTTATTTTTAAGCAAGGTTCACAAACCATCAAATATTACCTAATCTTGTAATCCATTAAACATGCATTTATTTGTTCATTCAGAACACAGAGTGTCTGCCATATAGTAGGCCCAATGCAAAGTAGTGAGGATACAGAAATGAAAGACACTCCTTTGCCAGTGTCTTGCACTGAATCCCTCTGAAGAGCAGGTGTTACAAGGGACTAGGGCTTCCTAGTACAAGAGAAAGAAACAAAAGCAGTTAGGCCATTGGCTGCATTTGATTGCTTCTGGTAACTTTCTGGAGGCTGATAGCTCTTAGATTAGAACACCAAGGCAGAAAAAGTGGATGAGAAGCCTTTTCCGTTGAATCTCTGACATGGTATTTGCACAGTGTGACTGATGGGATGTGTCAGAGAAATTAGCATTTTGCTAGAATGAAGGCAGTGAAGGTTAAATGTTCCAAAGTCTTTAAGCTTAAATTGTTCGTTACATAGTATTGTACAGGCTCACGCCTGTAATCTCAGCACTTTGGGAGGCCGAGGCGGGCGGATCACGAGGTCAGGAGATGGAGACTATGCTGGCTAACACGTTGAAACCCCATCTCTACTAAAAATACAAAAAATTATCCGGGCATGGTGGCGGGCGCCTGTAGTCCCAGCTACTCAGGAGGCTGAGGCAGGAGAATGGCGTGAACCCGGGAGGTGGAGCTTGCAGTGAGCCGAGATAGTGCCATTGCACACCAGCCTGGGTGACAGAGCGAGACTCCGTCTCAAAAAAAAAAAAATTGCTTTGTGAAAGCAAGCCAGAGCCTAAGAAAATTGTCCACTGCCTGCCATGTTGAAGATTCCACTAGTTTCCTCCAGCCATGCAGATAAAGGAATGTCAGCCAGACCCAGAGACCAGTTAGGTGTTTGTTCAGTCCCAATAAATGATGCCACCGTAGCCTCAGAGCTCAATTATTTTGACATTCCAACCTTCTCTTTCTGTTTCCTTCTTAGCTCCCTTGCCTCAGCTCCTATGATAGCTACTGCAGCAATCAAGTAGCCGCCAAAGCTCTGCTGGACCACAAAAAGCAAGATCACCGAGTCCAGGATTTCCTACAGCGATGTTTAGAATCCCCCTTTAGCCGCAAACTAGATCTCTGGAATTTCCTCGATATTCCAAGAAGCCGCCTGGTAAAATACCCTCTGCTTCTCCGAGAAATCTTGAGGCACACACCAAATGATAATCCAGATCAGCAGCACTTGGAAGAAGCTGTAAGTTTGTCTGTTTCCTTCTCTCTCTTCTTGTTATTTCCACCATAATGGCTGGTGGATTGGGTCAGTGGGTGAATGGAAGAGTCCCTGGGTACTTAGTACTCAGGAATCTTGGGTTCCAGGCCTGGCACTGCCATCAACCATGTTTTGATTTTGCAAGTCACTTCTCATCTTTCTGCCTCAGTTTCCTAAACTGTAAAATGCAGTGCTTACATGAAACACGCTGTAAGGTCCCTTAGTAAAATTCTTAATTTTATACAGGTGACTCTAATCTGGTGTTACAGTTGCTGTCTGTGAGGGACAAGATCTTTGTGTATATTTTAAATTTTGTTTAGTTAGAAAATAGTAAGTTGCCTTTTAGCCTAGCCCCAAAACTCATTTGTGAAGTGGACATCCATTTAAAATCTAGCTCCATTTAGCCCCCGATTACAGTGGCTTGCCTTGTCAAACCTCCTGCTCACTAGTGGGATCCTCACTCAGCAAATGTTTGTTGAGTGTGGGCCAGGCACGATGGCTCATGCCTGTAATCCCAGCACTTTGGGAGGCCGAGGTGGGCAGATCACTTGAAGCCAGGAGTTCAAGACCAGCCTGGCCAAAAAAGCAAAACCCTGTCTCTACTAAAAATACAAAAAAAAAAAATTAGCTGGGCGAGGTGGCATATGCCTATAATCCCAGCTACTCAGGAAGGTGAGGCACAAGAATCGCTTGAGCCTGGGAGGTGGAGGTTGCAGTGAGCTGAGATCACGCCACTGCAACTCCAGCCTGGGCAACAGAGTGAGACTCTTGTCTCAAAAAAAAAAAAAAAAAGGTTTATTGAGTGTGGGCTGGGTAATCTGGGAAATATATATTTTTCCCTAGCAGCAATAGAAGACGAGGAAAAATGGGGTGCACATCATGAGAATATTGTAAACTGTGAGCATTCCACCCAGAGAGCACCGTTCTGGTTGAGGTACTCTGCATGGTAGAGATGGCAGATGGCAGGCCACGGGGAGCGGGTGGCCTGAGCAAAGGTATAAGGAAATGACAGGACAGGTCGTGCCTGGGGAATATCATGGATCAGTTGGCCTGGGGTTAGGGGTCCTCTGAGAAAGCAGCAGGAGAGAAGACAGAGGATGTGGGTTCAGATCTGGTTATAGAGGTTTTTAAATATCAATTTAAGAGATTTTTTCCTTTGTCATGCAATTAATTGAAGTTTTTTTTTTGTTTGTTGGTTGGTTTCTAAGTAGCTGGGATTCAGGATTCAAATCCCAGCTCCATCATTTACAAGCTCTGTAACCTTGGACACATACTCTTGGTAGAACAAGGGACTGAGGAGGAAGAGACTGGTGATAGGGATGCAAGTTGGGAGGATGCTGTCCAGGTGTGAAAACCTGATCAAGGAGGTGGCAGTGGGGATAGAGGCTAGCAGACCATTCAAAGGGCTCATTTTCTGATTTAATCTGGGACAATAATAGAAGGAGGATATGCATAGGTAATTTGAAAATCAGAAACCTTGAACCTGCTGAGCAAACTGCCTATTTCCTCCCAGATAGGGGTTTAATAATAAGTAGTAGTAACAACAATCATGGTAATAATTGCTGGCATTGAGTATCTAGTAAATCAACTTTATGTAATTTGCCTCATAGGTTATGTATCTCATTTAACCGTCACAACAGCCTAGGAGATAGCTGTTCTTATTAGGACCATTTTCCAGATGAGGCTTAGAGGGGTTAAATAGCTTGCCCAGGTCCACAGCCAGCAAGTGATGCAGTTGATGTTCAAACCCTGTCAGTGTAGACTCCAAATCCTGTGCCCTTCAACTTCTTTATGATTCTATACCTTGATGCAGAAAGCCTGCCCACTACTTTGAGTTTCTGTTGCCTTTGTAATTGTGGAGAGCTGTCTGGTCACCAGCCTCACTGGTGCAGAACTGGGCTGGGTGCCTCCAAGTAGGATAGAAAAGAAGAATAAAGGACCCTCTTCTGATTCATGAGGTATTCAATGTATCTGGCAGGCCCAACACAGAGATCAGGCCCCCAGTCCAGCACAGATGGGGGACGCAGTCGCTGGGGTTGAGGCCCATCTCACTTCATCATGTCTGTTTTTATTACTGGGAAGAGTGCGATAGAGTTGCCTCCTTTCCATATTTCATCCCAGCAAGTGTGTGGTCTGCAGGAATAAAAACAACAGGGAGCATGAGCTACTCAAAGTCATGACTTTTTTGAAGCATGGGAGCCTGTTCTGAGTTACTGTAAAGATTTCTTTTTAATATGGAGCATGAAAGAATACTGTTCTGTTTTTTTAAAAAATACCCAGTGAGCTAAAGTTTGAATTTAAAAACAGATAAGAATATGATTGTGTGTAATTCAAAATGATGTGCCAGTAACCAGTTTTCCTAGTGCATAAAGTATGAAGCTGTTTTCAAAAGTTCACTCTGCATCTAGTTATTCAGGCAGATCTGTGCATGAAACATGGTATACCTGCATTTGAAAATGTCTGCAAAGCAAGTCTTCCAAATGCCTACTTACACAGTATACGCACAGGATTTTTTTTTTCCCTTTACAGAATCCTCATAGCATTCATTACCCCACATGAACAGAATTATTTAGCCCTGTACTCTTGGGTGCATTATGAATGTTTGATAAACATAAAACATAAAACAAGCACCAATATAGCTTGACAAATATCCCATGAATAAATTTCCCATCAATGAAAAGGGAAAAATCAGAGAGCGCTAAGTAAATTGCTTCCGTTCCAAGAGAGTTGATTGCATTCATACCTATGATTAGATCTAAAAAGAGGTCTTGCCTTTAATGCAGTGCCTAAATTACCACATCTTTATTAGAATTTCATAATAATGCTTTGAGGGTTGATAAAAATTTTTCTCAAAAGAGAACTTCTTAAAATAGGAGTTTGGATATTCAGATATTCCAGAGAACTTGGTTGTTTAGTGTTTTAAATTCTAAGAATTTTTCGGCCAGAAAATGATCCTGCAGAGCATCCCTTCCCCCCACCTCACCACTATTTCTCAACTCCTAAAAAAAAAAAAAATCACTGAAATCAGTGGGAAAAACAGTCCTGCTTTTGATGCAACAGCCGTGAAGACTGCTATTCTTGGTTCATGGCAGGAGCCAGTGAGTATCATGGCACAAGGGACCAGACAGTCAGGGCTTTCAGAGTCCACTTTGAGGATGATGAGTCCAGCACATGTGAGCTTAATCTCTGTACTGTTACCAGGTATCTCTCATCATCTCCCTTTACCAGTCCCTTCCTTCAGTTTGAACCCAGTGAGAGATGCAACAATAAATTTAATTTAAATGGGCAACTACTGTGACTGTTGACTGGCTATTGGCAGCCTACTGTATGTAACTTTATGCCTCCCTGAAATTCTGCAAAATAAATCTCTCTCAAGAACCAATGCAAAGCTGGGCGCGGTGGCTCACGCCTGTAATCCCAGCACCTTGGGAGGCCAAGGCGGGCAGATCAAGAGGTCAGGAGATCGAGACCATCTTGGCTAACACAGTGAAACCCCGTCTCTACTAAAAATACAAAAAATTAGCTGGGCGTGGTGGCAGGCGCCTGTAGTCCCAGCTACTTGGGAGGCTGAGGCAGGAGAATGGTGTGAACCTGGGAGGCGGAGCTTGCAGTGAGCCGAGATTGCCACTGCTCTCCAGCCTGGGCGACAGGGCAAGACTCCATCTCAAAAAAAAAAAAAAAAAAAAAAAAAAAGAACCAATGTAGAGGCCAGGAGCAGTGGCTCATGCCTGTAATCCCAGCACTTTGGGAGGCCAAGGCAGGCGGATCACCTGAGGTCAGGAGTTCGAGACCAGCCTGACCAACATGGAAAATCCCATCTCTACTAAAAATACAAAATTAGCCGGGCATGGTGGTGCATGCCTGTAATCCCAGCTACACGGGAGGCTGAGGCAAGCGAATCACTTGAACCCGGGAGGCGGAGGTTGCAGTGAGCCGAGATTGCGCCATTGCACTCTAGCCTGGGCAACAAGAGCGAAACTCAGTCTCCAAAAAAAAAAAAAAAAAGAACCAAAGCAGAGAGATAAGATTCTCATGATATTCAGGTAGATAGAAAGACAAAACATTATTTTTAATAAATGAAAGCAGACCCAGAGTTACTATTATAAATGTATATACATAGAACATGGAATGAGAACACTGATTGTTTCCATTGTTTTGTCTCTGTTTTTCAAACACCAGCAAAAGAAGCAGTATTTGAAACTAATCTTAGCTGCATAAGGAACTGCCATGGCATTTGAGTTCATTAATCTTCATGTGATATGCCAGTTGTTCAGTTCCTGAGTTAAATTAGGAAATGAACACATATTTATGACTATAGCGCATCTTCTTTCTGGTTTCCTGGATATTTGCAGGCAACTCAGAAAATTGACTCAAGCGCTGATTAATTCCGGCTGTCCAGGTACACCTGGTAACAGTTAACTGAGAAGTCACAGCCACTAATGCTGAGGTCTTTAAGAGTAAGGAAAAAGCATGGATTTCACTATATATTAAAAATATGGAAAGGTAAAAGGATAAAGTAGACATAACACAGTTGCTCAGATACCTCCCATTTGTTTTAAGCTTCTTGAAGGCAGGAATCCTCTCATTTCTTTGAATGCTACCACTTCGTCTAACATGGAACAGGTTCTCAATAAACAGTTAAAGTAATTTGAAGGATGAGTCATGGCTTTAGTATATTTTGTGAAATTATTTTGTCTTGAAAGTAACAGTGAATAATCATTCATTTTTGAAAACCAAGAAAGGAAAAAAGAAACTAAGAAAGTATACCAAAGTGTTCTGCTATTTATTGTTTTATGTTAATAAAACTCAAATTACTTTTACAGGATTTACATTTAATATTAGGTTGACATCAAAGGCCAAAAAGCTTCTTCTATAACACTAAAGAGCCTATATTTTTTAAAATAAGGGTTTTTTTTTTTAAATCAAAGTAGTGAGTGCTACCACCACCATTTGAGAAATAGAGAAAAGAATAAAGAAATATCTGAAACTTTTGGCCAGGCATGGTGGCTCATGCCTGTAATCCCAGCACTTAGGGAGGCCAAGGCAGGCAGATCATGCGGTCAGGAGTTTGAGACCAGCCTGGCCAACATGGAGAAAGCCTGTCTCTACTAAAAATACAAAAATTAGCTGGGCGTGGTGGCAGGTGCCCGTAATCCCAGCTACTCAGGAGGCTGAGGCAGGAGAATCGCTTGAATCCAGGAGGCGGAGGTTGCAGTGAGCCAAGATCGTGCCATTGCACTCCAGCCTGGGTGACAAGAACAAGACTCCGTCTCAAAAAAAAAAAAAAATCTTTGAAACTCTTAATAGCTACAAAAATATACAGATTGTGCATCTCTCCATAAGATACATTCACCAAACTTCAGCTCAAAGCTGTAAGATCTTCTGTCAAACTTGTGTGGAAGTACAAAAGTTATAACTGAGTAACAGTTTTTACCCAGTTGCTTTTGGCAGACAATATCATTTTAGTGGCATATGAAAAAATAATCACTTGGCCAGACACAGTGGCTCACACCTGTAATCCTAGCATTTTGGGAGGCCGAGGCAGGCAGATCGCTTGAGTCTAGGAGTCAGAGACCAGCCTAGGCAACAGAGCAAAAACCCATCTCCATGAAAAATACAAAAATTAGCCAGGTGTGGTGGCGCACGCCTGTGGTCCCAGCTATCAGGAGGCTGAGGTGGGAGGATCACTTGAGCCCAAGAGGCAGGGGTTGCAGTGAGCCAAGATGGCGCCACTGCACTCCAGCCTGGGCAACAGAATGAGACCCTGTCTCAACTGAAAAAAAAAAAAAAAAAGGAAAATAATTACTTAACAATCCTAGATACAATTTATTATTATTATTATTATTTTAAGACATGATAACTTCTGACTGCGCAAAGGCTCTTTTGGAACCTTGCTTTTCAGAGATTGGCTTTTCTTTTAAGTAAATGTGACGAAGAAGAGGCCTTATCAACATTTGCCATCTGTTAAGTACTTTTCAGTTACCACCACAAGAACAATGGGACTGTTGGTCTTTTCACTTTTAGGGGACAGAGAATCCTGCTAAGGAAATCATTATTTTGCCTCTGATTGGTGTCATGGAGTTTTTTAATTTTTTGAGACGGAGTCTTGCTCTGTCACCCAGGCTGAAGTGCGGTGGCGTGATCTCGGCTCACTGCAACCTCTGCCTCCCAGGTTCAAGCGATTTTCCCACCTCAGCCTCCCAAGCAGCTGGAATGATAGGTGGGCACCACCTCGCCTGGCTAATTTTTTTTTAATATTTTTAGTAGAGACAGCGTTCACCATGTTGGCCAGGCTGGTCTGGAACTCCTGACCTCAAGTGATATGCCTTCCTTGGCTTCCCAAAGTGCTGGGATCACAGGCATGAGCCACCGTGCCTGGCCTGGTGTCATTGAGTTTTCCTCAACTAATTTCTCATCCCTTTGTTTGCTAGCATTTTGTAACATTTAAATATATTCATATGACAGAATGACCAACACATCAGAATAAATATCCACTGACTACATCTCAGGCAGTACTCTTGTTTTTATATTGACAACACTGCATCCACCACCACTTCGGAATCTTCTGCCCAAACTTAGTCACTCACATGTGCTCTAGATCCTGGGTGTGAGTGTATTTATACAGACCATCCCCAGCATTATACTGGTGTCTTTTTTCCCATTATTTTTTCTCTGTTCTTTATAAACATTTATATTATATCACTGAAAAAGATATCCAGGCCAGGCGTGGTGGCTCACGCTTGTAATCCCAGCACTTTGGAAGGCAGAGGTGGGTGGATCACTTGAGCTGAGGAGTTCAAGACCAGCCTGGGCAACATGGTGAAACCCGTCTCTACCAAAAGTACAAAAATTGGCCAGGCGCAGTGGCTCACACTTGTAATCCCAGCACTTTGGGAGGCTGAGGCAGGGGGATCACAAGGTCAAGAGATCGAGACCACCCTGGCCAACATGGTGAAACCCTGTTCTACTAAAAATACAAAAAATTAGCTGGGCGTGGTGGTGCCTGTAGTCCCAGCTACTCAGGAGGCTGAGGCAGTAGAATCACTTGAACCCAGGAGGTGGAGGTTGCAGTGAGCTGAGATCACGCCACTGCACTCCAGCCTAGTGACAGAGTGAGACTCCGTCTCAAAACAAACAAACAAAAAATACAAAAATTAGCTGGGCATTATGGCAGACACCTGTAATCCCAGCTACTTGGGAGGCTGAGGCAGAAGAATCGCTTGAACCTGGGAGGCAGAGGTTGCAGTGAGCTGAGATTGTGCCATCTCACTCCAGCCTGGGCAACAAGAGGGAAACTCCATATCAAAAAAAAAAAGATATTCAAACCATTTGTTCAAACCCAATCTGCAAATATTGTTCATACATTAGATTGAGTACATATAGAGAGACGTTGAAGCTATTAATTGTGTCACATCCTCAAAGACAGTCCCTCTTTTGGACTCTTACATTCTGCTTTGTTTTCTGTCCTTAGCTAATTTTTTTATATGGCTACATTTTCAACATTGTGAGCACGTTTTAAGAAATATGCAGCCTGGAGTTCAATAGGTATTCTTCCTCCCGGATAAAATTATTCATCAATATTAGTTTTATATATAATACAAATATCTTTATAAGTATACAAATAAATGTGTGTGTATGTGTACAGATGGATAGATAGATGCAGTATGCTAAAAGTATTTATGTTTTTTTTTTTTCTCTTTTCCCAAAGTAGCAACTTAGATAACAGAGTTAGATCCAGGTGTGTCCTGGTGTCCTTCTAGGCTGAGCCCCTAAGACTTGGTGTGAATGGTTTGCTGCTTTCCTCCATACTTAATTTTCCTCTTTGTTTTCATAGATAAATATCATTCAGGGAATTGTGGCAGAAATCAACACCAAGACTGGTGAATCTGAATGCCGCTATTATAAAGAGCGGCTTCTTTACTTGGAAGAAGGCCAGAAAGACTCCCTGATCGACAGCTCTCGAGTCTTGTGTTGTCATGGTGAACTGAAGAACAATCGGGGCGTGGTAAGTAGTTACTCCCTTTAAGCAGTCTTATCCGCCTCCCGTATCCCTAATTCATTTGGTGTGGAGCCTCCTCTTAGAATTTCTTCCCTATCTAGGGTCATGTTCTTTTTTGAGATGGAGTCTCGCTTTGTCACCCAGGCTGGCTCACTGCAACCTCTGCCTTCCCGGTTCAAGCAATTCTTGTGCCTCGGCCTCCCAAGTAGCTGGAACTGCAGGCACGCACCACCATGCCCAGCTAATTTTTGTATTTTTTTAGTAGAGACAGGGTTTCACCACGTTGGCCAGGGTGGTCTCAAACTCCTGAGCTCAAGTGATCCGCCTGCCTTATCCTCTGAAAGTGCTGGAATTACAGGCTTGAGCCACCGTGCCTGTCCTTCGTTCTTTCAAACAAAAATTGCTTTTCCAGTGTCATTTATATCACAGGATCATATGTGTATATGTATATATATATTCATTCATATTTTGTAATGTTAAGGATCAGTACCTATTCAGAAAGAATTTTGGAAACCAACATAGGGTTGCCAGCTATTTATTTTGTCTGATCTTGGCTTTGAGAAACAAATGCAGAACAGTTAACATCTGTCACTTTGATTTCAGAAAATAAAGGATGATCTTAATAAGATATTAGAAGGATTTAATCTCAGAGAAACAGCTCTTCAGTTGAATGCATTTAACTTCTTTCTTGTGCATTGGGACCCATCCACAGACTGGCATTTTGAAACCAATTTTTTAAAAATAACAACCTATCTTCTATTGGTTGCATATTTAGCTTTGACCTATAGATACCCATTTCCTGGCTTTTATTCCCATGTAGATACTGAAATGGTTCCTCTTCTGCTATCATAGCAACTGTGTATATCTCCCTTGGAGCACTTAATATAGTGATTTGCAATTCTCCATTTGTCTGTCAGTATATTCCATTATACCATGTTGTTTTGGTGGTTTGTCAACCTTAGAACCTATTATGGGGACCTGGCACATACTGGGTACTCAATGAATGAATGCTTGTTTAAAAGGAAAGATGAATTTGAATTATATGAGAGTTCAAAATTCATTCAGCTCACCAAGCTATTTGTATGTATAGCCAGTAGAAATTTGTGTGTGTGTGTGTGTGTGTGTGTGTGTGTGTGTGTGTTTAAATTTCTGTGTTGAGATAGCCATTGGGAGAGAGACTCTGCATTTTGATTGTATTTCATCTTCAGTATCTAGCCAACCCTTAGAATGAAAGCTAGAACTAGATTGAAGGGTTCTTAATAAAGTTTTGATAATTCAAGGGACATCCGTTTAGTCTAGACTGAGCAGCCATGGAAATATTACTTGAAATTAGTGAGTACATGTTATAACCCATTATCAGGGATGCTGTGGATCCATCCAGTGGATGGTACAGTGGGAGTAATGAGACCTGTCAAGTCTGTTGCTTGAAGACGTGTGTCTGTGGGACTAGAGAGTTACTGATTGCTAGAAAGCTGCATTCTGTTTCTTGCTTATTTTCAGAAAGCACCTGTGGACTTCTAGTATCTTACACCAAGCTCCTTGAACGTTCTTTCTAGGAAGCCCAATGAGAAATAGGAAAATGCAGTGCTCCACAGGGTGTAAGCCTATTATCTTTCTGTACATCAGTGAAGGACTGAGAACTTTTTGGTTAGATGTGCCTAAGGCATAAAGATAAACTCTAGTTTTTATTGCAGGCAGATAGATTTTTGAGAACAAAGATAGTTGGGGTGGGAGGCTTGTGGGTTTTTTTTTCACCCGGTAGAGTTGTAAACGTCATTGTGAATAAAGTCTTGGGTCAGAAAAAAAGCACAGTAGTTGAAGGCAGGAAGGAGCTGAGACCAATAAGAGAAATTATCAGTGAACATTCATAAATGAGTTTTTTGTTTGTTTGTTTGTTTGTTTGTTTTTTGAGACAGTCTCACTCTGTTGCCCAGGCTGGAGTGCAGTGGCACGATCTTGGCTCACTGCAACCTCCACCTCCAGGGTTCAAGCAATTCTCCTGCCTCAGCTTCCCGAGTAGCTGGGATTACAGGCACCCAACACCACGCTTGGCTAATTTTTGCATTTTTAGTAGAGATGGGGTTTCACCATGTTGGCCAGGCTGTTCTTGAATTCCTGACCTCAAGTGATCCGTCCACCTCGGCCTCCCAAAGTGCTGGGATTACAGGAGTGAGCCACCGTGCCTGGCTGAGTTGTATTTTTAAAAGGTTGCCCAGACAATCTCAGCCCACCTTGGCTAGAAGATTGATTGAAGTAGAAACAGTGTAAAAATCTGATTATTCCAAATACTGTACATTAAAACAGCCCCCAAAAGAAAATTCTTAACACGTTATTTCCACAACTACCACACCAAAAAGCCTTTAACTTGGTTATTTTGTGCTTTATCCTGTTTTTCAGTCTTCTTAAATATACATTTTATTCCCTCTAGCCAAGATTTGGTTGGGTTTTGTTTCTGTTTGTGTGTGTTTGGGAGGTAGTAGGGATAGGGGTGGGAGACCTATGGGTTTCTTTTCTCCTAAATTTAAAATGATCTAATAATATTGAATGTGCTCCCACTATCCCAAGTCAAAATTCTAATCTGAAGTTTTTAATTCAGTTCCCATTTTTGTTTTAGATGCAGGGGGTATATGTGCAGGTTTGTTACAAGGATATACTGCATGGTGCTGAGAATAGGCTTCTATTGATCTCATCACCCAGATAGTGAACATAGTAACATAGTACTCGATAGGAAGTTTTTCAGCCCTTGCCCCTCTCACTCCCTCTTGCCTTTTAGAGTCCCCAGTGTCTGTTGTTCCTATCTTTATGCCCATGTGAACCCAAGATTTAGCTCCCACTTACAAGTGACAACCTCTCCTCTTCTGGTCTCTCCCCTTTAAGACTGCTGGATTGACATTCCCAAATATTTCCACCAGAAAGCTAGAACCTAGTTGCAAAGTTGTGGATATTTTCACTTCAGTTCGTAAGCATTTCCAAAGTGTGAGAAGAGTCTGGCACTTAGCATTGAATGGAGCAAATATACCCCAGCTCCACCAAGCACACCTGCTTTCATAATGGGACCTGAAACAAGCCTTCATTTTTGCAATTTTCTTTTTGCCAACATCACACACATCAGTCGTCAACTTTTTAACCCTCTTCAGAGAACCAAGGTTCTGATTAACTTAGAAGGAAAATATTGATCATCTTTTTTTTTTTTTTTTTTTTTTTTTGAGACAGAATTTTGCTTTTGTCGCCCAGACTGGAGTGCAATGGCCCGATCTCAGCTCACTGCAACCTCCACCTCCTGGGTTCAAGCAGTTCTTCTGCCTCAGCCTCCTGAGTAGCTGGGATTATAGGCGCCTGCCACCGCGCCTCGCTAATTTTTGTATTTTTAGTAGAGATGGGGTTTCACCATGTTGGCCAGGCTGGTCTTGAACTCCTGACCTCAGGTGATCCGCCCACCTCGGCCTCCCAAAGTGCTGGGATTCCAGGCGTGAGCCACTGTGCCCAGCCTGATCATCTTTCTTTGTGGCTGTGGCAGCATACTCTGGTCCCCTCAGGAATGAGCACTGTTCTGACTTAGAGTTCCTGAATAAAGCTGATAATGACTTTGTGGTTGAAGGAACAAGTGTTTTTCATGGGTTTGGGAAGCAAAGATTAATATTAGCTTTGATATACCAGTCTCATTTTTTATAGACTATTGTTAATTTTGATCTTTTAGAATTTTTTTCTTTTTTTTTTTAAACAGTCTTGCTCTGTCACCCAGGCTGAAGTGCAGTGGTATGATCTGGGCTCACTGCAACCTCTGCCTCCTGGGTTCGAATGATTCTCCTGCCTCAGCCTCCTGAGTAGCTGGGATTACAGGCGCCCCCCCCCCCCCCCCGCCCCGCCCACCTCGCCTGGCTAGTTTTTGTATTTTTTTTTTTTTTTTTTAGATGGAGTCTCACACTGTCGCCCAGACTGGAGTGCAGTGGCACGACCTCAGCTCACTGCAAGCTCCACTTCCTGGGTTCATGTCATTCTCCTGCCTCAGGCTCCCAAGTAGCTGGGACTACAGGTGCCCGCCACCACACCCGGCTAATTTTTTGTATTTTTAGTAGAGACAGGGTTTCACTGTGTTAGCCAGGATGGTCTGTATCTCCTGACCTGGTGATCCGCCCGCCTCAGCCTCCCAAAGTGCTGGGATTACAGGCGTGAGTCACTGCATCCGGCCTAGTTTTTGTATTTTTAATAGAGACGGGGTTTCACCATGTTGGCCAGCCTAGTCTTGAACTCCTAACCTCAAGTGATCCGCCCACTTCAGCCTCCCAAAGTGCTAGAATTACAGGTGTGAGCCACCACATCCGGCCTGATTACTTAGAATTATATTGAGTAATATAAACTAAAGTCAAGAGAGTGCTAACTTTTTTTTCCCTTCATCACCTTCTTGATTCTATTTCCCTTTCTCGTTTTTTTCTTATAGGAGCTGGGGCAGGTATGTCTGTACAAGTTGTGAATTGCAATGTGAATAGGGCCCCCAAAGTTGGCAACCCTGGCTGTAGGTGTCTGTAGGCAGAAGGGCTTTCTCCATTGAGTCCCTAGGGAGGTGCTTCTACAGGAAGGGCAGTGGACATATCTGGAAGTGCCTCCAACATGCCCAACTTTGGTTCTCCTGGAGGTAGATTTGAACCTAGGAGTTCATAATCCAGTGTGAACCTGGTACCTGGGGACCTCTTTATCCACAGAGGTCCACATATCAACCACTCATTACATTATTGCTTAATGAAAGCTTGTGGATTTTTTTCTTCTAGAAACTGCATGTTTTCCTGTTCCAAGAAGTGCTTGTGATCACTCGAGCCGTCACCCACAATGAGCAGCTTTGCTACCAGCTGTACCGTCAGCCAATCCCCGTGAAAGACCTCCTGCTGGAAGACCTCCAGGATGGAGAAGTGAGGCTGGGTGGCTCCCTGCGAGGGGCATTCAGCAACAATGAGAGAAGTATGGATAGCAGTCGGGGTTGACCTGTTGAATGTTTTTGGCCGTGGTAGTTTGGAGGGAGTGGGCAGCTGGTGGAAAGAGAAAAGCCACGGTCTTGAAGTCAAACTGCATTTGTATGCTATTTCATCACTTCCTGATTATGTACTTTGTTTAGTCCCTGTGATTCTCAGTTTCTCATCTCCAAAATGGAAATGCATAGGTACCTCCTTCATAAGATTGTTATAAGGATTTAGTAAGATAATCTAAGTGAAACTGTCTGCACATAGTTAGTGCTCCTTAAGTTCCCTTTCTCTGTCTTTTTCCATTGGATAAAAACATGCTTAATACCAGATAGTCCCTACATGGATGCCAGTTGCGTTATGGTGGGTTTTGCAGCTGAACTGGTAAACTTGTCCCTAAAGAGACATAAGAATGGTCAACTGGAATGTGGATTCATCTGTAACATTACTCAGTGGGCCTAATTTAAGACTTAATAAACAAATTAACTAAAAGAAGCCAAGATAGCAATATCTATCGAGTATCTAACATGATACTCGGTGAAACAAGCAGGTAACTTCCTTCCCCTATGGAGCTTGCATTGTGATGGAGGAGAAAGATGATAAACAAATGAATACTCCAGGTGTTGTTAAGAAAACTTAAAACCCGGTAAGGGAATAGGAAGGGATAGCAATAGGAGGTCTGTTTTATTTTTATTTATTTATTTTTTTGAGACAGAGTCTTCCTCTGTTACCCAGGCTGGTGTGTGGTGGCGTGATCTCGGCTCACTGCACTCTCTGCCTCCTGGGTTCAAGCAATTCTCGTGTCTCAACCTTCCAAGTAACTGGGAGTACAGGGGCTGGCCACCACACCTGGCTAATTTTTGTATTTTCAGTAGAGACAAGGTTTTGCCATGTTGGCCAGGCTGGTCTGGAACTCCTGACCCCAAGTAATCCACCCACCTCAGCCTCCCAAAGTGCTGGGATTACAGGCCCCCGGGCCCAGCCTGGAGGTCTGTTTTAAATGAGATAGGGAACACTTCTCTGAGAAAGTAACGTTTGAGCTTCCTGGGTTAACATAGGCATCATACTGTCAAAGTAATTAACATGTACTGCCTTCTCCCTACTGATCAATCCCTCTACCCTAGGAGTAGGAGTAGTAGAAATAAGAGCTTATGTTTCTTGAGTACTGACTATGTGCCAGGCATTGTATAAGCATTTACATGTATTACATTTATTCCTCATAACAACCATATAAAGTAGGTTCTTGTTTTCTCCATTTTACAAGTTAGAAACTAAGATACAGAGGATTTAAGGTACTTGCCCAAGATCAAAGGGTGGAGCCTAAATTTGAAGGACGGAGAATAGCTTCTAGCCAAAGATGGCTAGCAGTAAAACATTTTGGCCTCCTTTCCCTCTGTTGCTTAGCCTCTAAGCCATTGGAAGTGGTGGTGGTTCCCAGTCTACTGGCTGCAGGGTTAGTGCAAAGGGACTGACTGCAGATGCTTCTGTGAACCAAGCATTGCATGTGGCACGCAGGGCCCTTTAAATGTCCATTATATTGTTGTTATTAGATTAAATAGGCCAGGCACGGTGGCTCACGCCTATAGTCCCATCTTTTTGGGAGGCTGAGGTGGGTGGATCACCTGAGGTCAGGAGTTCGAGACCAGCCTAGCCAACATGGCAAAACCCTGTCTCTACTAAAAAAAATACAAAAATCAGCCAGGCATGGTGGTGCATGCCTGTAATCCCAGCTACTCAGGAGGCTGAGACAGGAGAATTGCTTGAACCCAGGAGGCAGAGGTTGCAGTGAGCGGAGATTGTGTCACTGCACTCCAGAGCAAGACTCTGTCTCAAAAAAAAAAAAAAAAAAAGATTAAATAAAATGTCTTCCATATTGTGGACTACCATTTTTTTTTAAATGCAGATGGCTCCTGTTGAGGTAATTAAAATGTAATTTCGTTTGACAATGAAACCAAATTTGTCTACATATATCTTCTCCATCATTGGATACTAAGTGTATAGATACTCTCATATGGAGAAACATGGGCATGTTTTAATGTTAAAAAGAGCCTCTTAAACTGAAAAAAGCTCCAGCTTGGTGTACTTGTTGAAATTACAGATTATGAAACGACTTTTAGATCTTCTGAATCAGAATCTCTAAAAAAGGGCCTGGGGATTTATTTTTATTGATTTATTTTTATTTTTTGAGAAAAGGCGTCACTATATTGCTCAGGCTGATCTCAAAATCCTAGACTCAAGCAGTGCTCCCACTTCAGCCTCTGAGCGCATCTGTCTTTTTAACAAGCTCTCACCCCAAGGGATTTTGTTATGCAGCCAGATTGGGTCACCAGTACTCTGGGCTCCCCTAAATCACTTGACTTTGTGGTTCCAAGATGATCTCCACCTGCGGGTTTCTGAGAGCGACGAGGGCAGCTGAACGCTAGACCTGTGTCAATCCCATCTCCCTGATGGTGGCTGCAGGGTGGAGCTGAGCCATGCCCCAGATCAGTGGGAAACGTTTTGTTATCAGCAATACCTGCCATGGATTCTGGGGTTTAGTGTCACTACGTGTGTTCTCTTTGGCCTGAGGAAGGATCTGTCCATTGACTTTGTTTTTCATGTGTTTTTCCTTTCTAGTTAAAAACTTCTTCAGAGTCAGTTTCAAAAATGGATCCCAAAGTCAGACCCACTCGCTACAAGCCAATGACACTTTCAACAAACAGCAGTGGCTTAACTGTATTCGTCAAGCCAAAGAAACAGTTTTGTGTGCTGCCGGGCAAGCTGGGGTGCTTGACTCCGAGGGATCGTTCCTAAATCCCACCACCGGGAGCAGAGAGCTACAGGGAGAAACAAAACTTGAGCAGATGGACCAATCGGACAGTGAGTCAGACTGTAGTATGGACACGAGTGAGGTCAGCCTCGACTGTGAGCGCATGGAACAGACAGACTCTTCCTGTGGAAACAGCAGGCACGGTGAAAGTAACGTCTGACAGAAGCATGTGCACTTCGGGAAGCAGGCCTGCATCTTACCTGTACAGTATTTGCATTCCACAGATGGAACGGTTTGGAGAAGCACTTTTTCATACTTTTGTGAAAGTATACATGTTGGCCCAGTCTCTCGTATCTGTACCTTTGTCCCTAGTACTGTAACTGCCAATCTGTCTGTGTAAGCTGGAATCTGTGGCAACTATTACCCTGTGTTGTATTTCCCAAGTGTCTGGATGGATGGAGAGGTACTCAAACAAGTTACTTTCAGTTGTCCTGCTGGATTTTAAAAAAATAGAAAAAGAATCTCAAAACTACTGTTTTACATAGATTGTTTGAAGAGTCCTTCCTCTTGTGCTTCTGTACCACTTTCCCAGCTCTTAGATGTGGTAGCTAAAGGCACGGAATTTAGACGGCCTTGTAAATAGGGCATGAGGAACTCATCTGTGTATTGGGATGGTATTAGAGAGAGAATCAGGAAAGACCAACTCATGAAGTGAACTTGGTTTGATCTTACTCAACTAGAAAGCTTGAAAACATCCCTGGGGATTCTGAAGGCTTAATTTTGCAAAGGAGGATGCATTGTCTGAACTTTGCAACTTCATCCAGTGCAAGTTTGATGCAAGAATGTATTAGGACATAAAATAGAGGCTGACCTTAAAAGGGCCAGGACAGAAGCGGCTGCCAGCTCTGAATCTTTAACTGAAATGCACATGGCACCAGGAGGTGTCTCTCATAGTTGGTTGCTAGCCTAAAACATCAGAATAGAACCCAAAGGGCTTAGGAAGGCCTGCCAGGATAACAAGAAGGCCCTGTATTCATTGTGTTTCATCTGCCTAGGCCTACTCATTATTTTAGAGAATGAATGAAGCAACAAGGAAGAGAGACCATGACTCTATCGATGACACTGTTTATAGAAACACAGGAGAGGAAGAATTTGGAATGAAAAGCACTTCGTCAGAACCTTCTGTGGGAGCCATTGAGAGAAAAGCATGGTCCAGTGCCTTCTGAGAAAGGCCAGAGCTTTGGGCTTTCCTGCTCTGCTTTTGGGTCGTCAATTTGCCATCTCTGGTTCTGTGCTATAATCAGAATTGTAATTATGTTCTCCAGAGGCCAATTTCATTAACTCTGATTAATTAGAATCAGCTAGCCAGATTAGTAACCTCTTTGTCCAGCCTTGATTTACAGTGCAGGGTAAAGTGCAGACCTTAAAAACAGCTAAGTACCTAGAAGAGCTCCCTGCAAGTGTAAATATTAAGGATGACCTGTGCAAAATTATACCCACACCAGCACTAGTGGTAATTATTCTAAATTATTGCCAAAAAGTTTTTTTTAATCTGTCTTTCAAGTTTACAGAAAAGAAAGCAGTAAATGCATTGATGTCATTTTATTATGTACATATATCATGTGCATTCAAGCTGTGTGACAAGATATATCAATATAAAAACAAGGTATATACTTTATTATTTTTTGAAAACAAGGATATTGTGATCAATTTTACCCTGTAAAACATATTTCTGTATTTATAGGTCTTAAACATGATGAATTTTTTCTATTACAAGTTTATTTAAAACTGCTTTCTCAAGTCGTTATTGATACAGCAAGTGAACCTGCTGCAGACAGAAGCAGAGGAAAGCCAAGAACAGCCTTTATTGGTGAAGAAAAGAATGAATGATTCTTTGTAGGCGCCATCAGCCACTTTTAGAAGCCATCAGCCAGTGTGTTGGGAAAAGAGGTTTGTCAAGTGTTGGCCTATGGGAAGGTGGTCAATGAATGTTTTGATGAAATGAATGTTTTTGTATAATGGCCTTAAACTTTTCTGGAAGTATTTCAAATAAATTACATTATTAAGTCATCCTCCATGTGTACAGTGTTTGTCCTACAAACAAAATACAGGTTTCAGCTGTGTTCCTGGGGAGGTTCTTTCTGAAATTTTTGTTTGTGGTTCCTGAATACAAACTTTAAAATAGGATGCAGATTGATACAAATGCTTTTATTTGATCTATCAAAACTTTCACAGAACTCATTTTTTTTTTCTTTCTTTCTTTTGAAACAGGATCTCACTCTGTCACCCAGGCTGGAGTGTGGTGGTGTGATCATAGCTCACTGCAGCCTCAAATTCCTGGGCTTATGCAATCCTCCTGCCTCAGCCTCCCAAGTAACTGGGATTACAGGTACACACCACCACATCTGGCTAATTTTTAAATTTTTTGTAAAGATTGAAGTTTCACTATGCTGCCTAGGCTGGTCCTGAACTCCTGGCCTCAAGTGATCCTTCTGCCACAACCTCCTAAAGTGTTGGGATTACAGGCGTAAGCCTCTGAGTCTGTCCAAGAACTCATAATTCTAAAATCTGTTTTCTCAAGCATTCTCTATTCATTCACTTATTTATGTGTTCACTTTTAATAACTCTATCTGGAATCCATACTATGTATAAAGTCAAGTGGTAAGTCATAGTTGTTATAGAAAAGAAATGTTGAATCTCACTGCTAATATAGGTAACTGTTGAGGAACTTGAGGCTAAATAAAAGAAGGCAAATTTCACTTTGAAATTCTTACTGGAATTTCAGTCTACTTTAATTAAAATGATTAGTACTCTTTCTAGTCTGAGCACAGTGGCTATACCTCTAATCCTAGCAGTTTGGGAGGCCAAGGCAGGTGAATTACTTGAGCCCAGGAGTTCAAGACCAGCCTAGGCAACATGGCAAAACCTCATCTCTACAAAAGCACAAAAATTAGCCAGGCTTGATGGCATGTGCCTATAGTCCCAGCTACTCAGGAGGCTGAGTCGGGAGGATCCCTTGAGCCTAGGAGGCAGAGGTTGCAGTGAGCTGTGATCACACCATTGCACTCCAGCCTGGGTGACAGAGTGAGAACCTATCTCAAAAAAGAAAAAAAAGATTAGTACTCTGTCCCACAATGAGTGAGGTTTTTTAGATGAAAAGGCTAAACATTTTTAAGCTGTTAGTAGCCAATTCTCAATAGCACATTGGCCCAATAAGGCTGGTAGTTAGTCTTATCTTTACAATAAGCTCTCACCATTTTCTTTTTTTTCTTTTTCTTTTTTTTTTTTTTTTTTTTTTGAGACAGTCTCGCTCTGTCACCCAGGCTGGAGTGCAGTGGTGCGATCTCAGCTCACTGCAAGCTCCACCTCCTGGGTTCATGCCATCCTTCTGCCTCAGCCTCCCAGGTAGCTGGGACTACAGGCGCACGCTGCCACGCCCGGCTAATTTTTTGTATTTTTAGTAGAGACGGGGTTTCACCGTGTTAGCCAGGATGGTCTCGATCTCCTGACCTTGTGATCTGCCTGCCTCGGCCTCCCAAAGTGCTGGGATTACAGGCCTGAGCCACCACGCCCGGCCAGCTCTCACCATTTTCTTTAACATACTGTTAATTCCCAAATTTGGCAAGATATTCACATAAATAAATATAAGTCCAAATTTTTTCCCAAATGCAAAGTCGCTTCTCCTAATTTTTTTCTTCCTCCTCCTCCTCATCTTTTTTGTCCGTCCTCTTTTCTCACTGCTGCTTTGGCTATTCCCTCTGTTTTTCACTCCTATAATTGTACTGACTGTCAATGCTAAAGGATGTATCTTACAGTATATTAGAAGATGTTTGTACTGACATTTTGTGGGTTAGTACAAATGAGTGAGGGCTAAATGGTTTTTCTTCAGTCAATTTTCAAGATGTTATTTCACATACAACTAGATGTAATCCTTGCAGTCTAAATGAAAACTCATAAGCAATGAACAGAGCCAGAACTAGCAATTTTCTGTAAAATTAGAGCATGGTTTCAGCTTCTGGGTTGTGGTCACCGCCACTGACTGCTTTAGTTTCCATTCCCAGCACAGTCTGCGGCAGCTAAGAATGCACAACTCTTCATAACCACAGCCCTGTTTCAACAAAGACTGTGTGGCTGCAGGAAACTGCAACCCACCATCTTGGTGAAGAGCCTGTTCAACTTTCCATTTACATTCTGTCCATGTCCGTTTTTTACTAATTCTCCCAAAGCCTGAGGACTCTCAAAGATTTGGCAAAGAAACTGTCTGGCCAATCAGTTTCACTCACCTGGTTCCCCTTGGCATTGAGGAGAGAAGACACTGAATACCCCCCCTTATTGATGCAGCTGATTCAATTAATTCACACTAGCTTGTTTATTGACAGAATTCTAGAACTACACTATTGGAAGGGAAGAGGGTTACCCAAGCCCAAACCTACCAGTAAAAATCTGACAATCATCAAAATTTAAAACCTTGTCCGCATGAGCACACAGTGAGAAAAGGTGACCGTATTCACTGTACCTGAAGGGTATTGAGGGAAACAAGTTGGAAAAAAAAATGCTCATGACATCATATCTCCTTTCTCCAGGCTTGGTTCATATATCAGTCAGCTGCACAGACCTACCTAGTCAAAGCAGTTTTCAGTTGACGTGAGGGAATAGCAAGGAATTAGAAGTCATGCACTGTATCTTTAAGAGCTAATCACTTAGCCTAGGAAACTGGACATGCATTCCAAAGCTTGTCCACATGCAAACATACCTAGGTATTAATGAACTGTGCTCTCTCATCTGTGAAAGGTTTGAAAATGACATCCTACAAGTGTTTTATTCTCTGTTGCCAGGGACACTGGACCCTTCAAGCCCATTTAAATGTGAGACTGTATGTGAAATCACTTTTTAAAAAGATACTAAGAGCTAGTAGTTTTCATTGTTATTTAATAATCACTTTTAAATTTGTACATGTTGCCCAGGCATGGTGCCTTATGCCTGTAATCCCAGCACTTTGGGAGGCCGAAGAGGGCAGATCACTTGAGACCAGGAGTTGAAGATCAGTCTGGCCAACATGGTGAAACCCCGTCTCTATTAAAAATATGAAAAATTAGCTGGGCATGGTGGCAGGCGCCTGTAATCCCAGATACTCAGGAGGCTGAGGCACGAGAATCACTTGAACTTGGGAGGTGGAGGTTGCAGTGAGCACAGATTGCACCACTGCATTCCAGCCTGGGTAACACAGTGAGACTCTGTCTCAAAAAATAAAAAAAAATAAACCGTACATGTGAAATTTCTCAAAAGTGTGGCCTTGGCCTGGGTCTTTTTCATTCGTTGTACTATATACCTGGAGAGACTTTTCAATCCAGATAATTTGGAATTTTTTCTTGTATTTTTTTTTCTTACATATTTTCATTCCCACAATTTTCTATTTTCTCTTTCAGGAATTCCAGAAAGAGAGATGAACCTTCTGGATTTTATGCCTTAACTTCTGGATTGATTTTCAAATAGTCTTAATCTCTTTATTCTTACTTTTTATTTATTTATATTTTGTTCAACTCTCAAGGAGATTTCCTCACCTTTGTCTTCAGATCCTTCTATTAATTTGAGGAGAGGGTTGCCATCAGTTTTTTTTTCTACTATAAGTTTTTCTATCATTCTTTCTATACTTAAAGCACCCTTATTTTTATTTAATGAAGGCAGTGTCTTCTCTGAACTCTCAGAAGATGTCACAGTTCAGTTGAATTTTCCTTCATCTTTCATTGTTTATCTGGGAATAATAATGGTAATTAATAGGATTTGGGGGAGGATTCAATGTAGTAATACATCCAAAGTACTTAGAATGGGCCAGGCATGGTGGCTCATGCCTGTAATCCCACCTGTAATCCCAGCACTTTGGGAGGCTGAGGCGGGCGGATCACGAAGTCAAGAGATCGAGACCATCCTGGCTGACATGGTGAGACTCCATTTCTACTTAAAATACAAAAAATTAGCTGGGTGTGGTGGCGTGCCCATAGTCCCAGCTACTCAGGAGGCTGAGGCAGGAGAATTGCTTGAACCTGGGAGGTGGAGGTTGCAGTGAGCCGAGATCACACCACTGCACTCCGGCCTGGCGACAGAGCGAGACTCCGTCTCAAAAAAAAAAAAAAAAAAAACCTTAGAATGGGGCTATGCCCCGTATTTTTGTTTACTTCTCCAAATCCACTATGCACCCTGATTCACTCTTCTGTGTGTACTTCATCATGGGCTCTCCTGCCTGACGTTTCTGGTTTGGTTTGGCCCAGTGAAAATCCTGTCATTATATCAGTGAGAGGGAGAAGAGTGAGTTTAGAGTATTCATTCCTCCAGCTCCCACCTGGAGGATTTCCTTGGGCTGGTTGCATCTCTTATCGTGAGGTCACAGCTTCTCTCAAGGAGTCCTCTCTGAATTCCTGTAACCCTTCTAGCCTAGTATGGTAACAACCCCACTGTCACTAGCCCCAGGATATTGTATTGTCCCTACACACTGCCCAAACTTTGTGTACTGTCCCTTTATTAAAACCTCCTAATTTGAATATGTGATATTTGAGTATGCTGCTGAGCCCCTGATAGATACTGGTTCCTGATATAGTAAACATATATGTCTACTATTGTCATCATTTATGTTATTTCACCATTTGCTTTCCATTTTCAAATGTTGTGGTCCAAGGATAAACAGATCTTTGGAATCATCAAAGATGGGTTTTGTGTTTCTATTTTTTGTTATCGTGATGGATTGTTTTCTGGGAAGATAAATGAAAGCGTATTTCAAAAACAAAGGCAAAATACTTTTTCAGGCATATGAAAGCTAAAAGAATTCATCACCAGCAGACCTCCACTACAAGAAATGTTAAAAGGACTTTCTTTGAAGAGAAACAGAATGATACCCTGTGGACATATGGATCCAAACAACAGAATGAAGAGCACTAAAAATGCAACTATGTCAGAAAATAGGAGAGGCTTTTCTTACTATTTAAACTTCTTTAAAAGTAATTAGTTCTAGGTCGGTTGTGGTAGCTCATGCCTGTAATCCCAGCACTATGGGAGGATCACTTGAGCCCAAGAGGCAGAGTTTGCAGTTAGCCAAAATCAAGCCACTGCACTGCAGCCTGGGTGACAGAGCAAGACACTGTCTTTAAAAAAAAAAAAAAAAAAAAAAGGCGGCCGCAGTGGCTCATGCCTGTAATCCCAGCACTTTAGGAGGCCAAGTTGGGAGGATCACCTGAGGTCAGGAGTTTAAGACCAGCCTGGCCAACATAGTGAAACCCCGTCTCTACTAAAAATACAAAAATTAGCTAGGTATGATGGTGCATGCCTGTAGTCCCAGCTACTTGGGAGGCTGAAGCAGGAGGATCTCTTGAACCCGGGAGGCGGAGGTTGCAGAGAGCCAAGATTGCACCACTGCACTCCAGCCTGGGCAACAGAGCGAGACTCCATCTCAAAAAAAAAAGAAAAGTAATTAGTTCTAGCCATGATGGAGTAACAGGCACCAGATTTGCCTTTGCAACTGAAATAAAAACAAAAAGATGAAAAAACCTATAAAGCTATAGCTTTGAAGACACTGGACATCAGGCAATGAAGGACAGTGACCCTAAGAGAAGAGGTATAAATGAGGTGAGCCCTGCAATTGCTCCAACTTCCAGTCTTGAAAGGGATTTCAGGACACAGCACAGGGAGGGTGTCCATTTGCATTGCTATAAAGGAATACCTAGCCTGGTTAATTTATGAAGAAAAGAAGTTTATTTGACTCATGGTTCTGCAGGCTGTACACGAAGCATAGTGCTGCCCTCTGCTTCTGGTAAGGGCCTCAAGAAGCTTCCAATCATGACAGAAGGTGAAGGGGAGCCAGCGTGTCACATGTCAGGAGAGAGTGAGAGAGCAAGGAGGAAGTTCCAGACTCTTAAACAATCAGATCTTGTGTGAACTCAGATAACTCATTACTGTGAGGATGACACCAAGACATTCATGAGGAATCTGCCCTCATGGTCCAAACACCTCCCACTAGGCCCCACCTCCAACATTGGGGATTACAGTTCAACATGAGATTTGGAAGGGACAGACATCCAAACTATATCAGAGGGGGATCCCAGGTAGACTCCAGTGAACTTCCTGAGTGGAAGTTTTGGAGCTGAGAGTTTAGGGAGACCAAGGCAGCTACAGTTTACAGAACAAAGAGGAGAGCAGTCCATGGAGAGACAACCTCAGAGATTACTGTAGAGAGTCCCCCTCAGGTATTAAGCAGAGTATTGAAAAGTGCATACATGTGAAGAAAATACCCAAGGCTGAGGGGAAATACCCTAAAAAAATTAGAACACACATAGTGCTTGGAATAGTGCCTATTCTCACAAACCAGACTAGAAGAATATAATTCACAGGGCATTGGGTAAAGTACTCAGAAGGGTCTAGTTTCAGTAGTGGAGAATAATTAGTCCTAGAGTAAACACTGCTCTGGTCCAACCTAATAAATCTTAAAGACCAAATAGTATCAAATTGTTTCCAAGTAACCTAACTGCATCCTGGAGCAAAGCTCAACAATATTTATGGGAATACAAAATTATCCAGCACTGAATAGGGTAAAATTCACAGTGCCTGCCATCTAATGAAAGACTACAAGACATGCAAAGCAGGAAAACACAACCCATAGAAGAAAAACATAAAAACCAATCCAAACTGACTTAGACCTGACAGAAATGTTAGAATTAGCCAACAAGGATGTTAAAACAGTTGTTATAGCTGTATTCCATATTTTTAATGTTAAGTAGAAACACGAAAGAGATGAAAAAAGACCCAAATATAATTTCTACAGATGAAAATTACCATCAATGAGATGAAAAATATGGCCAGGTGCGGTGGCTCAAGCCTGTAATCCCAAAACTTTGGGAGGCCGAGGCAGGTAGGTTAACTGAGGTCAGGAGTTCGAGACCATCCTGGCCAACATGGTGAAACCCCGTCTCTACTAAAAATACAAAAATTAGCTGGGCATGGTGGCACATGCCTGTAATCCCAGCTACTGGGAAGGCTGATGCAGGAGAATTGCTTGAGCCTGGGAAACGGAGGTTGCAGTGAGCCAAGACTGTGCTACTGCACTCCAGCCTGGCTGACAGAGCAAAACTCTGTCTCAAAAAGAAAAAAAAAAATACACTGGATGGGATTAAGAATAGTTTAGACATTGCAGAAGAAAATACTAGTGAAAAAGACAGCAATAAAAATTATTGAAAGTGAAACATGGAGAAAAGAGGATTTTAAAATGAAAAGAGTATCAGAGAGGCATTGTGTCTGGAATTGGTGGGTTCTTGGTCTCGCTGACTTCAAGAATGAAGCCGCGGACCCTCGTGGTGAGTGTTACAGCTCTTAAGGTGGTGCATCTGGAGTTTGTTCCTTCTGATGTTCGGATATGTTCGGAGTTCCTTCCTTCTGGTGGGTTCCTGGTCTCGCTGGCTCAGGAGTGAAGCTGCAGACCTTCACGGTGAGTGTTACAGCTCTTAAGGCAGCGCGTCTGGAGTTGTTCGTTCCTCCCGGTGGGCTCGTGGTCTCGCTGGGCTCAGGAGTGAAGCTGCAGACCTTCGCGGTGAGTGTTACAGCTCATAAAAGCGTGTGGACCCAAAGAGTAAGCAGCAGCAAGATTTATTGCAAAGAGTGAAAGAACAAAGCTTCCACAGTGTGGAAGGGGACCCGAGCGGGTTGCCACCGCTGGCTCGGGCAGCCTGCTTTTATTCTCTTATCTGGCCCCACCCACATCCTGCTGATTGGTAGAGCCGAGTGGTCTGTTTTGACAGGGCGCTGATTGGTGCGTTTACAATCCCTGAGCTAGATACACAGGTTCTCCACATCCCCACTAGATTAACTAGATACAGAGTGTCCACACAAAGGTTCTCCAAGGCCCCACCAGAGTAGCCAGATACAGAGTGTCGATTGGTGCACTCACAAACCCTGAGCTAGACACAGGGTGCTGACTGGTGTGTTTACAAACCTTGAGCTAGATACAGAGTGCCGATTGGTGTATTTACAATCCCTGAGCTAGACATAAAGGTTCTCCAAGGCCCCACCAGAGTAGCTAGATAGAGTGTCGATTGGTGCATTCACAGACCGTGAGTTAGACACAGGGTGCTGATTGGTGTATTTACAATCCCTGAGCTAGACATAAAGGTTCTCCACGTCTCCACCAGATTCAGGAGACGTGAATCTGAATTGGGTGGTCAATGGGACTGGGCGCCGTGGAGCAGGGGGTGGTGCTCATCGGGGAGGCTGGGGCTGCACAGGAGCCCATGGAGGGGGTGGGAGGCTCAGGCATGGCGGGCTGCAGGTCCGGAGCCCTGCCCTGCAGGAAGGCAGCTACAGCCTGGTGAGAAATCAAGTGCAGTGCCGGCAGGCTGGCACTGCTGGGAGACCCAGTACACCCTCCGCAGCCGCTGGCCCGGGTGCTAAGCCCCTCATTGCCCGGGCCGGCAGGGCCGGCCGGCTGCTCCGAGTGCGGGCCAGCCAAGCCCACGCCCACCCGGAACTCCAGGGGGCCCACAAGTGCCTCGCGCAGCCCAGGTTCCCGCTCGCGCCTCTCCCTCCACACCTCCCTGCAAGCTGAGGGAGCCAGCACTGGCCTTGGCCAGCCCAGAAAGGGGCTCCCACAGTGCAGCGGTGGGCTGAAGGGCTCCTCAAGTGCCGCCAAAGTGGGAGCCCAGGCAGAGGAGGCGCCGAGAGAGAGCAACGGCTGTGAGGACTGCCAGCACGCTGTCACCTCTCAATCCCCCCTCTAAACAGGACACCCCAACTGCTGTTGGGAATTTGGCCGATGACCGCTCTAGCTACTTCCTGCTGGACAGGGGCAAAGAAGGGGCCCTGCAGTTGTAGTGTCCTTCAGAGGAGAGGTCTCTAGGCCAGGGAAAGTGCCAGCGGGTCGGTCCAGGGGTCCTCGGTAGAAGTTGTTAGTTGAACTCATTTGGGGTTCCATTTGTAAGACCATCCGTAGCTTGATGGCCTCGATTCTAGAGAAAACAAATTTGACAAGAAGGTTAAAAATACAGGGCCCAAAGGCGAGTAACAGCAAGATGGCTGCCACGGGACCTAGAAAGGGGAGAAGCCATGTTGCCCAACTCCAGAGATTGGTATAAGACTTTGAAAGGCGTTGTCTGACTTCAGAAGCCTTTTCCTGTAAACGCTGGGCAGCATCTCGTGCTATCCCCGACTGGTTAGTGTAAAAACAACACTCTTCCCCTAAGAAGGTGCAGAGTCCTCCTTTCTCAGCAGTGAGGAGGTCTAGGCCTCGGTGGTTTTAGAGAGTCACTGCTGCCAAAGAGTCTATTTGGGATTATAAAGCAAGGATAGATTTCGTTATTTCTTGCAAACTGTCTGAGAGGCAGATATGGGTTGAAGATCCACATAAGTAGAATATGCCTTGGCTGGGTAGATAGACATTTACCCTGGCTTTTAAAGGAATAGGGTACACTGTTTTTTCTTTACTACTTACATCTCTCTCTTTCTCTCTTCGACTTCTCCTTTGTCTCTTCCTCTCTTTTTAACTCTCTCTCTGACTTCCTGTGTCTGTCCCTCTTTCTCTCTGACTCCTTCTTTATCTCTTCCTCTCTGTCTCTTTCTTTGACTTCCTGTCTCTTTCTTTCCTTTCTGCTGCCTCTGCCAGCTGCTTATGCTGCTGTTCTCCCCTCTCCTTCCCATTTTGATGGCTTTGTCAGTGTAAGAGCATGAGGTAACTTTCAGTGCCCTAATATATATGTAGTTGGAATCTCTAAAGACATGGAGAGAGGCAGGAAACAAAAATCGAAATAAAGCCAAAATTTCTCCAAACTTGATGAAAACTATAAACTCACAGATCCAAGAAGCTTAATGAACCCTCAAACACAAGAAGAAGAAAAATACAAGGCTTTTTTTTTTTTTTTTGAGACGGAGTCTCGCTCTGTTGCCCAGGCTGGAGTGCAGTGGCGCAGTCTTGGCTCACTGCAAGCTCCGTCTCCCGGATTCATGCCATTCTCCTGCCTCAGCCTCCCAAGTAGCTGGGACTACAGGCGCCCGCCACCTTGCCTGGCTAACTTTTTGTATTTTTAGTAGAGACGGGGTTTCACTGTATTAGCCAGGATGGTCTGGATCTCCTGATCTCGTGATCCGCCCGCATCGGCCTCCCTAAGAGCTGGGATTACAGGCGTGAGGCACCGCACCCGACCACAACAAGGCATTTTATAGTCAGACTGCTCAATACCAGTGATAAAGAGAAAAATCTTACAAAGCAGCCAGAGGAGGAAAACATGTTACTTACAGAGGAACAAAGATAAGGATTACAGAAGAATTATCATTGGAAACAAGGGAAGCAAGAAGACAGTGAGGAATATCTTTAAAATACTGAAAGATGGCTGGGCGCAGTGGCTCACGCCTGTAATCCCAGCACTTTGGGAGGCCGAGGCGGGCGGATCACAAGGTCAGGAGATCGAGACCAGCCTGGCTAACAAGGTGAAACCCCGTCTCTACTAAAAATACAAAAAAAATTAGCCAGGCGTGGTGGTGGGTGCCTGTAGTCCCAGCTACTCGGGAGGCTGAGGCAGGAGAATGGTGTGAACCAGGGAGGCAGAGCTTGCAGTGAGCTGAGATCGTGCCACTGCACTCCAGCCTGGGCAACAGAGCAAGACTCCGTCTCAAACAACAAGAAGGAAGAAAAGAAAAAAACTGAAAGAACAATAGCTCAACCTAGAATTCTGTACACAGTGAAAATATATTTCCAAAACAAAGACAAAGTAAAGACTTTCAAACATAAAGCTGAATTTATTACCAAAAGACCAGCATTACAAGAAATACTAAAGAAAATCCTGGCCGGGCACAGTGGCTCACACCTGTAATCCCAGCACTTTGAGAGGCCAAGGTGGGGGGTTGGGCGGGGGGGGCGGGGGGGGCTGGATCACGAGGTCAGGAGTTGGAGACCAGCCTGGCCAAAGAGACCAGCCTGGCCAACATGGTGAAACCCCGTCTCTACTAAAAATACAAAAATTAGCCAGGTGTGGTGGCGGGCACCTGTAATCCCAGCTACTCTGGAGGCTAAGGCAGGAGAATTGCTTGAACCTGGGAGGTGGAGGTTGCTGTGAGCCCAGATTGCGCCATTGCCTGGGTGACAGAGCAAAACACTGACTCAAAAAAAAAAAAAAATCCTTGAAGCAAAGAAAATGATGCCAAATGGTTGCTTTAACATTCAAAAATTAGTCAATGCAAATTACCAAAGTAAAAAAAAAAATAGATGCATAAAAATGCATTTGACAAAATTCAGCATACTGATTAAAAAAAGAAAATCTTCAGCAAACTAGGAATACAGGGAAATGTTCTGACTCTAATAAAGGCTATCTATAACAAACTATGACTAGCCCCACAGTACTGAAAAACTGAATGCTTTCCCCCTAAGATTGGAAACAAAAAAAGGATGCTCATTCTTACAACTTTTATTCAATATTGTACTGGAGATCCTAAATAATGTAGTAAGTAAAAATAAATAAAAGACATCCCAGTTGTAAAAGGAAAGGTAAAACTGTCTTAATTTATAGGTAACATGATTAGGTAGAAAATTTTATGGATATACAAAAAAGCAACTAAAACTAGTGAATAAGCTTAGCAAGTTTGCAGGATACACAATAAACATACAAAAAGCAATTATATTTCTATATGATAGCAATGAACAGTGACACATTTGAATTTGAAACAACACCATTTAGCATCAAAAATATGAAAAGCTTAGCGATACCTTTGAGAAAAATATGCAAAATGTACACTGAAAATTATAAAAAGAAATAACACTTAGAAGACCTAAGTGAATGGAAAGATATACCATGTTCATAGATGGAAGACTCAATATTAAGATGTCAGCTCTCCCTCAAATTAATTCATAGATTTAACACAATACAATCCTAAATCTAAGTGGGCTGTGTTGTAAAGATTGGCAATCTGATTTTAAAATAGTAATGGAAATCTAAGAGAACTAGAATAACCAAAACAATTCTGAAAAAGAACAACAAAGTTGAAAGACTTACCCAAACAAAACTCACTATAATGCTACAATAGCCAAGACAGTGTAATTCTGGTATGAAGATGGACAGTTGGGGCTGGGCGTGGTGGCTCACACCTGAAATCCTAGCACTTTGGGAGGCCGAGGCAGGCAGGTCATCTGAGGTCAGGAGTTTGAGACCAGCCTGACCAACATGGAGAAACCCTGTCTGTACTAAAAATACAAAATTATCCGGGTGTGGTGGCACATGCCTGTAATCCCAGCTACTCGGGAGGCTGAGACAGGAGAATTGCTTGAACCCAGGAGGCGGAGGTTGTGGTGAGCTGAGATCGTGCCATTGCACTCCAGCCTGGGCAACAAGATCGAAACTCCATCTCAAAACAAACAAACAAAAAAGATGGACAGTGGCCAGGCGCAGTGGTTCATGCCTGTAATCCCAGCACTTTGGGAGGCCGAGGAGGATGGATCACCTGAGGTCAGGAGTTCAAGACCAGCCTGGCCAACATGGTGAAACCCTGTCTCTACTAAAAATACAAAAATTAGTCGGGCATGGTGATGTGTGCCTATAATCCCAGCGACTTGGGAGGCTGAGGCAGGAGGATCGCTTGAACCTGGGAGGCAGAGGTTTCAGTAAGCTGAAATCACGCCACTGCACTCCAGCCTGGGCAACAGAGGGAGACTCTGTCTCAAAAAAAAAAAAAAAAAGATGGACAGTCAATAGATACAAATAGGAGTCCAGAAATATAACCAACATATATGGTCAATTGATTTTCAACAGGGTTGCAAAGTGAATTCAGTGATAAAGGATAATCCTTTCAATACATATTGTTAGAACAATTGGATATTTCTATGCAACAAAACCCAATAATTTAGGCCTTTACATTACATCTTATACAAAAATAAATGGATCATAGACATAAATGTAAAACCAAAAACTATACAACCTCTAGAGGAAATCAGGAGACAATATTTGTGACCTTGGGTTAGGCAAAGATTTCTTAAATGGGACCCACAAATTATAATCCATAAAAGAAAATAATTGATAACTAAGACATCATTAAAATTAAGAATTTCTGTTCTTCAAGATATGGATTAAAACACTGAAAAGACAAGCCACAGAGTGGTAGAAAATATTTGCAAATCACATCTCTGACAGAGAACCTGAATCCAGAATAAAGAAATCTCAAAATTCAGCCAGGTGTGGTGACTCACACCTGTAATTCCAGCACTTTGGGAGGCTGAGGAAAGTGGATCATTTGAGATCAGGAGTTTGAGACCAGCCTGGCCAACGTGGTGAAACCTGGTCTCTACTAATACTACAAAAATTAGCAGAGCATGGTGGCAGGTGCCTATAATCCCAGCTATTCGCGAGGCTGAGGCAGGAGAATCACTTGAGCCCGGGAAGCAGAGGTTGCAGTGAGTGAAGATTGCACCACTGCACTCCAGGCTGGGTGACAGAGTGAGACTCTGTCTCAAAAAAAAAAAAAGAAAGAAAAAAAAAGAAAAAAATCTTTAAAATTCAACGATAAGAAAACAACCCAATTTTAAAATGGGCAGAAGATTTAGACACTGACCAAAGAAGATATATGGATGGCAAATAAGCATATGAAAAGATACTCAACATTACTAGTCATTAGGTTAATGCAAATTAATGCCATGAGATACCACTACTCACCTACTCAGCTATTATAAATCTAAAGTTAAAAAGACTAACCATGGCAAATAGCATAAGAAAAATTGTTCAACATCACTAATCATCAGGGAAATGCAAATAAAAACTACAATGATATTATCTCACACCCATCAGTGGCTACTGTAAAAAAACAGATAATAAGTTAGCAAAGATGTGGAAAAATTGTACTTCAGTGGGAATGTAAAATGGTGCCACTGCTATGGAAAGCAGTACGGCAGTTCCTCAAAAAACGAAAAACAGAATTACCATGTGATTCAGCAAGCCCAATGCTGGGTATACACCCAAAAGAATTGAAAGCAGGATCTTGAAAAGATATTTGCACACCAGTGTTTGTTTCAACATTATTCACAATGGCCAAGACATGGAAGCAACCCTAGTATCAATGGATTAATGGATAAACAAACTATAGTAAATACACAAAACAGAATATTAGTCAGCTTTAAAAAGGAAGAAAATTATGATACATGCTACAGCATGGTTGAGCCTTGAGGACATTATGCTAGGTGAGATAAGCCAGTCACAAAAAGACAAACACTGTATGATTCCACTTACATGATGTATCTAAAGTAATAAAATTCATAAAAACAAAATAGAATGGTGGTTGCCAGGGGCTGGGTGGAGGAGAACATAAGGAGTTTTTGTTTAATGGAGATAAGAGTTTTAGCTTTGCAAAATAAGAAAGTTCTGGAGCTTTATTGTACAATAATGTGAATATATTTAACACTACTGTACACTTGAAGCCAGTTAAGGTGGTAAATATTATGTGGGGTTTTTACTTATTTCTTTTGAGATGGAGTCTCACTCTGTCGCCCAGGCTGGAGTGCAGTGGTGCGATCTCGGCTCACTGCAACCTCTGCCTCCTGGGTTCAAGCTATTCTCCTGCCTCAGCCGCCTGAGTAGTTGGGACTACAGGCATGTGCCCCCACGCCTAGCTAATTTTTATGTGGGTTTTTTAAACTACAATTAAAAATGAATAAAAATAGGCTGAGCTCGGTGGCTCATGCCTGTAATCCCAGCACTTTGGGAGGCCGAGGAAGGTGAATTGCCTGACCTCAGGAGTTCACAACCAGCCTGGGCAACCTAGTGAAACCCGGTCTCTACTAAAATACAAAAAATTAGCTGGCGTGGCGGCGTGCACTTGTAGTCCCAGTTTCTCAGGAGGCTGAGGCAGGAGAATTGCTTGAACCTGAGAGGCGGAGGTTGCAGTGAACCAAGATCGTGCTGTTGCACTCCAGCCTGGGCGACAAAGCGAGACTCCGTCTCAAAAAATAAAATAAATAAAAATAAACCAGGACTGGGCATGGTGGCTCATGGCTACAATCCCAGTACTTTGGGAGGCTGAGGTGGAAGGATCACTTGAGGCTAGGAGTTCTAGACCAGCCTGGGCAAAGTTATGAGATCTCATCTCTACTTAAAATGATACATTAGCCACACATGGTAGTGCATGCCTATTAGTTTCAGCTATTCGGGAGGCTGAAGTGGGAGAATCACTTGAGGTTACGAGTTTGAGGCTGCGATGAGCTAGGATCATGCCACTGCACTCTAGCCTGGGCAACAGAGCGAGGCTGTGTCTCTAAAAAAAAATAAAAAATAAAAATAAACCAAACTTCTGGTCCAGATAAGATGATGTAGACTCATTCCTCCCTGTTCCTCTTCACTAAGTACAACTATAAACCCTAGAAATAACTCAAAAGGCGACCAAAGAAGAATTCTGAAGGCTAAGAATAGGAAGGCAAACTGGTTTGAGACCCTGGAACTAGAGAAACAACACAGTGGCAGGGTATCTTACTCTCCACCCAACAGAAGACACTGACCCAGGCCCAGCATTTCTTGAAGCAGCAATAGAAGACAGCCCTGGTAGGCTCATTTTCCCAGATCCAACAGGAGCCTTCCAATACCACCAGGTGAGGCCAGCACCACCAGAGATGGGGATTGGTTGGGAGTCCTGCTAACAAGTGCCATGGGAAATAGTCTCCTTCCCCACTGAGAGATACCAAGATAACCAGGTGGTACCTGCAAGAGGGACCCTGCCACAAGTGGCTCAGCCCAGGAAGCCTCTGTGTTCCCATTGGCCTGAGACTCCTCTCCCCCACCCAGAGATGGCAAGGTCCCACCACAGCAAGCACCGGGCCCAGGAAGCAGTCTTTGTCCCTCACAAGCAAAGGGGATCCTGCCAAGCACCCAGCCAGGGAGACATCTTCATCCTCAAGGCTCTGAGTCTCATCTCCCCAACTGAGAGACACCTGGTGGTCTAGCCTGGGGAACCTCTGTTCCCTCCAGCAGCACCAATAAGGACCAGTGGGAGCCTCAGCAGCATCAGATAAACCAAGCAGACCAAAATAACACTGAAAGCGCTCTGAAAAATGTCATTGGAACCACAGCCCATAAAATTAGCCCAGGACCTGCACACTAAACCTAAACAAGGTAACTGCCAGTTAAAAGATTTAAGTAATATGCTCCTAATGTAATAGAAAAATGTCTAGAATATAATAAAAAATCACCCATCATGCCAAAAACCAGGAAAATTACAACTTGAATGAGAAAAGATCATCAATTGATGCCAACAAAAAAATAAGTCAAATACTGGCATTATCTGACAGGATTCTAAACCAGCTATCATAAAAATGCTTCAAAAGTCATTACAAGTTCTCTTCAGGAAGTCTCAGCAAATAAATAGATCTTATATTAAAATGTACTGAATGGAAAATATAGAACTTAAAAATACAAGCGCAGAAAAATTTTAAAATACTTCTTTGAATGGGCTCTATAGTAAAGTGAAGATGACAGACAAAAGAATCAGGGAATTCGAAGACAGATAAATAGAATTTATCTGAACCATAAAACACACTTAAATATTAACAAATAATGATGGGTGAGGTGGCTCACGCTGTAATCCCAGAACTTTGGGAGGCCGAGGTGGATGCATTGCTTAAGCTCAGGAGTTCAAGATCAGCCTGGGCAACATGGCAAAACCCTGTCTCTACAAAAACATATAAAAAAAAAATTGCTGGGTGTGGTGGCACCTGCCTGTAGTTCCAGCTACTGGGGAGGCTGAGGTGGGAGGATCACTTGAGCCCAGGAGGCAGACGTTGCAGTGAGCCAAGATCATGCCACTACACTTCAGTCCTGGTGACAGAGTGAGACCCTGTCTCAAAAAAAAAAAAAAGATAAAATACAGTTAAATATATATATATATATATATATATATATATATGAGCAGAGTCCCCAGGGACCTGTAAGATTTTTTTTTTTTTAAATCCAGCATTGTTATACACAGACAAATGTGTGCAAGTTCAAATGTGGACATCTAAATAAGATTGTCAGATTTTATCAATGTCAGTATTCTGCTTGTGATGCTCTACTGTAGTTCTGAAAAATGGTTACCACTGGGGGGAAGAAGGTAAAGGGTTCACAGGATCTCTTTGTATTATTTATTACAACTTTGCAGTTATCTCAATTAAAATGTCAGTGAAAAGATGACCCAGGTACAATGTGGAAAAGGAATGGCAAATACTGGAACCATGCCTGGCTAATTTCTTGGTGTTTTTTTGTTTGTTTGTTTTTGTTTTTGTTTTTTTTGAGACAGAGTCTCACTCTGTCGCCTAGGCTGGAGTGCAATGGTGTGATCTCGGCTCACTGCAACCTCTGCCTCCCAGGTTCAAGTGATTCTCCTGCCTCAGCCTCCCAAGCAGCTGGGATTACAGGCACCCACCATCACGCCCAGCTAATTTTTGTATTTTTATAGAGACAGGGTTTCACCATGTTGGCCAGGCTGGTCTTGAACTCCTGACCTCAGGTGATCCCCCCACCTCGGCCTCCTAAAGTGCTGAGATTACAGGTGTGAGCCACCGAGCCCAGCCATTTGTTTGCTTTTTCAGACAGGGTCTCACTATATTGTCCAGGCTGGTCTCCAACTCCTTTCTCAGCCTCCCAAAAAGCTAGGATTACAGGTGTGAGCCACCACACCTGGCCTTGATTTTCTGTCTACCTTTTATATTAATTAGAGAAGTACTAAAATTTCCAACTGTAAGTTTGGATTTGTCTATTTCTCCTTTAAATTCTATCAGTTTTGGGATATGTATTTTGAAGATTTGTTATTGGATACCAACACATTCAGGACTGTTTTATCTTCTTGATGAAATTACCCCTTCATGGTTATGAAATGTTTCTCCCTTAGCTCTAGTAATACTCCTCATTATAAAGTCTCTTTATATTGGCATAACCACTCTAGCTTTCTTTTGACTTGTAGCATATATGGTATATATTTTGTCATCTTATATATTTTAATCTGTGTGTGTGTGTGTGTGTGTGTGTGTGTATACTTTTTTTTTTGAGACAGAGTCTCACTCTATCACCCCAGCTGGAGTGCAATGGCCCAATCTCAGCTCACTGCAACTTCCACCTCCTGGGTTCAAGCGATTCTCCTGCCTCAGCCTCCCAAATAACTGGGATTACAGGCACCTGCCACCATGCTCAGCTAATTTTTTGTATTTTTAGTAGAGATGGGGTTTTACCATGTTGGCCAGGCTGGTCTCGAACTCCCGACCTCAAGTGATCTGCCTGCCTTGGCCTCCCAAAGTGCTGGGATTACAGGCTTGAGCCACCACGCCCGGACTAATATATATTTAAATAGATTTATTGTGGACAGCATATATATGAGTCTTGCTTTTTTTTTTTTTTTTTTTTTTTTTTTGCGACAGAGTCTTGCTCTGTCGCCAGGCTGGAGTGTAGTGGCATGATCTTGGTTCACTGCAACCTCTGACTCCCTGGCTCAAGAGATTCTCCTGCCTCAGCCTCCGAGTTGCTGGGATTACAGGCACATGCCACCAGGCCCAGCTAATTTTTGTATTTTTAGTAGAGACAGGGTTTCACCGTGTTGGCCAGGATGGTCTCAGTCTCCTGACCTTGTGATCCACCCACCTTAGCCTCCCAAAGTGCTGGGATTACAGGCATGAGCCACCACGCCCAGCCTCTTGCTTTTTTTTTTTCTAATCTAGCCTGACAGTCTCTTTCAATTGGAAGCTTTATACCCTTTATGTTTAATGTAATTAATAATATAATTCATTTTAAGTCTGCCATCTTGTTAGTTGTTTTCTGTATGTTCCATTTGTTTTAGATTCCACTTTCTCTCTTTACCAACTTTTTTTGGATTAATTACTTTTTTTTTTTTTTTTTTGAGACAAAGTCTCGTTCTGTCACCCAGGCTGGAGTGCAGTGGCAAGGGAACCTCTGCCTCCCGGGTTCAAGCAATTCTCATGCCTCTGCCTCCCAAGTAGCTGGGATTACAGGCACGTGCCACCACGCCCGGCTATTTTTTATATTTTTAGTAGAGACAGGGTTTCGCCATGTTGCCCAGCTGGTCTCGAACTCCTGACCTCAAGTGATCTGCCCGCCTCGGCCTCCCAAAGTGCTGGGATTACAGGCGTGAGCCACAGCACCTGACCAGATTAAATATTTTCTAATACTGTATTTGTCTCCCCTTTAGTAGTTATTCTCTTTGGTCTTTTTTGGTTTTTTGTTTGTTTGTTTAGTGTTTGTTCTTTAAATTATCACCATCTACCTTCAAATAATATCATACCGGCCACGCGCGGTAGTTTATGCCTGTGATGCCAGCACTTTGGGAGGCCAAGGCGGGTGGATCATGAGGTCCAGAGTTTAAGAGCAACCTGGACAATATGGTGAAACCCCGTCTCTTCTAAAAATACAAACATTAGCCGGAAGTGGTGGCAGGCACCTGTAATCCCAGCTACTCCGGAGGCTGAGGCAGGGAACTGCTTGAACCCAGGAGGCAGGGAACTGCTTGAACCCAGGAGGCAGAGGTTGCAGTGAGCTGAGATCGCGCCACTGCACTCCAGCCTGGGCAACCGAGTGAGACTCCGTCTCAAAAATAATAATAATAATAATAATAGTATCATACCTTTCATGTATAACGTAGAATCTTACACCAATATACTTCCATTTCCTTCACCCCCTTCTCTGTGGTAGTGTTGTTACACATGTGTCTTCTCATGTTTTAAGCTCCAAATTTTATTATTATTTTAACATAATAGAGATAGATAGACATATTTATCTTTTAAAGAAATAAAACAATTAGAAAAAATTGTTATATCTGTGCCAATATTTACCTTTTCTTTTTTTTTTTTTTTTTTGAGATGGAGTTTCACTCTTGTTGCCCAAGCCGAAGTGCAATGGCGCCATCTCGGCTCACTGCAACCTCCACCTCACAGGTTCAAGTGATTCTCCTGCCTCAGCTTCCCGAGTAGCTGGGATTACTGGCATGTGCCACCACGCCCGGCTAATTTTGTATTTTTAGTAGAGACAGGGTTTCTCCATGTTGGTCAGGCTGGTCTCAAACTCCTGACCTCAGGTGATCCACCCACCTTGGCCTCCCAAAGTGCTGGGATTACAGGTATGAGCCACCGCCCCCGGCTATATTTACCTTTCTAGTACTCTTATTTCATTTGTATAGAAAAAAGTTTCCATTTGGTATTATTTTATTTCAGCCTGAAGAACTTTCTTTGAACATTTTTTATATTGGAGATATATACTAACAATAAACTTCTCGGCTTTTGTTTGAAAAATCTTTAATCTTGTTTTAATTTTTAAACAGTATTTTCACTGAAAATAGAATTTTAATCTACAATATTTTTTTCTCTGAGCACTTTAAAGATATTACTTCATTGTCTTCTGGTTTGCAGTTTCTACCAGAAGCCTGTGAATAATTCTTATCTTTGTTCTTCTGTATGTAATGTGTATTTGGGGTTGAGAGGAGCCTGCATTTAAGATTGTATCTTAATCATTGGTTTTTTAGTGATTTTAATTATGACATGCCTTGGTGAGGTTTGTATGTGTGAGAATGTTTATCCTACTTGGCATTCAATGAATGTCTTGGGTTTCTGTGTCTGTGATTTCCATAAAATTTGAAAACTATAAGCCAATATTTATTAAAATAGTTTTTTTGTAGTATCCTTCCTTATGAGACTCCAATTATGAATATGTTAGACCACTCCATATTTTTCCAGAAGTCAGTGAGGCTCTGTTCATTTGGTTAAAAAATATTTTTAACATTTGTGCTTCATTTTTAAAAACAGATTCTATTGCCAGGTTCTCAAGTTTACTATTTATGTTTTAGCAGTTTCTAATCTTAATACCTCCAGAGAAACTTCCATTTTCATTCTGATACTATATTTTAATCTTTGGATATTCCATGTGTTACTCTTTTGTAGTTTCATTTCTTTGCTTATGATGTTCATATTTTCACTTAACTGTGTTTACACTGTAATAATAGTTATTTTAATATTTCTATCTGCTAGTTCCAGCATCCGTATCATTTTTGTCTGTTTTCATTGATTGATTTTCTCTTGGTTATAAGCTAGCACTTTCTGGCTTCTTGGCATGTTTAGTAATATTTTATTGGATGCTGGACATTGTAAGCATCTGAATTTTGTTGCTGTTGTTGTTATTTTAAGGATATTAGGCCAGTTTACTTTTGTTGAGCACCTTGATAAAAAAGAAGAAGAATATTAGTCCAGCCGTGGTGGTTTATGCCTATAATCCCAGCACTTTGGGAGGCCAGGAGGATCACTTGAGCACAGGAGGTCGAGGCTGCAGTGGGCCATGATTGCACCACCATACTCCAGTGGTGCAATCATAGCTGGAAACAAAGGAAGAGAAGAGAAGAGAGGAAGAGAAGATCAGGCTTTGTTATGGCAGGCAGGTAAGCTAATTATAGATTATTTTGATACCTTCTTTTTTTTTTTTTTTTTTTTTTGAGGCAGAGTCTCACTCTGTCAGCCAGGCTGGAGTGCAGTGGCACGATCTTGGCTCACTGCAACTTCTGTCTCCCGGGCTCAAGCAATTCTCCTGCCTCAGCCTCCCGAATAACTGGGATTACTGGCATGTGCCACTACACCCAGCTAATTTTTGTATTTTTAGTAGAGACAGGGTTTCACCATGTTGGTCAGGCTGGTCTTGAACTCCTAACCTCAGGTAATCCGCCTGCCTCGGCCTCCCAAAGTGCTGGGATTACAGGCGTGAGCCACCACACCCAGCCCAGTTTGATACTTTTAAGGCCTATTTTAATTTTTGCTATGGCAGATATAGATTAGCCTTTACTCCAGGATTATTCCGTCTAAGCATGATCCCCCTGAATATTTGTCACATGGCTCAGTTAATTATTGAAGACTTTCCATTGGTTATTCAGGACCTTGGCTAATTGAAGTTCTCACTTCTCCCCACTCAGTTTGAACACTGAGTGTAATTCAGTTTACAATTCCAAGTCTTTATTTTCTCAGCCTCATGAAGGTTTTACTCCACACATGCATAGTCAAGGGGACTTCCTATGCGGTCTTCTGAAACTCTTTTTCTACAAAGCTTCCAATTCTCTAGAATTTTGCCTGGCAACTTTCAGTTACCTTCTGCTCCCCAAATCTCGGAGAGATTGCTCAGCTTCACTTGCATTCCCCTCCCCGCATCCACAACCTGGAAATTGCCTTCAGACAAAATTCCGGTGTGGTTTTAGGGTTTACCTTTTTGTTTCCTTTCTTTTAGGGATTACAATCCACACTGCCTATTGTCTGATTTCTGAATATAGTTGTTTAGAGTATTTTGGCCAGTTTTCTAGTTGTTTATGGGGGGATCAGTATAATTGGAAGCAGGAGTCTCAAAGTCATTTTTTAAATTTCTGTTTTAAAATGTAACAGCTCTGTGTACATACAATGGAATATTATTCGGCCTTAAAAAGAAATCCTGACATATGATAAAACATAGATGAACCTTGAGGATGTTATGCTAAGTGAAACAAGCCAATCACAAAAAGACAAATACTATATGATTCCATTTCTATGAGGTACTTAGAGTAGTCAAATTTATAAAGACAGGAAGTAGAGTGATGGTTAGCAAGTACTGCGGGGAGAGGGAAATGGCGAGCTGTTCTTTAATTGGTATAGAGTTTCAGTTTTGCAATATGAAAAGGGGATAGGAGATTATTTGTACAACAGTGTGAATATGCTTAACACTATTGGACTGTATGCTTTTTTCTCCCATATATATTCTGCTTATGTAGACTGTACACTTAAAATGGTTGAGGCCAGGTGCAGTGCCTCACGCCTGTAATTCCAGCACTTTGGGAGGCCAAGGTGGACATATCACCTGAGCTCAGGAGTTTGAGACCAGCCTGGCCAACATGGTGAACATGCCTCTGTAAAAAATACAAAAATTAGCCAGCCAGAGAATCACTTGAACCCGGGAGGCAGAGGTTGCAGTGAGCCTAGACTGCACCACTGCACTCCAGCCTAGGAGCCTGGGCGACAGAGTGAGACTCCATCTGAAAAAAAAAAAAAAAAAAAAAAAAAAAAGGTTGAGATGGTAAATTTTCTGTTATATGTATTTTACAATTTTTTTAAAAAACAGCTAACAGTGACTGGGCGCGGTGGCTCACAGCTGTAATCCCAGCACTTTGGGAGGCCGAGGTGGGCGGATCACGAGGTCAGGAGATCGAGAACATCCTGGCTAACACGATGAAACCCCATCTCTACTAAAAATACAAAAAATTAGCCAGGTGTGGTGGCGGGTGCCTGTAGTCCCAGCTACTCGGGAGGCTGAGGCAGGAGAATGGCATGAACCGAGAAGGCGGAGCTTGCAGTGAGCCGAGATCACACCACTGCACTCCAGCCTAGGCGACAGAGCGAGACTCCATCTCAAAAAAAAACAAAAACAAAAAAACAAAACAACAACAACAACAACAAAAACCACACCTAACAGTGTTCCAGTCATTTTACATTACGCTTAATCTGTGCAACAACCTCTTAAGATGTAGGTGCAATCATTATTATTTTGTTTTGAGACACTGTCTTGCCCTATTATACAGTGTGTGGTACAGTGACGTGATCATAGCTCACTCTAGCCTTGAACTCCTGGGCTCAAGCAATCCTCCTGCCTCAGCCTCCCGAGTAGCTAGAACTACAGGCATGCACCTCCATGCCCAGCTAGTTTTTAATTTTTTTGTAGAGGTGGGGTCTTGCTTTGTTGCCCAGGTTGGTCTTCAACTCCTGACCTCAAAGGATTCTCCCCCTTTGGCCTCCCAAAGCGCCAAGATTGCAGGTGTGAGCCACTGCAGGTGGCTGGCCTAGGTGCCATTTTTTTTCTCAACATGGAGTCTTGCTCTGTTGCCCAGGCTGGAGTACAGTGCGGCGATCTCTGCTCACTGCAACCTCCACCTCACTGGTTCCAGCAATTCTCCTGCCTCAGCCTCCCGAGTAGCTGGGACTACAGGTGCCTGCCACCCCGCCCAGCTAATTTTTTTTATTTTTTAGTAGAGATGGGGGTTCACCATATTGGCCAGGCTGGTCTCGAACTCCTGACCTCGTGATCCACCCACCTCAGCCTCCCAAAGTGCCAGGATTACAGGTGTGAGCCTCTGCGCCCTGCTGGTGCAATTATTATCTCAGTTTTACAGATGAGAAAACTCAGACCCATAGTTACAACATATATATGTTGTAACTGTTATTATAAATATATATACACATGCTTATATAAACAACTATAAAATATGTGAGTATGTGTGTGTGTATATATATTTTGTGTGTGTGTGTGCATATATATGCACACACACACACACACACACATATACATATATATGCGTGCTTTTATAGATGCAGCCTCACTATGTTGCCCAGGCAGGACTCTTAACTCCTGGGCTTAGGTGATCCTCCCACCTCAGCCTCCCCAGTGCCTGGGACTACAGGCATGGGCCACCATACCTGCAGTGACAACATATTTTTTAAAAGAATCCCATTGTACCTTAAATCATGACTCTTTGTAAAAGAGTTGGAAAACCACCAGGCAGATGACCCCAGTAAGACATTGTGGCTCGTCTTTATTCCCTCTTGGCATTGCCCCAGGTCCTATCCATCTAAGAGCCTTCCGCAGTCTTTGAACTCTGGGAAGAATTCTGTCCTGCCTAAATATAAGTATGGTAATACTGTAATTCCACAAATACTATGAGATTGTAGTTGTGGAACTACAGAACTCTTCTGGGGGAATATTTTAAAAATATTATTAGGTAATACAGAAAAGCTGCTAGGGTTTTGAAAACTGCTTAGTGAAGTTTTGCTGCCCTCTGCTGGAATTAAGCTGTATGCTCTTGAATGTCTGGTTTTCAACAGAAGGATTATAAAGCATTTAGTATGCATTGTTAGAATTTCATGGAGGTGTCTCAGGCGTTCTGCAAGCGTCTGGCACAATTTTTTTTTTTTTGAGATGGAATATCACTTTGTTGCCCAGTGTGGAGTGCAGTGGCAAGATCTCAGCTCACTACAACCTCCGCCTCCCGGGTTCAAGGGATTACAGGCACGCACATGATGCCTGGCTATATTTTTGTATTTTCAGTGGAGACAAGGTTTCACCATGTTGGCCAGGCTGGTCTTGAACTCCTGACCTCAGGTGATCCGCCCGCCTCAGCCTCCCAAGTCCTGGGATTACAGGTGTGAGCCACCATGCCCAGCCCAAATTTTATATTCTAAACATATTTAAACTATTTTCACAATAAAAATAATATTGTGTATTTAAATGTTACATATCTTAGTTTGACATACCAGATATTGCCAGAATCTAGTCTTGGAATGGAAAGGGAAAACCTTCCTAAACTAACCATCCACTCTTCTTATCTGTTCTTACATGTTTGTGTTCCGTCACTCCATTTCAAGCCCTACGGCCTTCCGCTAAACCATTTCAATAAGGAAAACACTTATAATGTTTTATAGATGATGTGATTTTTAGCTTGAAAATTGTTAACTATTGTAAGGTCCTCTACATCTGAATTATGAATTGGAAGTGTTTATATCCTTTATTTGGCTTATTTTAAAACACCTGTAATTCTAGCACTTTGGGAGGCCAAGCTGGGTGAATTGCTTGAGCTCAGGAGTTCAAGATCAGCCTGGGCCACAGAGTGAAACCCCATCTCTACAGAAAATACAAAAATTAGCTGGGTGCAGTGGTACTCACCTGCATAGTTCCAGCTACCTGGGAGGCTGAGGTGGGAGGGTTGCTTAAGCCCAGGGGCCAGAGGTTTCAGTGAGCCTAGATCTTGCCACTACACTCCAGCCTGAGAGACAGAGTCTCAAAAACAAAACAAAACAACAAAACAAAACAAAACACCAAAAACAATTAAAACACCTTGGCATGGTGGCTCATGCCTGTAATCCCAGCACTTGGGAGGCCAAGGCGGGCGGATCACGAGGTCAGGAGATTGAGGCCATTCTGGTCAACATGGTGAAACCCCATCTCTACTAAAAATACAAAAAAATTAGCTGGGCATGGTGGCGCGTGCCTGTAATCCCAGCTACTTGGGAGGTTGAGGCAGGAGAATCGCTTGAACCTGGCAAGCGGAGGTTCAGTGAGCCAAGATCGAGCCACTGCACTTCAGCCTGGCAACAGAGTGAGACTCCATCTCAAAACAACAACAACAACAACAACAAAAACACGTAACAAAACACCTGGCATCATCATTTTATGGTTTATTATTTGGTCCTTTCAGAAAGTTATAAATTACTGACATGTTAAAAAAAGAATGTGGTGGGGAGTGGGGGAAAAACAACAGCATCCTTTAGTAACTGTGATTACTAGTACTTTAGTAAAACCCATCTCTACTTCTTTCCTGCTTCTTTGAAATTCTCTCACACTGTAGTGCAACCTCAGTTTGTATCTAGGCTGACAATGACCAAGGATGGAGAAGTTCTAAGCCATCCTTACCTAGATTTTTGCAACAATGTCCTAAGTAGTTTTGTTGACTCCAATCCACCTAAAATCCACCTTCTATAACGAGAACCAGAATGCTCACACCTGTAATCAAGCACTTTGGGTTGCCAAGGTGGGAGGACTGCTTGAGCCCAGGGGTTCGAAACCAGCCTGATAACACAGGTAGACTCCCGTCTCTGCAAAAAATAAGAAAATTAGCTGGGTGTGGTGGCACACACCTGTGGTCCCAGCTACTCGGGGAGCTGAGGTAGGAGGATAGCTTGGGCCCTGGAAGTTTCGGCTGCAGTGATCTGTGATTGTGCCACTGCACTCCAGCCTGGGTGACCGAGTGAGACCCTAAGAAAGAAAGGAAGAAAGAAGGAAGGAAGGAAGGAAGGAGAAGGAATGAAGGAAGGAAGGAGAAGGAAGGAAGGAGAAAGAAAGGACAGGAAGAGAAAGAAAAAAGGAAAGAGAGAAAGAAATGAAAAGTTAAAAACAACAAAGAAACCCAGAATGATCTGTCTAAAATGCACGACTGATTGGGTCAGCTTCTACCTAAAATCCTTAACTTCTTATATTTTGCATCAGGATTAAATCCAAATCCCTTAATGTGGCATATGTTCTGTGATTCAGCTAGAGCCTTCAGACCAGCCCGCCTCTCCACTTGCCGCCTCATCCTGTATACCACAACAGCCAACTGTGCTTCCCTGCTGCAGAAACCTTTTTGTTTCTCACATTGGTATCTTTGTTCTTTTTTTCTCTCACCGTTTCTCTACCTGGAATTCCACTCATGCCATTGCCCTTCCTCTTCATCTCTGACATTCACTGACTCAGCTAGTCTCTACAAGATAGTCTTCTTCTCTTTTGCTAGTGTATTTACAAGCAGGAACTGTGTCTTATGTTTTATTCCCTGGGTCAGATATAGTTCTTAGCAAACACAAATTGTTCAAGAACTAATTGCTAAGTAATTGCATGTGTTTAGTAAGTGGGTGCCAGTGATGTCAATGTAGTAAGCTCCAGATTATCAGTGTCCCAGCATGAGGGTATGAGCATTCTCCTGTCTTTTGAATGTCTTAGGTTATTGTAGACAGACTGTAGTTAAAGGTACTTGAGGCTTTGAGACAGAATTGTATGCTATTTTGTCTTTTTTTTTTTTTTAATTGAGACGGAGTCTCACTCTGTTGCCCAGGCTGGAGTGCAGTGGCGTGATCTCGGTTCACTGCAACCTCCGCCTCCCAGGTTCAACCAATTCTTCTGCCTCAGCCTCCTAGGTAGCTGGGATTACAGGCACACACCACCACTTCCGGCTAATTTTTGTATTTTTAGTAGAGACAGGGATTTCACCATGTTGGTCAGGCTGGTCTCGAACTCCTGACCTCGTGATGGCCGCCTGCCTCAGCCTCCCAAAATGCTGGGATTACAGGCATGAGCCTCTGCGCCCAGGCTTTTACATTTAAAAGAATGTAAAACTTGCATTTGACCCCACTTCAAACTCCTTCAGGTAAGAAATAGATGTCTTAGTCAGTTTGGGCTGCTGTAACAGAGTACCATATTGCTGGTGGCTTATAAACAACAAACACTTATTTCTCACAGTTCTAGAGGGTGGGAAGTTTGACATCAAGGCACTGGCAGATCCAGTGTCTGGTGAGGAACCACTCCCTCATTCGTGGACAGCCATCTTTCCACTGCGTCCTCACATGGCTAAAGGGGTAAAGGGGCTCTCTGAAGTCTGTTTTATAAAGACGCTAATCCCATGCATGAGGGCTCCACCCTCATGACCTAGTTACCTCCCAAAGGTCCTACTTCTTTATCTGACAATTATCAAGGATGGTGAAATCCTAAGAGTTTCAACATATGAATTTGGGTGGGACATAAAAATTTAGTCTGTAGCACTAGGGAAGTGGAATTTTGCTTATTATCAGGCTGGGCATGGTGGCTCACACCTGGAATCCCAGCACTTTGGGAGGCCAAGGTAGGCAGATCACTTGAACCCAGGAGTTCCAGACCAACCTGGGCAATATTGCACAATCCCATCTCTACAAAAAATACAAATTAGCCCGGGTGGTGGTGCATGCCTGTGGTCCCAGCTACTTGGGAGGCTGAGGTGGGAGGATCACCTGAGCCAGAGATGTCAAGGCTGCAGTGAGCTGTGATCTCACCACTGCACTCCAGCCTGGGTGGAAAAAAAAAAAAAAAAAAATATATATATATATATATATACACACACACACACACACACACACACACACACATACACACACACACATATATACACATATATATATACATATATAGTATCTTTATACTTATTTAGTATAAGAGATTTGGAACGACTTTGACAAAATTAAATATCTTACGTTGCTTATTATATTTCTAGTAAACAGAAATTCAACAAAGGGCCATAGGACTTGTAATAACAGATTGATTAAGAGAGTGAAGAGTTCTTTAGCACTGAAAGAAAGGAGAGCATTGGCGGGTGCGGTGGCTCACACCTGTAATCCCAGCACTTTGGGAGGCTGAGGCAGGTGGATCACCTGATGTCAGGAGTTCGAGACCAGCCTGGCCAACATAGTGAAACCCCGTCTCTACTAAAACTACAAAAATCAGCAGGGTGTGGTGGCGCACACCTGTAGTCCCAGACTCGGGAGGCTGAGGCAGGAGAATCACTTGAACCCAAGAGGCAGAGGTTGCAGTGAGCCGAGATCATGCCATTGCACTCCAGCCTGGGCGACAAGAGTAAAACTCCATCTCAAAAAAAAAAAAAAAAAAGAAAGAGAAAGAAAGGAAGGAAGGAAGGAAGGAAGGAGAGCATCATCTGGTGAGTGTTAACTACTCCACATCTCTAACAGGAATGTGGATAAGCATCTTCTAAAGGAATTATGGATTTATACTATTTCAATACTATTTTTATCAAGGAAATGTATATGAATAGTATTTTATTTTTAATATATATTTTTTGTTGTTGCTAAGTAAGCAAAACTGATTTTTTGGACCATTATTATCATATATTCTGTCTCTAGAGCAACTCAGATTCTCAAGAGAATGGACTAATCACCAAATGGCACAAACTGCAAGTAGAATTCCTCTAGATAAGTAACTGAACACCACATTTTCTTCAATTAGATAAATGTCTGGTGTTATGTTTCTATAATTTATGTAAATTGCAACCATAGACCTACCAATTACCCTATTTAAACTTGGCTGGTTCCCCAAAGATTTCTTAGGAAAAAACTTATTATTAATTGCCTATCTTTTCAGAGCCACTGGGCCGGGGGTGGGGGAAGGGTAGGGTACTGAAACTTGAACTCGTATTTTTTGTAAAGCTCTATTTTTGAGAATCTCTTTTAACTGGAATGTTTTACATTAAATGAAAAAATAATTGGGAAAAAATATTTTTTTCACTTGGGAGTATTATGGGGAAGGACATTTGAAATGAGGCATTTAAAGCCAAACCATTATCTAACTTTTTGTTTCCAAGAGTTGAAATGGAACTTTTTGGGGAAAAGAATCTGGAATATTTAATGTTGTTAAGTCACTGGGCTTTAGGTTTAATGTTCTTTTTGAAGAGGGTTAATGTGAATTAACTCTAATACGAATCATTAAAATATAAAAACCAGGAAAAGAGCCAGGCACGGTAACTCACGCCTGGAATCCCAGCACTTTGGGAGGCCGAGGCGGGTGGATCACCTGAGGTTGGGAGTTCGAGACCAGCCTGACCAACATGGAGAAACCCTGTCTCTACTAAAAATACAAAATTAGCCAGGCGTGGTAGCGCATGCCTGTAATCCTAGCTACTCTGGGGGCTGAGGCAGGAGAATCACTTGAACCTGGGAAGTGGAGGTTGCAGTGAGCTGAGATGGCGCCATTGCACTCCAGCCTGGGCAACAAGAGTGAAACTCCATCTCAAAAAAAAAAAAAAAAAAAAAAAAATCAGGAAAAGACACAGCTAGCACTTTTGCTACTCACATATTCACATCATGGCTGGATATAGACATGCATAAGGTGGAGGGTCCAATGCCAATTGCTGGTGCTTTAATTGACCCAGGCCATATCCCATTGTAATCTTTGCGTTATCTTGCTATTATTGTATTGGTCAAATTTAGAATTTTTTCTTTTCTTTTTTTGGTGGGGGCAGGTGGAGAGAAAACAGGAAATGATTTACTCAGTTCTTTCTACACAATTAACATAAATTTAAGCATAGTTGCCTGTCAAATAACTTCCTGTATTATATACCTGAGAAAGAATTTCCCCCAAGCTATTAGTGGAACACTATATCAACCTCCTTTTTTAAAAAACAGTTTAAGGCTGGGTGTGGGGGTTCACGCCTGTAAGTAATTCCAGCACTTTGGGTGGCCGAGGTGGGAGGATCACTTGAGGCTAGGAGTTCAAGTTTGCAGTGAGCTGTGATCATGCCAGCCTGGGCTACAGAGCAAGACTCCGTCTCAAAAAAATTAAATAAATAAATAAAAATAAAAAATAATAAAAAACCGGTTTTAGATCCTTTGGTAGTTCATAAATTTCAGCACATTACCCGTCAGACATGAAAAAAAAAAGTTTCATTGATATAATTCATGCACCATACAATTCACTGACTTAAAGCATACAATTCAATCGTCTTTAAGATAATCACAGAATTATGCAACTACATTTTCATCACCTTAAAAAGAACCTGTACCCTTTAGCTATCATCCCCAAATTCCCTCATTAACCTAGCCCTAGGAAACCACTGATCTAATTTCTGTCTGTATTGATTTCCCTGTTCTGGACATTTCCTATAAACAGAATCATACCATATGCAGCATTTTGTGACTGGCTTCTTTTTCTTAGCACAGTATTTTCCAGGTTCATCCATGTTGCAGGATGTATCAGTTCTTCACTCCTTTTTATGGACAAATAATATTCCATTGTATAAATGTAAGATATCTTGTTCATCTCTTCATATGTTGATGTACTTTTGCTAATTTCTCTTAAAATCAGCATTTTGTAGCACCAACCATATAGCAAAAGGTCATGTCAAATATCTTTTTATTACCAGGCTTTTATGGACTGGGGAGAAAATGTCCAAAATTAAGTCTGAATACCTTTCTGGTACTATGAAGCACCAAATAATAAAACAATAACCTGAATCATGTGACTTAAAAGGGAAGCAGCTCTCAATTTAGTTATTGGTCAGCCAAAGAAATTGGATGACTTTGATTACTTCTGTCTGCCCAGAAATCATATATAAATCTGTAGGAGCTACGAGAAATTAGTGAAGAAACTTGTGTTTTTAAGGGAGTTGGTGGGAATATTCCTGTTCACTCAGAAAAATGAAAGGACAAAACAAGGGAGAGAAATGATACATAGAGGAATGATTAAAATGCCCAGTGGGTAACTTTGTAATTTTTCTTGATTTCCATTGAGAGTCTTGATTAACAAAGTAGCCATCCCAGAGGCCTATAAGCAAGTAGAACTGGGGTAGTTGCAAGGGTTTGCAATTAGATTTAGGAGGCAAATCTGAGTCCTGTTCCCTCACTTACTGGTGATGTTTCCTTGAGCAAGGCAGTTAAGTTACCATTTCCTCATCTGACAAATGTAACAATGTTTCTCTGACAATGCTGGGAAGATTAAATGAGGCAATGGGTATAGAAGCATCAGAAAACAAACAGGGTCAGGATGGATCTGCTTGTTTACAGCTGTAACCTCAGAAGCCCATCTTAGGGCCTGGTAGCAGGTTGAGAGAATAAGTGAAGCATTTGGTAAATTGCAAGGTGTTATTCACATGTTCTCTCTGTATTGTTACTTCTTTTCCTCCAACTTATTCACTGTCTTCCAAATTGAGTGCTGAGATGGGTTATCTTGAAAATAGGAAGTTCCAGACAACTTTCTTTTGGCCTCTTTTATCATAAAAACATAAAATCGAAGACACTTTTAATTTGAAAATTTTTTTTTTCACACATTCCACCTACGTTTGCACTTTTGTAGTGTACCACTTCCTCTTGAGCATTTTTTTTCTCTTTGTGTAACTTGGATTGTTGGCACCAGCCTCCTTCTTACTTACAGAGCTCCACCAACCACAACGTGAAGTTAGTATAAATTTAGATCTTTGTTCAGATGATAATGGCAGTGGTGTAAATGACTCTATAACTGCGTCTATACTGGCCAGTCAGCTGATAGAAGAAAACCATCACTTCCAATTCTTAAACCCTATTGATTTCAACTAGGCTTGAATTTGGCAAATGAAGCTCATCTATTTTTCAAATGCAGTAAAAAACACCTGGAACTTGTATAAATCTCGTAACAGGCATTTGAGTACATGCACTCTAATTTATATTTTGAATAAATACAGATTTCCATATAATGGATTCAGTTTGCTTAAAGCAAGATATACCAAACATTTAATGGGGATAAATCCAAATCACGTAATGTGAGACATCAACAATTTTTCTGCCAGAGAATATCAGATAGTCACTTTATCCTCAGGAGTCAAAAACATATTTATTTATTTATTTAAGTCTAGCTCTGTCGCCCAGGCTGGAGTGCAGTGGCGTGACCTCAGCTCACTGCAAGCTCCACCTCCTAGGTTCACGCCATTCTCCTGCTTCAGCCTCCCAAGTATCTGGGACTACAGGTGCCCGCCACCACGCCTGGCTAAGTTTTTTTTTTTTTTTTTGTATTTTTAGTAGAGATGGGGTTTCACCCTGTTAGCCAGGAGGGTCTTGATCTTCTGACCTCGTGATCCACCTGCCTTGGCCTCCCAAAGTGCTGGGATTACAGGCGTGAGCCACTGCGCCCGGCCCAAAAACATATTTAGTAAACACTTACTGTGTTCCAGGCACTGTGGTGAGCCCTGGGGATACCATGGTAAGCAGAACCCAGACATTGACCCTCAGTCCATGGTATGGCACAGACTGTAGTGAGAGAGACAGATTTAATTAAATAGTCCCACAAATGAGGGAGTAATTACAAATTGAGGAAATTGGGAGGTAAATGGTCTGAGTAAAAGGAGCAAAATTCTGTAAGAGCATCCAATGGGGAACTCGACCTAGAATGGGGGGCCGATTATGAAAGAAGTTCACACAGGGAAGTGAAGCTTCAGCCAAAGGAAGTGCAGTAGCTTACTGGAACTGGAGAAGAGGGTGGCACGGGGAAGAATAACATCCCACACAGGAAACATATCATGTGCTGAGGTTGATTGCATGGCCAGGGAGTTTGGCAAGTGTGCCAGACATAGGAAGAACCAAGGAGGAGCTTAGGGAAGTGAAGTGCAAGATGGAAAGGCAGGCAAAGGTCAGAATCAGTAAGGGTCCATTGCCCACATGAAGAATTCTTATCTTTGTCCCTGGAATAATGAGAATCCATAGAAAAGTTTTGTTTTTGTTTATTTAATTGAAGAATAACATCACAGAATAAAATGCAACTCTATGCATACAGTTCAATGAATACTTATATGTGTATGCCCCTGTCTGTATAACTACCACCCAGATCAAGATACAGAGCATTTCCATCATTCCAGAAAGTTCCTTCATGTCCCCTTTGAGTCAATTACCTACCACCCCCACTCCAAAAAGGGAACCACAATTCCTTTACTACCATAGATTATTTTTGTCTGTCCTTGAACGTCATGTAAATGGGATCATACAGTACATCTTCACCCCCACAAGGGAACCACAATTCTTTTATTACCATAGATTATTTTTGTCTGTCCTTGAACATCATGTAAATGGGATCATACAGTACGTCTTTCATTTAACATTATGTCTATGACATTAATCCATGGCATTGCATGTAATAAAGTCTTAGAAGGGTTTCACTCAGAAATGAAACAAAACTTAAGTGACAGCTCTTGACTTCTGGGTTTAGCTGAGGTTTGTGGTTACCAGAGTCAGCTGTGTTGGTGAGAGGACACTTGCTTCTTGTTCATTGCTAACTATATTCTTTTTTTCAATTGAATTTCTCCCTTTTGTTGCTTCTCCTCATTGCATGGAAGTTTTTCTTCCAGTCATTAACCAGGAATCAACTTCAACATGGTTTCTTGCCAAATTAAGAGGGTCTTTTTCAGGCTTCCCTAGTGTGTCCGGAATTGGTGGGTTCTTGGTCTCACTGACTTCAAGAATGAAGCCGCGGACCCTTGCGGTGAGTGTTACATCTCTTGAGGTGGCACGTCTGGAGTTTGTTCCTTCTGATGTTCGGCTGTGTTCGGAGTTTTTTCCTTCTGGTGGGTTCATGGTCTCGCTGGCTCAGGAGTGAAGCTGCAGACCTTCGCAGTGAGTGTTACAGCTCATAAAAGCAGTGTGGACCCAAAGAGTGAGCAGTAGCAAGATTTATTGCAGAGCGAAAGAACAAAGCTTCCACAGTGTGGAAGGGGACCCGAGTAGGTTGCCACTGCTGGCTAGGGCAGCCTGCTTTTATTCTCTTATCTGGCCCCACCCACATCCTGCTGATTGGTAGAGCCAAGTGGTCTGTTTTGACAGGGCGCTGACTGGTGCGTTTACAATCCCTGAGCTAGACACAGAGGTCCTCCACGTCCCCACTAGATTAGCTAGATACAGAGTGTGGACACAAAGGTTCTCCAAGGCCCCACCAGAGTAGCTAAATACAGAGTGTCGATTGGTGCATTCACAAACCCTGAGCTAGACACAGGGTGCTGATTGGTGTGTTTACAAACCTTGAGCTAGATACAGAGTGCCGATTGGTGTATTTACAATCCCTGAGCTAGACATAAAGGTTCTCCACGTCCCCACCAGACTCAGGAGCCCAGCTGGCTTCACCCAGTGGATCCCGCACTGGGGCTGCAGGTGGAGCTGCCTGCCAGTCCCGCCCCTTGCGCCCGCACTCCTCAGCCCTTGGGTGGTCGATGGAACTGGGCGCCGTGGAGCAGGGGGCGGCGCTCATCGGGGAGGCTCGGGTCAGCACAGGAGCCCATGGAGGGGGTGGGAGGCTCAGGCATGGCGGGCTGCAGGTCCTGAGTCCTGCCCCGTGGGAAGGCAGCTAAGGCCGGGTGAGAAATCGAGCGCATCGCCGGTGGGCTGGCACTGCTGGGGGACCCACTACACCCTCCGCAGCCACTGGCCCGGGTGCTAAGCCCCTCATTGCCCGGGGCCGGCAGGGCCGGCCGGCTGCTCCGAGTGTGGGGCCGCCAAGCCCGCGCCCACACGGAACTCCAGCTGGCCAGCAAGCGCCGCGGGCAGCCCGGGTTCCCGCTTGCGGCTCTCCCTCCACACCTCCCTGCAAGCTGAGGGAGCTGGCTCTGGCCTTGGCCAGCCCAGAAAGGGGCTCCCACAGTGCAGCGGTGGGCTGAAGGACTCCTCAAGTGCCGCCAAATTGGGAGCCCAGGCAGAGGAGGCGCCCAGAGCCAGTGAGGGCTGTGAGGACTGCTAGCACGCTGTCACCTCTCACTAGGACACACCTAAGAAATATTTGCTCAATGAGTAACCAGAAAAACCCTTTGGGGAAAGAGGATGACTCCTTGGAAGTAGAATTATTGTTGCTCAATATATGGAGGGAATGACAATTTCACATTTTTTAATGCATCTGAATGGACAGTGGAGTTGTAACCTTGTAATATTTTCTTCATCCATAAAATGAATCAAACTAATTAAGATCCTTAAAGTTCTATGAATTAGATGTTAGTGGTACTTTTTTGTTGACTGGACTTTATTATCTTTACTACTGTCTTTAAATGAAAATGTTAAAAAACAAAAAGCCTCCTAGCTGTGTGACCTACAAGGCTCAAGATATATGTGAGCATCAAAAATCACATCTTTTGGCCAAGCATGGTGGCTTATGCCTATAATCCTAGCACTTTGGGATGCTGAGGCAGGAGGATTGCTTGAGCCTAGGAGTTTGAGACCAGTCTGGGCAACACAGTAAGACCCCAATATCTACAAAAAATAAGAAAATTAGCCAGGTATGGTGGTACACACCTGTAGTCCCAGCTACTCGGAGGCTGTGGCAGGAGGATCATTGGAGCCCACGAGGTCAAGGCTGGGTGAGCCATGACATGACAGAGGGAGACCCTGTCTCAAAAAAAAAAAAAAGAATATATATATATATATATTTTTTTTTAACCTGTCTTTTACATGAAAAGTATGAAAGGACATAGAGGGAAAAGTCTCTCCCATCTCTATCTTCTAGCCCCTGTTCCCTTTCCATAGGCAATCAATATTGCTAGCTACTTATGTAGACTTCCAGTAAAGTTTTATGCAAATAGATGTAAATATTTGTATATATTTCACTGTATTTCCCATTTTTTGATATAAATACTAACCCTCTATTCATCCTGTTCTGCGCCTTGTTTTTTGTTTTTCGTTTTTTTTTTTGTTTTTTTTTTTTTTTGAGATGGAGTCTTTCTCTGTCACCCAGGCTGGCGTGTAGTGGTGTGATCTTGGCTCACTGCCATCTCTGCCTCCTGGGTTCAAGCAATTCTCCTGCCTCAGCCTCCCGAGTAGCTGGGATTACAGGCGTGCACCACCATGCCTGGCTAATTTTTGTATTTTTAGTAGAGATGGGGTTTCACTATGTTGGCGAGGCTGGTCTTGAACTCCTGACCTTGTGATCCACCTGCCTTTGGCCTCCCAAAGTGCTGGGATTACAGATGTGAGCCACTGCACCCAGCCAGTTTTTTTTTTAAACACTTAGCACCTAATGAGCTTCTTTATTAGAAAAATGGGAATAATGTGAGTACTTACCTCATAGCGTTGTTGTGAAAATCAAATGAGTTAAAATATACAAAGCACTGGCCGGGCGCGGTGACTCACACCTGTAATCCCAGCACTTTGGGAGGCCGAGGTAGGCAGATCACGAGGTCAGGAGATCGAGACCATCCTGGCTAACATGGTGAAACCCCATCTCTACTAAAAACACAAAAAAATAGCCGGGTGTGATGGCATCGCGCCTGTAGTCCCAGCTACTTGGGAGGTTGAGGCAGGCAGCAGAATCGCTTGAGCCTGGGAGGCAAGAGGTTGCAGTGAGGTGAGATCGCGCTGCTGCACTCCAGCCTGGGCGACAGAGCGAGATTCCGTCTCAAAAACACACACACACACACACACACACACACACACACACACACACAGCACTTAGAAAATGCCAGGCAAGCACTTAGAAAATGCCAGGCATGGCTGGGCGCAGTGGTGCACGCCTGTAATCCCAGCACTTTGGGAGGCCGAGGCAGGCAGATCACCTGATGTCAGGAGTTCAAGACCAGCCTGGCCATCATGGTGAAACCCCGTCTCTACTAAAAATACAAAAATTAGCTGGGCCTGGTGGCGTGTGCCTGTAATCCCACCTACTCGGGAGCCCAAGGCAGAAGAATTGCTTGAACCTGGGAGGTGGAGGTTGTAGTGAGCCGAGATTGTGTCATTGCACTCCAGCCTGGGTGACAGAGCAAGACCCCTCTCAAAAAAAAAAAAAAAAAAAAGAAAAAAAAAGAAAGAAAGAAAAAGAAAATGCCAGGCATATTGTGACCTCTGTATTAGTTTTCTATTACTGCATAACAACTAACACAAACCTGGTGGCTTAGAACAATACTGTATTAGCTCACAGTTTCTGCAGGTCAGAAGTCCAGGCATGGCTTAGCTGGGGTCTGTGCTCAGAGTCTCACAAGGCTAGAATCATGCAGCTGGGCTGCATTCTCACCTGGAGACTCAACTACAAAAGGGTTCGCTCCCAAATTCCTTCAAGTTGTTGGCAGCTATAAAACTCATGGCAGCTTGTTTGTTCAAACCCAGCAACAGGAGAGAGTTTCTGCTGCTTGGAGTCTCTGACCTCAAGGAATGCCTAGTCCTCCCCACCACCTTGAGATATAATTCACATATTATAAAATTCATCTTTTTAAAGTATATAGTTCAGCCGGATGTGGTGGTTCACGCATGTAATCCCAGCACTTGGGGAGGCCGAGGTGGGTGGATCACGTGAGGTCAGGAGTTCAAGACTAGCCTGGCCAACATGGCGAAACCTCATCTCTACTAAAAATGCAAAAATTAGCTGGGTGTGATGGCAGGTGCCTGTAATCCCAGCTACTCGTGAAGCTGAGGCAGGAGAATCACTTGAACCCAGGAGGCAGAGGTTGCAGTGAGCCAAGATGGCACCACTGCATTCCAGTCTGGGTGACAGAGTGAGACTCATCTCAAATAAATAAATAAATAAATAAATAAATACAGTACATAGTTCAATGATTTTAAATATATCCACAAAGTTGTGGAATTACCACCACTAATTCCAGAATATTTTCATCACCCCAAAAAGAAACCCTGTACTCATTAGCAGTCAGTCCTCATTCCCCCTTCTCTCTAGCCCCTGGTAACCACTAATCATTTTTCTGTTTCTGTGGAATTTCCTATTTTTCATTTCCATATGAACAGAATCTATAATATATCGCTTTTGTGTCTGGCTTCTTTTACTTAGCATAATGTTTTCAAGGTTCATTCATGTTGTAGCATGCATCAGTGCCTCATTCCTTTTTATGGCTGTATTCCACTGGACATACCTTTTGATAGATACTTATTTCCAATCCTTTGCTATTATTAACAACACTAAAGAATATCCTTGAATACACATTTAGAATGTGAATGAGTACATCTGTACCATATACATTTCTAGAAGTAGAACTGCTAGGTCAAAAGGTTATGCATCAGTAATATTGATAGTTATTGCTGAGTTATGCTATTTATATCCTGTCTTTTAAAGTACTGTTTGAGGAAGGGAGATGAAATGACATAGTGGAAAATGCACTGAGTTTTGTATTTTGTTTCAAGAGAAGTTTAATATATTGTGGTTATTAACGGCATGGGGCTTTGGAGGCACAGTGCCTGTGTTAGAATCTTGGTTTTGCAACTTACACTCTAAATGACATTAAGTTAATTAACTGCTCTGCCTCAGTTTTTTTCATCTGTAAATGGAAATAACATCAGTACCTTCTCTGGGCATTGATGAGACTACACCTGTAACACTCTTAGAACAGTGTCTGGGCTGGGCGCAGTGGCTTACACCTGTAATCCCAGCACTTTGGGAGGCCAAGGCAGGCAGATCACCTGAGGTCGGGAGTTTGAGACCAGCCTGACCAACATGGAGAAACGCCGTCTCTACTAAAAATACAAAAATTAGCTGGGCATGGTGATGGGTGCTTGTAATCCCAGCTACTTGGGAGGATGAGGCAGGAGGATTGCTTGAACCCGGGAGGCAAAGCTTGTGGTGAGCAGAGATCATGCCATTGCACTCCAGCCTGGGCAACAAGAGCGAAACTCCATCTCAAAAAAAAAAAAAAAAAAAAAAGAACAGTGTCTTGACACATAGAAAGTACTCAATAAATGTTACTAGCTTGCTATATGATCTTGAGTCATTGTCTTTTCCTATTTTTATTTTTTTACTTTTTTGAGACAGAGTCTCACTCTGTCACCCAGGCTGGAGTGCCATGGCACAATCTCGGCTCACTGCAACCTCCGCCTCCCAGGTTCAAGTGATTCTCCTCCCTTAGCCTCCTGAGTACCTGGGATAATAGGCATGTGCCACCACGCCAAGTTAATTTTTTTTTTTTTTTTGAGACGGAGTCTAGCTCTGTTGCCCAGGCTGGAGTGCAGTGGCACGATCTCCGCTCACTGCAACCTCCGCCTCCCAGGTTCAAGCGATTCTCCTGCCTCAGCCTCCCGAGTAGTTCGGATTACAGGCGCCTGCCCCCATGATCAGCTAATTTTTGTATTTTTAGTAGAGACGGGGTTTCACTGTGTTGGCCAGGCTGGTCTCGAACTCCTGACCTCATGATCTGCCCGCCTCAGCCTCCCAAAATGCTGGGATTACAAGCGTGAGCCACTGCACCCGGCCTTAACTTTTGTATTTTTAGTAGAGACAGGGTTTTACCATGTTGGCTAGGCTGATCTCGAATTCCTAACCACAAGTGATCCACCTGCCTTGGCCTCCTAAAGTGCTCACGGCCTACAGGCGTGAGGCACCGTGCCCAGCCTCTCTTTTCCTATTTTTAAATTGTGGAGTTGAAATTGATTATTTTTATGTTTCCAAATTTTAAAAGGCAATTGTGGTCCCTGGAAATTTAATTTTACACTATTTTATACTGTTCTCTAATATTCCTTGTGCTGCTGCTTTGCCCATTACTGATAGCAGGAGACAACTACAGGCTTTATACTTAAAAGCATAAACTTTTGGTAGCTCGTGCTTCAGAACTATGTGCCTCTGTGGTACTCACCCCCCCAAAGATATCTATATACATAAACATATATGAATACCTAGATGGGTATCTTCTGTATGTCACTGTGTTAGTTTTCCTGAAATAGGTGGGATTCAGCAAATTTATACCCCTTTTCTGCCCCTCATGTTTCTGACTCCTTACTTTACCTTTAGGTCTCAGCTTAGCCATCACCATACATCCTAGTTTCAGACGCATTCCCCACTGAACAGCAAATTTGAAGAAGGTAACCCTGTTCATTTGCTTCAAAATGACATCCTTAGTAGGTAGCAGTGCTTAGTCCCCAATACATAAAAAATATTTCTAATAGTGAACATTAGTAATGTTCTCCAGCTAAACTGAAATTTTTTTGCTATCTACAATAAATGAATATGTATTTAAAATTATATTTTAGAGACTCCTAATTTTTTTATACCTTGTAAGGCATAATATAGAAAATCTGATTTCACTAATTTTTTTTCTTTTATTATGATTATTTTTGAGATGAAGTCTCTCTCTGTCGTCCAGGCTGGAGTGCAGTGGTGCAATCTTCACTCAATGCAACCTCTGCCTCCTGGGTTCAAGAGTTTCTCCTGCCTCAGCCTCCCAAGTAGCTGGGATTACAGGCACCCACCACCATGCCCAGCTAATTTTTTTTTTTTTTGAGACGGAGCTGTTGCCCAGGCTGGAGTGCAGTGGTATGATCTCAGCTCACTGCAAGCTCCGCTTCCCGGGTTCACGCTATTCTCCTGCCTCAGCCTCCTGAGTAGCTGGGACTACAAGCGCCCGCCACCACGCCCAGCTAATTTTTTGTATTTTTAGTAGAGACAGGGTTTCACCGTGTTAGCCAGAATGGTCTTGATCTCCTGACCTCGTGATCCAACTGCCTCGGCCTCCCAAAATGCTGGGATTACAGGTGTGAGCCACCACGCCTGGCCCATGCCCAGCTGATTTTTGTATTTTTAGTAGAGACAGGGTTTCACCATGTTGGCCAGGCTATTCTCGAACCCCTGACCTCAAGTCCACCTGCCTCGGCCTCCCAAAGTGCTAGGATTATTTATTTATTTTTTTTAAATAGAGACAGAGTCTCACCATATGGTGAAGGCTGGTCTTGAACTCCTAGGCTCAAGTGATCCTCCAGCCTTGGCTCCCAAAGTGCTGGATTATAGGTGTCAGCCACCACACCCAGCTACATTTCATTAAAGTTTTTTTTTTTTTTAATAAATGTTGATTTGGAATGGGAAGCAATTTTTATCTTCACAAAATTTAAGATTCAACCTCTGTGGAGGGCTAATGGTTCTGTCTAGCCTTAGTTTTAGGTACTCTTTACTAACAACCTGTGATTGCTTTATGCATAGCCTACGAGCTTACAAGTAGAGTTGCCTTTTCTTGAGTGGATAAGTGGTGGCATTAGCATGCAATTAGTTGTTTTTGTTTGTTTGTTTTTAATAGAGACAGGGTCTCACTTATTGCCCAGTCTGGGCTTGAACTCCTGGGCTCAAGTGATTCTCTTGCCTCCACCTCCCGAAGTAGGATTTTGACGTGAGCCACACCTGGCTACAATTCTTATTTTTGAATTTGATAAAAATGAGCTTTTAGGGATGCCTTCAATGAATCAACAAAAAAGAAAGTTACCAATTTGGGACTGCAATGTGAGTTTCTGATCTTCTGTACTCTCTTTTAAATCAAGTAAAGCCCTTCCCCCAACTAAAAAACTTTTTCTTAAAATAATGTATTTTTCCCTCAACCTAGACCTCAGTTTTTCATTTAAACATATTTTAAAATGTGTGTGTGTGTTTTGAGACAAAGTCTCAGCCCAGGGTGGAGTGCAATGGTGCCATCTCAGGTCAGTGCAACCTCTGCCTCCCGGGTTCAAGCAATTCTCAAGCCTCAGCCTCCTGAGTAGCTGGGATTACAGGCATGTGCTACCATGCCCGGCTAATTTTTGTATTTTTAGTAGAGATGGGGTTTCACCATGTTGGCCAGACTGGTCTCCAACCCCTGACCTCAGGTGATCTGCCCGCCTCGGCCTCCCAAAATGCTGGGATTATGGGCGTGAGCCACTGCGCCTGGCCTAAAATGTGTTTTTAAACTATTTACTAATAATGGATTTACACTCTCTTTCGTATGATTTACTAAATTGTTTCGAATAGGTTGGGCAATTCATGATTTTTTTTTAATATCAGCTGTTAAACAGTGGTAATGTTTATTAGAGGACAAAAGAATCCAACTTTCGTGTTGCCCTTAGGAATGCTCTTTAAGCCTGGGGCTTTATTATGATGATAATTTGGTCTGTAAACTCCTTGGGAGACAGTTTGAGACTAGAGATCTGGGTCTCAAACCTGATCCTGCTGCTTGGCGACCCTCAACAAAATGTCAGCCCTCTGTTGCTTCGTCCATAAAATGAATAAAAGTGCACAGCTGCTGTGAAAATTAGGTCTTAGAGAAGCAGTCAGTGCAGTGCTTAAGTACTTACTCGGAGAGTTAAATAGACCCGGTTTCAAATCTTCGGTTACCATAATTTGTCCAGTGTCTTGCAACGCTTCTTTCAAATTCTGCAAACTAGTATCTACCTCATGTCTGTTGCTGTGAGGATTAAATGGAGACAATGCACGTAAATCACTTGTCCAGTCCGTGTCTAGCACGTAGAAAGCACTCAGTAAATATTGGCTGTACTCACGATAACCCGTGATAGTTTATACTGATAAGGTAGAAACCACTATGTAAAGGGCTCTTAACTATGAAGTTGTTCCCTTTATGGGAGAGCGACGACCTGCTGTGTATTTTTTAATGTGACCGCAAGTTTATTTTTTCTTTAATATACATTTACTATAGGAAAACGTTGATGAACGTTCCAGTGGAAGAAACAGTGGAGTTAGAGGTTTATCAGTGGCCAGATTTTTAACAGAAGTAACCATAGAAAGGGAACAAATGGAGGCCAGGTGCGGTCTCCATGGCGTGTGGTGGGGGGGGGTGCGACTAAAGGAAAAAAATGGGAAAAGTTAACAGCCTCCTCCCCTCAAACTCCCCAGAACCAAATCCTGTTAACACTAGGTTGTTAAGTCCCATCAGAGGATCTCAGGTGAAAGTGCTTGCTGGAGCTGTGACACTGGGTCACACTCTCTGAGATAAAAGAGAAGGCCGGGTGCGAGTAATCTATCATAAAGATACAAGATCCGGTGAGAATAGCAGGTCGCAAAGGCTGTCGAGGCTTTTAGGCTATTACCGCCTAGCCCATTCTTTTATCTCCTCTCCAGGTTTTTGTACACATGCAAATAGTTCATAAAACCGAGATCGTCCCGCATCCACTGCTCTGAAGCCCGTTTGGGCCGAGATAACTCGTGCGCAGAGGAAGGGTTTTGCCCACAAATGGGCGACGCCTGCGCTCCGGAGAAGAGGCCAAGCTAGTCTCCCTCGCCTGCAGCGCGGCGGGGGAATCCCCGGGAACCCGAAGATCGCCAGGGGCCCACGCATTCCGCAGGCCACGGCTGCGGCGTCGAGGTCCTCGCGGGGCGTTGCGGTCGCCCCTTTTGGCGGGCTCGGGCGCCCCGAAACTCCGCCCCCCGGCGCGGTATTTCCGCACTCGCGCAGGCGGGTGCCGCGCTCCCATTGGTGGAGTGGCCCGCGGTGGCCCCGCCCCCTCCCGGCCCCGACGCGCGCACGTTGAGTGGCGGGGGAAGGCAGAAGAACTGCCCGAGGGAGGAGCGGCTCCGAGGACCGGGCAGCGCATTTGGGGTGCCCGCTACAGGGCCCCCCAAGAGGCTGCCAGGTCGGGAGCGCAGCCTGAGGCCACGGGGGGAAGGGGGTGGGTGGGCTGAGAGCAGCTCGGCGGCGAGACTGGCCCGCCGCCCCTTCCCCCCACACCCGTCGACCTTGTGGGCAGAAGCTTCCCAGAGCTCCTTAGGCCGGCGCGATGGCGACTGCTGTGGAGACGGAGGCCTGTCAGCCGACGGATGCGAGTTGGGAAAGTGGCGGCGGCGGAGACGACGAGATGAAGCAGGCGCTTCCGGAGCTTGAGTCCTCCCAACAAAATGGCGGCGGCGGCGGCCTCAACATCGCTGAGCCCAGCGGCGGCGCTGGGCGTGAGGAGAACGCGGGGGCCGAGGCCGCCCAGAGCCTCAGCCACGAGCAGCCTCAGGACTCCTCTGAGGCGGGCGCGGCCGCCCTGCCCAGAGGCCCCGAAGAGCCCGAAAGGCCTGTTAGGAGGAGTTTTCAGATCCCCAGGAAGAGCAGAGAAAAGAAAGGTGGTGCCTCCCCTTCTTCTCAACCCCCTCTCTCTCTCCCCTCCATCTTTTCATTAGAATCTTTCTATCTCCTCTTCCCACACCCATCCGAGATACGTAAACACGCATGCAGCGCCGGCCGCCTCTCCCCTCACCGCCACGGCCGCCCAGCTGCCGCGTTTGGTGCGAGAGAAAGCGGTGGAACCACGCTCCCCTGCTGCCCCTCCCCGCGGAAGTTGGAAGTAGCTCAGGTTTGAAGCTTGTCCGTAAGGCTGCAGCTCCCAGAGAGGAAAGATGGTGCTCGGCGCCCCTCCCTCCCAGCCCCTGAAAGCAGAGAAGCCGTTGTGTCCTCCTAAGGATGCTTCTGAGAAGTCTCGCTATGGAAATAGCCCGTGGCCATGGATTCTGGGGCTTTCTCCAAGGCCATTGCCAATGTTCTGAGGACCATGAGTGCTTCTCCCCGTGGAAATTCTTCAGTTCTGTGTGTCTACTTGAAATGTGCTTGATGTCAGCGTCCTCCCTTATTTAGAAATCTCTATTAGTAGATGTGATCCATGCACACTGCTGTTTTCCATCACACTTCATTTCCATGTAGATTTTTCCCCCTTGTTTTTGAAGCGTTAGATTAAATAGGTTTTTCTCTCTTTAAATTCGAACTTAGTATTGTTTTTCTTATATTTGAAAAGAATGGAAAGGTAGGTTCTTGGAGCAGTAATTTCCCAATGGAAAAAAACTAATGAGAAGTTACCTTATTCTCAAGAGTCACCAACTTGGTCTTCTAGATGGTAGAACTTCAGGTTAAAAAAAAGTCCAGTCTTAGTTTTTGGAACCCATATGGAAACAGTTACATTAATTACTTGTACTTTTAAAAAATCTTAATGCCATATTGTTAATATGGAGTCAGAATTCCTAATGGAGGTCAAAATTAGTATCGTTTTTTGTTATTGGGGTATTATTTTTTAACTATCCAGTAAATTTTGGATATTCTGAATTTAGACAACTTCCTTTTTGCCCTACTGTATGGTTAGGTTTTCATTATTTACTTTGGAAAAAAATAGGATTTGTTTTTTTCCCGTATCTTTTCCATCCATCTGGTACAGAGTCTTGGCTGTAGCATTATACTGACTTTCCATAAGCATCACCAGTTCCATTTGCACTACTGGAATTGTTTGAGCCTTTTATTGGAAAAATACAAATAAAGTTCATTTGTTTGGATGGCAAAGCCAAGAAAATACTTGGTGTGAGAAACCATGTTGACAAAGATGAAGTTAACCTTTGGAAATTAGCATGAGGAATGTTTCTAGAAATATCTTTTGAGTTAATGTAATTTTAGGGTTCAGAAAGATACTTTTAAAGGTCAAAACTCAGTTCTTTTCGTGTATTTAGTTAAAATTTGAGATGTATGATTATAGTCTGTATGAGAAAAGTTCCCAGTGTAATCAATTGGTAGAGAATAGGTAGGAAGTACATTCAAATGGGCTCTGGTTATGAGGTAGGAGGTGGAACTATTTTTTTTCTTCACAGCTTGATAAAAGCCGTTTGAAATCTATTTTTAAGGTTTAAGTGCCTAAGAATATGGACAAACCGTGATTTTTTTTTTTTTTTTTTTACTGTTTGTTAGGACCAGAAGATTGGCCTAGAAACTCTTCAAAATTTAGTTTGAAATGTGGGAAGGCAGTAGGAACTGGAAAGGCACTGTGTTTGTGTGTTTTTTTAAAATTAGATAAAATCCAGAGATTGTTGTAAAATAGACTTCAGCTGAACACACTAAAAGTGGAAATAATTGAGGGATTAGGAAATATAAATCTAGCTGTTGTCCCCCATAGTCTTGTACCTCTTGGGTAAAACTTGTATTTTCCATTTTTACTTACAGACAAAAGTTGGGAGGAAAATATATCGCAGTGGACTTTGTCATGATTAGTGAAAATGAGCAATTTTTAACTTGTGTAATTATTTATACCCTGAACACCAGCTGTTCAAATAGTAAAATAGCGATTTAAATAGAACTTTAAAAAATTAAATAAGCAGCTATTTTACCACCATGAATTTTATCTTGTTCAAGCTGAGAGAAGTTAGTGGTTGCTGATAGAATTTAATACATAAATTCAACTTTATTAAAAAAATTCAAAAACAGTGCAGGTTCTGTTGCATTCATATTTTAATATGGTAGACCTTTTCTTGTGACTGTGCTTTTCCAGTGAAATTTAAGATTAGGACTTAAATATTTTAATACCTTAAAGGTCACTGCTATGCAAATACAACTTGACTCAGAAAGTTCTTTTTTTGGTCTTCCCAGTAGTGTGACATCCAAAATAACTGCCATTGTAATTGAGTAATAATATTGGCAAACACTTGTATAGTGCCTAATAAGTTGTGGGCATTGTTCTAAGCAATTTACATACATTGACTAAATCTCAACAATGTTTTGTGGTAGGTACTATTCCCATTTTACAGATGAGGAGACTAAAGTACTGAGAAGTTAGGTAACTTGCTTCAGGTCACACAGCTAAGTTGTGGAGATGGAATTTGAAGGTAGTTGTAGAGTACTTTTACTACTATAAAAAAGAAAAATCTTGCTACCCAGTTTGAATAATCTAAGGGTTTAAGTTAGCTGCTTTTGACCTGACCTGTTAGTAACAAAAACTGTTCCCCCCCTTCATTAAATATAGAAATATTTAGTATGTTTTCATCCTTGGGGAATTTTGACATTCAGAAATTATGTTTACTATCAACATTTGGTTGGTACTGACATACTAAGTGCGTCTTTGACTGGAAAGGTATACATTTTACTGTTTTTGATGTATGTTATTTATTGGCTGAGGCATGATTCTTACATTTAACCAAATTATAGAATTTAACCAAATTGTAGAATTGCATTTTGTTGGTAGATGTTTCACTATTGCCTTCTTTAAATCTAGTGAGTCATAAAAAGTAAATTAAAATTGGTAATTGCATTTGATGTAATTTTTCCCTCCAAAGTTCTTGGGAAATGGAGTAGCGATGATTCACTTTCTGGAAAACGTTTATTGGTTAATGTTTTTGTAGGGTCCAAGGGAGTCTCAAAAATTAATTGCGCTCATGCACTAAATTTCCATACTGGTTTAGTCCAGAAGTAATGGCTAATTCTCCTAACCTCCATCTTCCCCCACAAAATTTTCACTTGCCTTTTTGAAGTCATTGGAGCCAAGTCTCATTCTTAAGGAAATTTCCATGGTATTTCATTAGTTGTATATGGATGAGTGGGTTCTGAGAACAATAGCTCTCTCCATACATAATAGCAAAGTAATCAAGGTAAAATTTACTTTGAGCTATCCTCAGTCCAAAAAACTTTGTTTCGTATTTGTACTCTTGATTCCTGCCAGCATATTCATTTCTAATTGTACACTATGTTCAACCTTGTTGATGTAGAGATGAAGTACCCACTCCTAAAGTATTGTCTGTGGTAATTTTTTTTAGAATGAAGAAAAGTGATTTTAAAAAAAGATCTTACTGTGAAGAACAAATGGATGGAGAGTGGTTGTATTATAATCATTAATAGGCGTCAGCTGTGAATTCAGAAAATTTCAGATCCTCAGCCTCTTCTTGCTAATTATTTCGTCATCTTCTATGTATTAGTTACTTTAAATCAGACAATTGTTTATTTGTACTTCGTATGACCCATTTGTATGTCTTTTTTTTTTTTTTTTTTGGAGTCAGAGCCTCTGTTGCCCAGGCTGGGATGCAGTGTTGCGATCCCGGCTGACTGCAGCCTCTGCATCCTAGGTTCAAAGGATTCTCCTTCCTTAGCCTCCCCCAGTAGTTCGGATTACAGGCATGTGCCACCACGCCCAGCTAATTTTTGTATTCTCCTTAGAGGTGGGATTTTGCCATGTTGGCCAGGCTGGTCTGGAACTCCTGACCTGAAGTGATCCGCCCTCCTTGGCCTCCCAAAGTGCTGGGATTACAGGCATGAGCCGCCACGCCCAGCCCCATTTGTATGTTTTGATAGGAATGATATGTCTTTTAAGTTTAGCTTTTTTAAATTTATGTATATATGATAATATTTTTTGTGATACATGTATACATAATACAAAAAGATCTGCCTTAACACCAAACAAATTGGTAAAACTAATTGATGAAGATGTTCTTTTGATTAAGGAACAAAGCTGTTTGATGACCTAAATTATATATCAATGCCCACTGCCTTTATAAATACAACCTTCAAATCTTGAGTGTGGGCTGGGCATGGTGGATCATGTCTGTAATCCCAGCACTTTGAGAGGCCGAGGTGGGCGAATCACGAGGTCAGGAGTTTGAGACCAGCCTGGCCAACGTGGTGAAACCCTGACTCTATTAAAAATACAAAAAATTAGCTGGGCCTGGTGGTGGGTGCCTGAAATCCCAGCTGCTCGGGAGGCTGAGGCAGGAGAATAGCTTGAACCCAGGAGGTGGAAGTTGCAGTGAGCCAAGATCGCGCCACTGCACTCCAGCCCGGGCAACAGTGCAGAACTCCATCTCAAAAAAAAAAAAAAAAAAAAAATCATAAGTGTGTTTTGTATGATACTAGTAATAAAAAATATTTGATGATAGTATGGCTAAGAGTCAGGAAATTTGAATTCCAGTTGAAATTCTATGATACTATCAGTTTCCTCGTTTGAATTATAAATCTCTAAGTGCCCTTGTAAATCTGCTCTTCAGTCTCGTAAAATACATCTATAATTTGTAAGTAGGGAAACCTTGTGTGATCAGTAATCAACTTAGCTGTTCTTCTGACAGGCATTTAATGGAAATCGATCAAATAAGCAAAATTACACATTTCTTAATGTGTGAAAGAACTTCTATTGCTACTGCTGTTAACCTTTATAAAACAAAGGGTGTTACGACTCTTGGCCCTGTTGTCTCTAGAGGAAAATTAAAATCAGAAAAAATTAAGAAATTTGAGAGAAGATAGGAAGGTAGAAAGAGCAGTATTAGAACGAAATTCTTTGTTCTTTTATATTAACTTCCTGTGTCTAAGTGTTGTATATGATTTCTAGTCTATAAAGTGAGGAAACAGTCATTTTTCCAGCTCTTGACATGATTGGACATTGTATGTCTAATACCCATATGCACACACACATCATATATTTCAGGATACAAGAAAGGGAGCTTAACCACTTGAATTTGAATCCCAGCAGCTTGATTCATTCATTAACCCTGTAACCTTGGGCCAACTCAAAAGGCTACTTGTCTCAGTTTCAATTGAGAAACGGGCATGTTGAACTTCATAGTGTAGTTTTGATGATTGAGATGATATATGTAAAGCTCTTAGTACAGTATTGAAGGTGGTACTTAACCACTAATGGTTAGACAGTAACTGTCAATCTAGAGAACAGTGTATTGAATACTGAGTTCCCTGAGTGAAATGGATAATTCATATACATAATGCTTTCCCTATTTGGATAGACACAGGGTTGTTTATTATTACTACCTCAAATAGTGACCCATAATTGAGATTTTTGACTTAAATATTTTCTTTAAAAGGAGTGACAGGATACATTGATCGAGATACATGTAGTGTTAAATGACCTCTGAGGACATAAAATAGACTACCAGAAAATGTACATTCAGAACATGAACTTAATAAATTTTCTGAACTGCTGTTAGCAGCAAGTTGACTTGAAATCCTTAAAAATAGTTGCAGGATAATTTTATTATCTTAGAAATTATCACCAGAAAAAATGAGAAATTATAACCGGCCTAACGAAGCCACTGAGGCATTTGCAATACAAAATAATTAGGATACAGATATTTATTGTTAAAGCTAAAATGCTTTTTCCTTTTCATTTGCAATAATTTTTTTCCTGTCAGCTGTCATTTTTAGTACATTGGACATGACTTGGACATTGCTTTAGAGTCAACTGGAAATGTTAAGTACTTTGAGAATAATTTGGATGTGAACTTTTATGCAGATTCATGATTTGACTAATTTTTTACTTACGATTAGATTAATGGTAGAAATTGTATTGGGTAGCTTAACTAATGAAAATTTCTTTTATGTAGACTAACATT